>NC_000010.11:93930974-94234004 GCF_000001405.40 Homo sapiens
GGGGATATCACCACTGATCCCACAGAAATACAAACTACCATCAGGGAATACTATAAACACCTCTACGCAAATAAACTAGAAAATCTAGAAGAAATGGGTAAATTCCTCGACACATACACCCGCCCAAGACTAAACCAGGAAGAAGTTGAATCCCTGAATAGACCAATAACTGGCTCTGAAATTGAGGCAATAATTAATAGCCTACCAACCAAAAAAAGTCCAGGACCAGATGGATTCACAGCCGAATTCTACCAGAGGTAGAAAGAGGAGCTGGTACCATTCCTACTGAAACTATTCCACTCAATAGAAAAAGAGGGAATCCTCCCTAACTCATTTTATGAGGCCAGCATCATCCTGATACCAAAGTCTGGCAGAGACATAACAAAAAAAGAGAATTTTAGACCAATATCTCTGATGCACATCGATGCAAAAATCCTCAATAAAATACTGGCAAACCGAATCCAGCAGCACATCAAAAAGCTTATCCACCATGATCAAGTGGGCTTCATCCCTGGGATGCAAGGCTGGTTCAATATACGCAAATCAATAAATGTAATCCAGCATATAAACAGAGCCAAAGACAAAAACCACATGATTATCTCAATAGATGCAGAAAAAGCCTTTGACAAAATTCAACAACCCTTCATGCTAAAAACTCTCAATAAATTAGGTATTGATGGGACGTATTTCAGAATAATAAGAGCTATCTATGACAAACCCACAGCCAATATCATACTGAATGGGCAAAAACTGGAAGCATTCCCTTTGAAAACTGGCACAAGACAGGGATGCCCTCTCTCACCGCTCCTATTCAACATAGTGTTGGAAGTTCTGGCCAGGGCAATCAGGCAGGAGAAGGAAATAAAGGGTATTCACTTAGGAAAAGAGGAAGTCAAATTGTCCCTGTTTGCAGATGACATGACTGTATATCTAGAAAACCCCATCATCTCAGCCCAAAATCTCCTTAAGCTGATAAGCAACTTCAGCAAAGTCTCAGGATACAAAATCAATGTGCAAAAATCACAAGCATTCTTATACAACAATAACAGACAAACAGAGAGCCAAATCATGAGTGAACTCCCATTCACAATTGCTTCAAAGAGAGTAAAATACCTAGGAATCCAACTTACAAGAGATGTTAAGGACCTCTTCAAGGAGAACTGCAAACCACTGCTCAAGGAAATAAAAGAGGACACAAACAAATGGAAGAACATTCCATACTCATGGATAGGAAGAATCAATATCGTGAAAATGGCCATACAGCCCAAGGTAATTTATAGATTCAATGCTATCCCCATCAAGCTACCCATAACTTTCTTCACAGAGTTGGAAAAAACTACTTTAAAGTTCATATGGAACCAAAAAGAGCCCGCATTCCCAAGACAATCCTAAGCCAAAAGAACAAAGCTGGAGGCATCACGCTACCTGACTTCAAACTACTACAAGGCTACAGTAACCAAAACAGCATGATACTGTTGCCAAAACAGAGATATAGACCAATGGAACAGAACAGAGCTCTCAGAAATAACACTACACATCTACAACCATCTGATCTTTGACAAACCTGACAAAAACAAGAAATGGAGAAAGAATTCCCTATTTAATAAATGGTGCTGGGAAAAGTGGCTAGCCATATGTAGAAAGCTGAAACTGGATCCCTTCCTTACACCTTACACAAAAATTAATTCAAGATGGATTAAAGACTTACATGTTAGACCTAAAACCATAAAAACCCTAGAAGAAAACCTAGGTAATACCATTCAAGACATAGGCATGGGCAAGGACTTCATGACTAAAACACCAAAAGCAATGGCAACAAAAGCCAAAATAGACAAATGGGATCTAATTAAACTAAAGAGCTTCTGCACAGCAAAAGAAACTACCATCAGAGTGAACAGGCAACCTACGGAATGGGAGAAAATTTTTATAATCTACCCATCTGAAAAAGGGCTAATATCCAGAATCTACAAAGAACCTAAACAAATTTACAAGAAAAAAATCAAACAACCCCATCAAAAACTGGGCAAAGGATATGAACAGACACTTCTCAGAAGAAGACATTTATGCAGCCAACAGACACATGAAAAAGTGCTCATCATCACTGGCCATCAGAGGAATGCAAATCAAAACCACAATGAGATACCATCTCACACCAGTTAGAATGGCAATCATTAAAAAGTCAGGAAACAACAGGTGCTGGAGAGGATGTGGAGAAATAGGAACACTTTTACACTGTTGGTGGGACTGTAAACTAGTTCAACCATTGTGGAAGACGGTGTGGCAATTCCTCAAGGATCTAGAACTAGAAATACCATTTGACCCAGCCATTCCATTACTGGGTATATACCCAAAGGATTATAAATCATGCTGCTATAAAGACACATGCACATGTATATTTATTGCGGCACTATTCACAATAGCAAAGACTTGGAACCAACCCAAGTGTCCATCAATGATAGACTGGATTAAGAAAGTGTGACACATATACACCATGGAATACTATGCAGCTATAAAAAAGGATGAGTTCATGTCCTTTGTAGGGACATGGATGAAGCTGGAAACCATCATTCTCAGCAAACTATTGCAAGGACAGAAAACCAAACCCTGCATGTTCTCACTCATAGGTGGGAACTGAACAATGAGAACACATGGACACAGGGTGGGGAACATCACACACCATGACCTGTCGTGGGTTGGGGGGAGGGGGAAGAGATAGCATTAGGAGATATACCTAATGTAAATGACGAGTTAATGGGTGCAGCACACCAACATGGCACATGTATACATATGTAGCAAACCTGCACGTTGTGCACATGTACCCTGGAACTTAAAGTATAATAATTAAAAAAAAAGAAAAGAAAACACAGAAACTACTAATACTATTTAAAAAAAAAATCTAAAAGTCCTGTAACAACAACAACGACAACAACAACAAAAAAGAGTCTGTCTCTCTCACTGGTCAATGAGCCTTCCCAGAGGGTAAAAGACTGCAAGAATTGCCTTGTTCATTTTGGTACATCCACACAAAGAAGTACTGTGCTGCAGTAAAAGAGAAAATGGAATTATCAGGCATCAGCGAAATGAAAATGAAATCCACCATGAGATATCACTTTACTTCCACTAAGATGGCTATACTGAAAGGGTCAGATAATAACAAGTGTTGACAGGGATGAGGAGAATTCGGCACCCTCATACATTGATAATGGGACTATAAACTGGTGCTGCAGCTGTGGAAAACAGCCTTTTGGTTTCTTAAAAGATTAATCACAGAGTAGCCATATGATCCAGGAATTCCGGTCCAAATGAGACAGCCAAGTATAAAGGGGTCGCAGGAGGACCTCCAACTGGCCTCCGCACTGGGAGGAGTGCACACTGGGGGTGGAGCCTCTGGAAGTTTGCCAGTTTGCAGGCGGGAGGAGCCTGGCCTCTCCGGTTCCGGGTGGTATCTGGGATTCAATCTGTGAGTCTAGAAGCCTATTAGCAGGACCCTCGCTTTGCTGAGAGTCCCTGTTTCCGTTTTTTTCCCCTTTTGATGCAATAAACCCTCCCCTTCTCACCCTTCAAAGTGTCTGCGAACCTAATCTTTAATGGCCGTGTGACAAAAACCTGGCTTTTAGCTGAACTAAGGAGAAAGTCCTACAACACAGATACATACCCAAGAGAATTAAAACTGCACATCCACACAAAAACTTATACATGAATGTTCATAGCAGCATTACTCATAAGAGACAAAAAGTGGAAACAACTTGAGTGCCCAGCAACTGATGAATGAAACAATAAAATGTGTTACATCTACACAGTGGCATATTATTCAGCAAGAAAAAGAAATGAAGTACTGATACATTTTACAACATGGATGAACCTTGAAATTATGCTAAATGAAAGAAGATAGGGGCAAAAGATGACACATTGTATGATTCCACATATATGAAAAATCCAGAATAGGCACATCTGTAGACACAAAGTAGGTTGGTGGCCCCCCAGGGCTGCTGGAATAGGGGGAAATGCTGAGTAACTGCTAATGGTACAGATTTCTTTTGGGGGTGAGGAAAATGTTCTAAAATTTATTGTAATGATGGTCACACGACTCTCTGACTATACTAAAAAGCATCAAATACTTTAAATGGATCAATTTTATGGCTTGTGAATTATATCTTCATAAAGCTGTTATTTAAACAAATAAGAACAAGCTCTTTAATACTGAAAGGTGTGGTTTCTGTCATATAAAGTTAACCAAAAAAGGCAAGGTGTAAAAGAGTACATAATTTATGTTTGAAAAGGGGGGTATATTAAAATGTTCATGCGCCAGCTAATTCTTGCAAAAAGAATCACAGGAAGGATAAATCAGAAATTAATGATAAGGCCAGGCACAGTGGCTCATGCCTGTAATCCCAGCACTTTGGGAGGCCAAGGCAGATGGATCACGTGAGGTCAGGAGTTTGAGACCAGCCTGGCCAACATGGCGAAACTCCGTCTCTACTAAAAATACAAAAATTAGCCCCATATGGTGGTGGACGCCTGTAATCCCAGCTACTCTGGAGACTGAGGCAAGAGGATAGCTTGAACCCAGGAGGCAGAGGTTACAGTCAGGAGGTGGAGGTTGCAGTGAGCCGAGATTGTGCCACTGCACTTCAGCCTGGACTACAGAGCAAGACTCCGTCTCAAAAAAAAAAAAAGAATTAATGTTAATGTTCCCTACAGAGGGAGAGTGTGAAAAGGGTGGAAGGGAAGGAGAGGTAGTGTCACTTCTCTGATTAAACCTTTTTGTATAATTTTGACTTTTGGAACCATGTTAGTGTTTTTACAAATTCAAAAAAAAATTAAATTAACAAAATTGGCAGAAAAAATTGAATATGAACAAAAACATGAATTGAGCTATATATCAAATGAATGCTATAAACACAGAAGGGGAAAAAAGGGATTGTGTACATATAAACAGCCTAATGACAGAAAGAACTGCAAATAAATCTTGAACTTTGCTTAGTAGTTTTGTTATTGGCAGTGCTATGGGCATAGGAATTCTGAAAGTATTTTCTGAATATTGTAGGATAGAGTCAATGACTATATATATACTGAAATTTTTGGAAACCAGAGCTTTTGCTGATGGAAACCACAGCTTTTGCTGTTGCATTTGATATGCAAATATGAAATGGGGGCTAGAGATGAACAACCCTGTGCTGGAATCACTATAAAGTCATGATTTTAAATACGTGGGTCTATATTGGCCAAAAGTGTTTAAAAGCAGTCACAACCCAGTAGCAATATCCACACTTAGTGCCCAGATCTTGGTTTCTAAATTTCATTTCCCATTAATAAGAATCAGTGCTTCTTAGAAAAAAAAATAGCTGATTCCAGCACTGGGCCAGGGAATACAGAATGAATATCTTGTGTGAAGGAGTGCCTAAAAAATGATGAGGACCTGTCAAAAGGTCTCTGAAGGGATTCCCATTGTCCAAATCAGGAACAACTTGAGGATCAAAATAGATATCATTCAGCCTGGGCAATATGGCGAAACCTTGTCTCTACAAAAAATACAAAATAATTATCAGGGCACGGTGATGTGTGCCTGTAGTCCCAGCTACTTGGGAGGCTGAGGTGGGAGGATCACCTAAGCCTGGGAGGTCTAGGCTGCAGTGAGTTGTGATCACGCTGCCGCGTTCCAGCCTGGGTGACAGAGTGAGGCCCTGTCTCAAATAAATAAATAAATATCATTAGTAACAGATTATAACATATTAAATAAAATGGGAATTCATGAGCCCATACTGATACGAATAAATGAATAAGTAAGTAGGTGGATAGATGATAGATAGGAAAACTTTTCTTTACATTGGAAAGTCAATTGAGGCTGGGCACGGTGGCTCATGCCTGTAATCCCAGCACTCTGGGAGGCCGAGGCAGGTGGATCACCTGAGGTCACTTTGAGACCGCCTGGCCAACATGGTGAAACCCCGTCTCTACTAAAAATACAAAAATTAGCCAGGCGTGGTGGCACAAGACTGCAGTCCCAGCTACTCTGGAGGCTGAGGCACAAGAATTGCTTGACCCCAGTGACAGAGGTTGGAGTGAGCCAAGATCGCACCACTGCACTCCAGCCTGGGTGACAGAGTGAGACCCTATCTTGAAAAAAAAGAAAAAGAAAGTCAATTGATAATAGTAAACACAATGATGAAATTAGAAAAATCACTATGTGGCAATCATCACAGTAATAATAAATTCAACTAAAAATATCAATAAATGATAAAATTAGTGGGTGAATGTTTGATGAGGAGCAGGATACTTACATGGTCTCAAAATAACTCTCCACAAAATACTTACTGAGTATAAAGAGAAAGACAGTAACTATAAGCAGTAACTTGAGGCAGAGAGCACTTTAATCAAACAACGAAGGTTAACATCAGCATGTTAGACAAATTGAAATCATACACCACGTCATAGGATACATTGAGGACACACAGCCTCGCTTCCGTGATATCTTACCAAAATGCAAGTCATGAATCTGATCACAAGGAAGCATAAGGCAAAGGCAAACTGAGGGACATCCTGCAAAATAACTGACCTTTAAGAGGGTCAAGGTCATAAAGCCAAAGAAAGATAAGTAGATATGGCAACTAAATGCAACATGTATTCCTGTATTGGATCCATTTGCAATAAAGGACATTGATGGAACAACTGGATAAATGAATGGGGTCTGTGGGTTAGATGATAGTAATTATCAATGTTAACTTCCTGATCTAAATGGTTGTATCATGGTTATGTAGGAGAAAGTCCTTGTTTGTAGGAATATTCTAAAGTATTCAGGGATATTAGACATTATGTCAGCAACTTTTCTTCAAATGGTTCAGAGAGTGGGGAAGCTCTTTATTCTATTTTTGCACCTCTTAAGTTTGAATTTATTTCAAAAGTGAAAAGAAAAGATTCCATGAGTCCACACTTAAACTAAAAACAAACATAGAAAGGGAATAGAAAAAGAGAGAAAGTTTTTATTTACAGTAGAAAGCCAACTGAAAAAATGTATAAGGAACAATAGAGTTTTAAACATTACTATTTTTCAACCACTGTGTTAACTGACTTAGGCAAAAATCATCAGTGGATCCTAAAATCACTGGGTGATAATTTGTTGAGAAACAAGATACTTATACAAACTCAAAGCATCTTCTCATATTACTTATTAATTACAAAGGGGAAAATGGTACCTTTACCTAAATCTGATAGATACTACTTCAGCCAAGTGATTAAAGTCAACATTACCCATGATGGGATGAACTGACATCAGATGATTCCTGCCATGATGCACTAAAAGAGACACACACCATTTACATTGTATTCCTGCCAAGAAGGCATACTCATAATCAAATCACAAGAAGGCACTCGGACTAACCTCAAGTGCCCAGATCTTAGTTTCTACATTCTACTAATCAACATTCTGTAAAACAATAGGCAAGTGCTCTTTCAAAATGTTAAAGTCATGAAAAACCATGGAAGGCTGATAAATCATTGCACATTAAATGACACTAAAGAAACATGATAAAGAAATATAATGTGCTATCCTGGATTAAATCCTACATTAAATGTATAAAAAATTGCTATATTCTTTTTTTTTCCCCAGCTCTGTCACCCAGGCTGGAGTGTAGTGGTGCAATCACAGCTCCCTGCAGCCTCAGTCTCTGGGACTCAAGTGATCCTCCCACATCAGCTTCCCAGGTAGCTGAGACTACAGGTGCATGCCACCACAACCTGCTAAATTTTTTTTTTGTATTTTTTTTTCAGAGATGGGGTTTTTCCATGTGGCCCAGGCTGGTCTCATACTCCGAGGCTCAAGGGAATCTATCTGCCTGCCTCAGCCACCCAGAGTGTTGGGATTACAGGCATGAGCCACTGTATCTGGCCTAAACATTGCTATATTCAATATTAGTATAGTAGTAAAATTTGAATAAGGGCTTTATAATGGGTAATATTAGATCAATGTTAAATTTTCTGAGTTTGATAATCAGACTGTCCTAATTCTAGTTGATCTTTTCAACTTACTCTCAAATGTTTCAGAGAGAAAAAAAAGAAGCGTATGTGTGTGCATGAGAGAGAGAGTGGGAGAGGTGGAGAAAGAAAGCACAAATGTGTCAAGGTGCTAATAAAATGTGAAGTCTTCAAATTTTTAATTTATAAAGAAAAGAAATTATCTCATTCAAATCTGTATCCTCAGCATCTCCTAGCATTGCCCTGGAATATAGTAGATGCTCAATATATGTTCATTAAATGCTTAAATGAAATGACAAAATCTGATCAGGACTCTTACTTGCAAGTGATAAGACATTCAGTTTAAACTGCCTGAGCGTAATAGAACTCAGTACATTAAACTGCAAAATCAAAGGGTATAGCAGTTGGCATAGCCAGATTCAGGTGTTCACTTGATGTGATCACGATCTGGACTCCTCTTTCTCTCTCAGCCCTATTTTCCTTTGTGTTGGCTTTACTTTGTGTTGGCTTGAATGTGTCCCCCACATTTCATATGTTAGTATATTTGGAGGTGGTGAGGGCCTTTAGGGGTAATTAGGATTAGATAAGGTCATCAGGGTAGGGCTCCCATGGTAGACCAGTGGCTTCATAAGAAGAGGAAGAAAGACTTGAGCTGGTATGCTCTTGTCCTCTTGCCATGTGATACCCTCCACCATGCTGTGATGCAGTAAGAAGGCTCTGACCAGATGTGGATCCTTTGGCCTTGGACTTCCCAGCCTCCTGAATTTAAGAAATAAATTTTCCTTCCTTCCTTCCTTCCTTCCTTCCTTCCTTCCTTCCTTCCTTCCTTCCTTCATCCCTCCCTCCCTCCCTCTTTCCCTCTTTCTTTCTCTCTCTCTTTCTTTCTTCTCTCCCTCTCTTTCTTTTTTTTTTGAGACAAAGTCTCACTCTGTCACCCAGGCTAGAGTACAGTGGTACAATCCTGGCTCACTGCAGCCTCCACTTGTGTTCACTTCCTAGGCTCAAGTCACCCTCCTACCTCGGCCTCCTGAGTAGCTGGAACTACAGGTGTGTGCCACTACACTTGGCTAATTAAAAAAAAATGATTTTGTAGAGATGAGGTCTCACTATATTGCCCAAGCTGGTCTTGATCTCCTGGGCTCAAGGGATCCTCCCACTTTGGCCTCCCAAAGTGCTGAGATTATAGGTGTGAGCCACCATGCCCTGCCAAGAAATAAATTTATTTTATTTATAAATTACCCAGTCTGTGGTGTTTCATTATAGCAACCGAAAATGGACCAAGACACTCTCTCAAACTGACTCTTCATATAGTGGCACCATATAGCTCTCTAGTTCAGCAGAAATAAACATTCTTTTGTCCAGTTGTTTCATAAACTTCCACTACTAATCTCATTGACCTGATGTGAGTTGCCAGAGAGGATGAAAAATGCTAATGAGCATATCTGAGACTTGAGACTTTCACCCAATCCATGTGAGTAAGAGAAGGGTAAGTGTAGTTCTCTAAGGAAATCAGGTGGCATAATGAGGCAAAGCCAAGCCACGTTGGAACCAATGATGTTTCGTAGCTGGCACAGAAGGGGAGGTGAGTGAGCAGTAGGTGGTACACATATAACAAGCCCTTTACGGCAGTGGTCACAAGTTGGCAGCCCATGGTCCAAATACAGCAGACAGATGTGTTTTGTTTGAACTCCCTGCTGTGGTTTGAAAGTGTCCCTTCCAAAATTCAGGTGTGGCCAATGCAATAATATTAAAAGGGGTATCTTTAAGAGTTGATTAGGCCAAGATGGCCCCTGCCTCGTGAATGGAATTAAGGCCCTTATAAAAGAGGCTTCATGCAGCACTCAGCTCACTTGCCCTTTCGCCTTCTGCTGTTCCTCCCCTGCGGAGGATTCAGCAACCAGGCGCCATCTTGGAAGCAGACAGCAGCTCTCAGCAGTCACCCAAATCTGCTAGTGCCTTGATCTTGGACTCCCCAGCCTCCAGAACTGTGATAAAATCAATTTCTGGTTCTTTATAAATTACCCAGCCTCAGGTCCTTTTGTTATAATAAGGTATTTCCTGTTTTAAAAACTGGGAACTTTTTTTTATAGCATCCAGATTTCTGGCTACTCTTGAAAACTCAAGAAGATCTGGCAACACTGAGTTCACATTCTCACACAGGAACAATTGGCTGGAGCTGAGTAGCCTTAAAGAAAGAACATCCTCCGTAGAACGGCATCCCCCTCACTCCCAATTTTCTCATGCCTGGCCCAAGTCTCTCATTTACGTGACCGGTGGGCTCTATGGGCACTGAAGCCTGTGACAAGTGAAGGGGAGCTCGCGAACTCCTAGCAGGCTCTTTGGAAAACCCACTTAGCCCTTAGCACCTCCCTGTGGCCTCTTGCATTCTCCTCCTTCCAGGTTTCTATTGTCAGCAAAATTTTGAATAAAGATTTCAGTAAAATTTTGAAAAGAAGTAAAGGGGCTCAGAAATTTGGCAAAACTAAGTTTATACTTGAAAACTACAAAATAAATAGGTGGAAAAAAACGTTTTGCCACAGTTTGCCTCAAAGGGTTCCCACACCCCTGCATTAACTAGAATACTTTAGAAGCAAAGGCGAATGACTATTCCTACCCCCTTCCTCTCTCACCCACACCCGCAAAGTCCTAGAACTACAGTCCCTTTAAGGACATCAGTATGAATATTTTTGTTGTCTTCCTTCTCTAGTATTTTCAGAAACTTAACACATGCTGGACGTAGCAGGTGCGATTCTAATTATAATGTGAGTGGGAGTCCACCGAGCCAACTATTTCAGAAGGGCTTTGAAAGTTGTATCAGAGCATCGAGCTGGTCGCAGCATTGTGCTGCCTGAGCTGCAGCCCATTTGGGCATAGGTCCATTGACTGTCAGCCTCCTTCTGGCCAGTTAAACCCTTGAGAGCTAGGAGTGAGTTAAAAAGAAGGAAAAAAAGCCAGCACCTGCTCCAGCTTTGGCAAGAACCCTAAAATAGAGCAACCATTTCTCGTGAGAGCTGAACACAGTGTCTGCAGCTGCTTGCTTTCCTATCGAAAATCAATTTCTATCTATTAAATAACATAAATAGGATAGCCTTTCTCCCTTTCAAATTCATCACTTTTTTTCCTGATTGAAGGAATCTTTTTGAGCACTTCCGTGTAGATTTGGAGTGAGTGGGGAAGGTTTTTTTCTTTCCCCTGTCAAAAACCATCAACCCATGAAAAAGAAGGAATCCACTTGTAAAGTTTTTTTTTTTTTTTCAGTTGACCACTTTTACAAGTAAGCATAGAGCTTACTGTTTCTTGTTTTAGTTTTCTTTCCCAGGCAAACTGCGGAAGAATAAATGAAAAATATACACGGGAACCTAATACTTCTCTTCAGTAAATACCCAGTCCTCAATAAAAATAGGCTTCAGTTCAGTATAATAGTACACACATAGAGAAAATGGCATGGAGAGAAAAAGGACAAGAAAGAAAAGAGGATAGAGAGTGTATGGTCAAAGATGGGAAGAAAGAGGATAAAAGTTGATCCCTTGATCAGACCACTCCCCACTCCAAACAACCTTGGTCCCTAAACTCACCTTACATCCTAATTCTGTAAATGCCACAGCTCTTTAGCTTGGTCCTTGAGCCTTCCACACACTTGGTCTATTCAGTTGGGTTGTTGATCACCTGGATGCCCTGATAAAACCAACCTTGTTTCCCCAAACTTGTCTCAATTCCCTGAAGAATAATAAGCACGCTCAAGGAGAACTCTTCCTACAATAGGTTATTCATCTTAATTATCCAGATCTTTTCCCAGAGTGCATACAATTTTATTTATTGTGTTTTGGATGGCTCATTCTTAAGAGTCCAGAAAAAGTATATTACCAGCTCTCTATAAATGCATCCATTCAACCAGCATTTCCTGTTTTCCTGTTGAATGCCCTCTGAGATACTGAGAACTATTGGACTCAAGATGGCATTTCTCACCTCCTCCAACATAATTCTCTAGTAACCAGACCATTAGGCATTCTGTCAAAATATCTTGTACGTGGCCCTATCATTTCTTTTACTTAAGTAAATGCAAGTTGCCCATGGTGAAGTTAGCCAAGCAGAATACATCTTACAGGGAGAATTATCTATTCCTTAAACTTCACCCACAGAAAATAAGATGTTTTAGAATGTGTACATTTTTAAAATAGTTTGATTTGAAGTGCCAAGGAAGGGAAAATATTTAAAAATGAGTTCTGAAAGACAATAAGGCAATTATAAGTCATTATTAAAGTAAATAAACTTTGTTACTTCTTTCCTCTCACCTCCCCTTTTCACCCCATTGATTCTGCAGTGTCTCTTGGAAAAATAAAAGCACTGTACACAGAGAGAAGCTAAGGATAGAGAAATGCATTTTAAAGTCCATGAACTCAGTAACTTATCTTCTCTCTGCCTGTCCTTTTGTTTAGGCAGGGACTCAGAGTCAGCTTCCACTGTGCCTCTCTATCACTGGTCTTGGAACCTTCCAGTTATATTAGATAATCCTTTTATGGCCTGGCATTCTTAGTGTCAAATACAATTACTGGTTAACCTGATGGCTGTCTCCTCTCATGAAGAAAGTTTTTACAAAACTTGCCAAGACCAGGTGAAGACTAGACCAGATCTAGTCTCAGAGCTCCAGGCTCCTCCCTGACCTCTCTCTGGTTCTGACAGCAATGACAGGGCAATGCTGCCAGCAGGCCTGGGTGAGGGAGACCCCTGCCCTGATTCTGTTTATTTTCTGAACTTTAGGCCCAGAAGTAAAGCCAAATGTCTTCTGCATGCTGTTGTGAAACCAGTTAATTTTCAGATCTATTATAAGGGCAGTGGAGTGATTTGCACAAAAATCATGCCATGCCTCTACTCAAAAGTCTCCAGCAAATGCCCATCTCACTCAGAGAAAGGCTACTACTGTCCTTCAGGGGTCTACAAGCCTCACCAGCACATACCCACCCCACCTGGCTAACTCTCTAACTTCCTCTTCTTCCACCTCCCCCTTGGTCTCTCTACAGCCATGTGACCCTCTTGCTGTTCCTCCAGCATCTCAATCTTTTATTCACCAATGGGCCTTTGCATTTGCTGTCCCCTGTGCCTGGAATGCTATTCCCCCAGGTACCCACAGGCTTACTTTCTCCATTCCTTGCAGTCTCTGCTCAAATGTCGCTTTGTCAGTGAGACCTTTCTTGAAGATACTTCATAAAACAGCAGGAGCCCGCTCCCACAGTTCACATACCATACAATACACTCATTTGAAGTGTACAATTCAACGACTTTTAGTATTAACAGAGTTTGCATCCATCACCACTATCAATTGTACAACATTTTCATCACCCCAAAAAGAAAGTCTGCACCTTTTGATCATCATTACCCTCTGACACACCAATTACTCCGGTTCCCTAGCCCTAGCTGACCACTAATCTGCTTTCAGTCTCTATATATTTGCCTATTCTGGACTTTTCACATGCAGGAAATTATACAATATACAGTCTTTTGTGATGGGCTTTTTTCACTTCTCATAATGTTTTTAAGATTCATCCATGTTGTGGCATGTATCAGTACTTCATTGCTGCTTCTTGGCAGATA
Source organism: Homo sapiens (assembly GCF_000001405.40). Classification (NCBI taxonomy): domain Eukaryota; kingdom Metazoa; phylum Chordata; class Mammalia; order Primates; family Hominidae; genus Homo; species Homo sapiens. The sequence goes on from NC_000010.11 coordinate 93,944,535, forward strand.
ATATTCCATATGGATATACCACATCTTAGTCCTCTGCTTATCGGTAGATGAACATCTGAGTTGTTTTCACTTTTTGGCTATTGTGTATAATTCTGTGAAAGGCATTGTGAGCAAGTTTTTATGTGGTCATATGTTATTTCTCTTGGGTACATACCTAGAGATAGATCCCCATCATTTGTGTTATGCTTTATTTGAGCATTTGTTACCAACTGAGGTATTATATATTGACTTGTTTTCTGTTTTATTGCCTGCCGTGCTCCCACTAGAATATAAGCTCCCTAAATGCAGGATCTTGACGTGTTTTGTTTGCTGCTTAGAATAGTGCCTAGCCCAGAGTAACCATGCAACAAATATATGTTATATGAGTGAGTCAAAGAATGCTAAAATCAGAGCAAACTTAGGGGGAAAAAACTATTAATTCAATAAACCAATCATGTGTACATTAAAATTCCACTTGTGGGAAGAAGTCTGGAATAACAACTTTCAGGGAAGTAAAAAAATTCCAGAACTGCCACTAGCCTGTGCCTTAGTCAAGTGACTTCCTTTTGGCTTCAGTTCCTCCCCTTTAAAATATCAGGGTAGAACTAGTATTCCTGGCTCCTTCCAACTCCATGTTCCTTAGTGGTAACATAAAAATGAATAAGTGACTTGATTTGCTCACACAGGTATTTATTTTTCATTCATTCATTCATCCCAAAAATATTAAGTGCCTTCATGAGCCAGACACTCTTCAGGTGACTCACTGTGCATATCAATATTTATAGTCAATTTGGATAATAATTATACCATTGCTGATTTAAATTTCTTTTTTAAATTTCATCAAATATAGCTGGGTTGGGCTCTTTAAAAATGAAAACTATCTCTTAATTATTTTAAGTTTTAAAGACATGGGCATAAACTGGAACTAAAAAAAAATTAGTATCAACACAATGTAAGTTTATTATTGTTTCTTGCTTCAGTATGTTCCAGTTTCATGCAGATACAAAATGCATCCATGTGCAGAAATGGAGAGGGGATAAGTGGGGTGAGGGATAAAACGTCTAGGTCAGACTCAGTGGCTGTGGCTTTTGCTCTATGGGACTACAGTCTACATTCCGAGCACTCACCATTCACAGCTGCTACCTCTTCTTGTGTTTCTCATAGTCTTCATATACTGAAGGTTTGTCTGAAATGAGGTGAGCTTCTCTATTATTTCTTTATCCATGGAGTTTATTCCTCAATTTGGCATAATTCCTCAAGTGTTGAGGGGCAGGGGGAGTAAGAGAGCTGAAGAGTTTTTTTCTTCTATTGACACCATGCCAATGGGTAAGCTGTACACTCTGTCTCCCTCGTACCTTCGTTTCCTCCTTAGGAAGACAGTGGATTTAGAATTTAGATACCACTGTCTACTAGGTTGAGCATGACCATCTGCAGAAGTTAGAGCAAACCAAAGCAGAGAGGCCAAAGGCATGAGAGGTTCTTTTGTACAACGGCCTTGTTTTTGCTGGAGAGTTATGCTTGCCAAATTGCTGGCTATGTTCCTGGACCAAATATTCCAAAATGTACTTTGTCAGGAGAATTTTCTATGATTAAGTCCCAAGGACAGTTTTACATAATCTTCCCACTACATGATTTTAAGAAAGCATTTTGGGAGAGCAAAACGAACCTGGGAAGTAATACACAAATGCCTCATTCAACAAACATTTGTTTACCTGTGATGTGCCAGGCTCTGAGCAGGTGGTGGTTAATGTTTTCTCATCTAACCTGCCCTGATTCTCCATGAGATGAGGATCACTGGCTTGCTTTGTTTTACAAATGAGGAAACTGAGGCTCAGAGATGTTAAACAATTACCTCAGCTAGGATTATAAAGGTAATAGACAAAATCTATGGAACTCCAAGGAGATCCTAGGAAATAAGTCACTCTTATGAAATAATTCTTTAAAATATTTCTTAGTATTTTATTATTACTTTAAAGATAAAAAAGAGTTGACTGTAAACTAGTTATATGTACTGGTCACAAACAATGGAACCAGCTCTTGGTACTAGAGAAAACAAATCAATAAGTAAATAAACAAGCCTGGGAATTGAAGAAAATGTACGATGAAAGAATAAATCTTAGAAAACAGCAGGAACTAAGGGGTTCAGAGACCCTTAATAGAAACAAGCATTACCCTTCAAGATAAGTAGGTTTGATGATTTTCAGCCATTTTAAAACTTTTCGTGCTCTACTCCACTCAAATTTCAGAGAGTGAATATTGGAATGATTTAGTTTGGGACTTCTGCCCATGCCGTGGTCAAGGGAGGGACACTTGACATGTATGCTGAATCTATGTTATTTCTGACTGGAGGTGAGTATTGGTTTTCTTAAGCGAAAGCTGGGTGTTGTTATCAGGAGAAGGGAGTGGAGAGGCCAAGCGGGCAAAACAACAGATGTCCATGAACCTGGTGCCAGGAATGTGGCCTCTCCATCCCCTTGGAGGGATCTATGACATGGGTTTGAGGCTAGGGGCAGATATAAACCATGAATAGAAATAAAGATAAATGCTGGATCAAAGCTGTGGCCCAGGTCAGGAAGGGGCAGGCCTGAGCCAGGAGAGATGGATGACAGAGAGGGCACTTGGAGTTCTGAGGTGTGAGCAGCTGTATTTTCTGATACGCACTTCATCTAGCCGCCTGCACCGAGAATGTACCACATGGTCAGTAGAATGGAATGTAGGGCAGACACCAGCCCCTCGGAAGCACACAGAAACCTGATATAGTGGCTTCAGCCGGATGCCTAATTCCCTGTGGTGTCCAACGAACGGAAATATGAGGCTGGCCAGGCCATGTGAGAGAGTAAGACCAGCCAAGTGAGAGTTATCAGGGCCGAACTGCACATTTAGGTGAGACCAGGGAGGTTAGCTGAGGCACAGAGAAACTGCCCCATTCTCTTTCTTAAGCGGAGGCTTACCCGGCTAGCAACAGAGAGGGGTCCTCGTTGAGGCAGAAAGTGCTGGCACCAGAGAGGGTAGAGGAAACTCCTGTGATAGATGCATGAAGTGCAGTCTCATTTGGAGCCAACAGCTGGGGCAAAGCAGCAATATGAATTACCAGATATAAGAGGTCAGTTTGAGACTGTGGTAAAGAATGAGGCAAGAGACCAGAAGCTTTGATAAGAAACAGGTCTAGAAACACAGTGGGAAGTAGGATGGCTTGAGAAAGTTCAGTATACAAACTGAACTGCCCAAGAAACCAAAGCCTTGTTCTCATTGGGTGCTGGTCACATGACAGGGGGCTAGGCAACCAATCAGACCACTTAATAGTATAGAGCTGGGTTGGAAAAAAATAGGCAAATACTCTAGGTCTACCTGGGCACCTTGTCCAGAGAGGACATCCACTGAAGTGAACTGCAGGCAGGAAACAGAGGTCTGAAGGGGAGAAGCCAGGGTCCTACAGTCAGAGAGCCAGCCAGGTGGGCACTAATCAGTACGATAGATCCCTGCTCCCAATGCAGATATCCATCGAGGGAGGACACCAGGTTGCTGGTCTTGGTAATGTTTATTAAGTGTGAGCCTCTGTCTAATTGGGCAAGTGTCAATTCTTAATCCAGCGCCTTAGACCACTCGGCCACCCTACCGTGGGCAAGTGTCAATTCTTAAAAGTGAGATGATATTTTCGTAAAACAGTGGTTCTCAGCCATGGCTCACACTGGATTCATCTGAGATTTATTTGTTGTTGTTGTTTTGTTTTAAAATGGGAGTGTCACTGTATTACCCAGGCTGGATTCAAATTCTTGGGCTCAAGTGATCCTCCAACCTCAGCCTCCCAAGTAGCTGGGATTATAAGTGTCACGCCCAGCTCTCACCTGGGATATAAACAGATTGCTTCCTTGGCTCCACTGGTGAGTGTAATTTATTTAGACTGAGGTGCAGCTTGGACTTTAGAAGGTTTGAAAAGCTCCTCAGGTGATTCCAATGAGCGCTCAGGGCTGAGAAGTGCTGTACTAGAGCATTGGGTCCCAATGAGCATTCATTGAGACATTGGCCCAGCAGGTTTTTGTTGAAAACTAGGTTTCTCATCCAAAAAAATTAGGGAGGTAATACATAAAGTATACATTTTTTGGAGACTTAACTAATTCTGAGAAGTTATTCAGTAAAATAGCTTTTCCCCCCACTTTATTTATTAAGGTAACATTTACATCCATATTTGAAGCATATGGTTCAATTAATTTCAACAAATACATACGCCTAACAGTTGGGGAACCTAGATACAGAATACGGAAGTTCTTGTCCTGGCTTTGCAAGTTTTCTGTAAATTGAAAATTATGTACATCAAAATTAAAAGCTAAAAAAAGTATACACTTGTAATACCACCGCCTAAATTAAGAGAGAGAACATTTCCATTACTCCACAAAGTTCCTGGTATTCCTTTCTAGTTACCCCAAGACCTTCTCCAGAGGCAATCATCCTAAATGATTTTTATCACCATAGCTTAGTTTCACATATTCTTATAGTAGGTACTAGTTTGTGCCTGCTTCTTTCCCTTGATACAATGTTTCTGTTGTTTTGTGAATCACACTAGTTCATGTACACTGTGTGAACTAGTAGTTCATTCCCATTATAAATAAAGCTGCTATGAACGTTCTTTATACCAGTATTTTTGTGGACATACTCTTATTCCTCTTGGGTGCAGCAAGGTTTTCACTGTGTGTGTGTGTGTGTGTCAAATAATATATATAAATATACAGATGCTGAGAAGTTCAACTAGGAGTGCAATTATAGCTACCAGTAGCTATCTGTTTAGCGGTAAACTCTTTTCCAAAGTGATCATACCACTTTATATTCCTGTTATCAGTGTATCACAGCCAGTTCATATATTTTCTGATGCTTGGTATTTAAATCTTAGTTAGTCTCATTGCAGTTGATGTGAAGTGGTACTATATCATGGTTTTAATTGCATTTTCTTGATTACTGTTAATGTTAAGCACCTTTTCATGCACTTATTGAGTGTTTATATATTTTTTATGTCAAGTATCTCTTCAAGCCTTTTGCCTGATCTTTTTTAGTTTTGTCTTTTTTATTATTAATTTGTAGTTCTTTATATATTCTGATATCAGTATTTTGATGTGAGTACTTTGTCAGATATATGTATTGTGAATATTTTCTCACAGTCTATGAATTGTCTTTCAATTTAACTATTTCTTTAAAAAAGGAAAACTACATCTTTTGATTAATGTTTTTAATTTTGTTGAAGTCAAATTTGTCCTGTTTTGATGTCCTAAGAAATCTTTGCCTACTTCATGGTCATGAAAATATTTTCCTACATTTTCTTCTACAGGCTGGATAGATTTATCTTCCACATTTAGATTGATCACTCATCAAACAATTGATTTTGTATTCTACATGATTGTTTAACACAGAATTTCCCAAACATTTCTGGCCATAAAATCTATTTCCCTATATAACACCTATCTCCATTCCAAGGAACTAACATAATGTACACTGAGAAATGACTGTTTTATTAGAGGAATCAGTGTAACTAAATATGTCTGGATACCATCAAATCCATTAAGTACAATCTGGGCCCAGTGAACAAGACACAAAAGGCAGTAAGTTAAAAAGAGGTTGTAACAGACTTGACATACCTGGGAGAGAACTCTTTTCAATTGAGCTTAAAGCCTATAAATACTCAAAATGTGGAAAATTAACAACTATCAACTAACTTTTCTATCAACAAACTAGGCCTTTATCAATAAGATGAATACCTTATTTGTAAGCCCTTGGGGGATGAAGACTATGTTCATTTATCTCTCTCTCAGCACCCAGAACAGTTCTGGGTATATACTAAACACTTAATAAATACATTTGCAGTTGAAATACAATATTTTATAAAGGATATACATCAAAATGTTAAATTATTCTTTTGATGGTGAGACTACAGGTTACTTTTATGTTCATTATTTTAGTCTTTATTTTGTATTTCAACAATGATTGCACTACATATGGTTTACTAAACAGATCAACAGATAAATATGTATCATTTTACTGTACTCTGTATCTTTTTTGCATTTTATATTTAAAAGTGAGCTTTGTTTATAAGAAAATAAACAAGGAAAAGTGCTTAACATTCTGAAGGGAAATCACCTTTAAGTTGTAAAATGAACTTCCTTTAAATTTTAAAAATATTTATATTTAAAATACCCCTTGGGAAAGACTATTAAGTCTCCATTAGGAGACAAGACAGAAGGTTTAGTCTCATCATTTCTTATTCTTCAATTAAGTAATTTAACATTAACACTAAGACCTTGGAGGTTGTGCTTGAATTTGAGAAACTAATAATTGATGGGACTAATGACCAGGAGCCATGATGTATGTTTTGCAAATGCCTACAGGCAGCAGCAGCAGATAAGGAAAAACATAACTGAAAGCTTTATAAAATGGGCGTGAAGTATTGTTTACTGGTGGATGAGAACTGAATATTTGGTCTGCTGCTTCAAAATCTAATTTACCTTGAAACATCAAATACTTAGCTTCTAAACTGATGGTTGAAGAATACCAATAGAAGTAGCTCATTAAAATTCCCTCATCTCAAGGAATTCCTTTAAAAAACCAAGAATTTGTTTTTAAATTTTTATAATATACAGTGGCTCTAACCAAGGATAACCAAATCATGGGCCAGTGTATTTTTTGTGTTTAATCTGTCACTGAAACTGTTGTGTCTTTTCAAATATTATTAGATTTGTGGGGTTTGCTAGTTTGTTTTTGAGACAGAGTCTCACTCTGTTGCCCAGGCTGGAGTGCAGTGGCACGATCTTAGCTCACTGCAACCTTCGCCTCCCGGGTTCAAGTGATTCTTGTGCCTCAGCCTCCCAAGTAGCTGGGCTTACAGGTGTCAGCCACCACACCTGGCCTGTGTTTGCTTTTTTGTTTAGACAGTTCATACTTTACTTGTATTCACTACAAAACCCTGCACTATCAGACAACACAATAAAGAGAGAGCGCTCACAGTAAAATGTCTGTTAATAAGGATGTTTTGACACAGGACAACTCATCACCATAAATGAAAATTTTACAGCGACACGTGAGAGGATTTCTTTTCACCTTAGAATGTGAAGCAGTTTTCTTTACTTATTTTCTTACAAACAAAGCACACTTTTAAATCTACAACGAAAAAAAATATAGCATGCAGTAAAATGATATGTATTTATCTGTTGTTCTGATTTGTAAACTATATGTAGTGCAGTCATTGTTGGGATACCTAAGTGGTTGCTATTTATTGTTTTGATTAACATGAAAAATGAAAAGAAAGAACACTTTTAGATGTGAAAGGAGCATTGCAGATGACAGACTTCAGTAATTGCTCCAGCAGACTGCAAAGGGCTAGTTTTACAGCAAGAAACTGGATAACCTGGTTAAATGTTTCATTCATATGACCTATCTGATTAGGGGTGGGCTGGTTGGAATCTGCTGGGCCTGAGGTTAATTTCTCCCTCATAGCCTCAGACTATGACAGAACAACCTCTTCATGCCCTGTGCTCCACTGTGGAATTTGTGATCCTGCCCCTCAGGTCAAAGCTATCTTAAAATGGCAAGAATAGCAGCAATACTGAGTGAGGCATTCAAAAGGAGGAGAGCTGGCTGGCCCAGGCTGCTGGCGTGAGAGAGAGATGAAGATGTTCTTGTCAAAAGCCCGGCCAGGATCTTTTCAAATTTATTATCATAAATGCCCTCATGCAGCCATCCTGCTTTCATCCAGTGGAGTGGGTGGGAAGCAGAGAATCAGGAAGAAATGAGAACACTAAGGACCTGGAGAGTGAGGAGGGCTTCAGTACAGGATACGCTTTCTCTGGATCTCAGATCTCAAAATGATCTAGGGCCCATAATCCCTGAGTCCTCATTTGGGTTCAATAAACTGACCTGAGGGATCCATGTAAGTGTCTTCCAAATTATTTTGAATACTCTGAAAAAAATACTCTCTAGACTCACACAACATTTCTAACACCAAATGTGGGGCATGGAGGGTTCCCCACACCAACCAAGTCTCCCGACATGGGGGTGGGGTGAGGCGGGGTCGGGGAGGGAGTGGGGTCCTACAATTTAATTCAATCCTGACACTATCTACCAGATGAGTAGCCTCAGATCCCACAAGTGAAAAGGCTCAGTCCCACAGACTGCCCCTACTTCAGGTGCCAGATGAAAGTGCGGGCCTTCCTTACTTCTGACCAATCCTCTATAAACTGAGGGTTTCTAAGACCCCCCTCCCCCCAGGTTTGATAATTTGCTAGAATAGTTCAGAACTCAGGGAAACACTTTGCTTACATTTATTAGTTTATTATACAGGGTATAGCTCAGGAACAGCCAGATGGAAGAGCTACACAGGGCAAGGTCTGGAGTTCAAGGTGAGGAGTGTGGAGTTTCCACACCTTCTCCAGGTGCCCACCCTCCCATCACCTCCATGTGTTCACCCACCTGGAAAGTCATCAAATCTTGTTGTTTGAGAGTTTGTTTTTTTTTTAATTTTTTATTATACTTTAAGTTTTAGGGTACATGTGCACATTGTGCAGGTTAGTTACATATGTATACATGTGCCATGCTGGTGCGCTGCACCCACTAACTCGTCATCTAGCATTAGGTATATCTCCTAATGCTATCCCTCCCCCTCCCCCCACCCCACCACAGTCCCCAGAGTGTGATGTTCCCCTTCCTGTGTCCATGTGTTCTCATTGTTCAATTCCCACCTATGAGTGAGAATATGCGGTGTTTGGTTTTTTGTTCTTGCGATAGTTTACTGAGAATGATGATTTCCAATTTCATCCTTGTCCCTACAAAGGACATGAACTCATCATTTTGTATGGCTGCATAGTATTCCATGGTGTATATGTGTTTTTAACAGCTTGAATTCCATTCCTCATCCCCTGCTGAGGGGTAGGTGAACTGGGATGAAAGTCCCAAATTTCTATAATCCTTCTGGTGACTGGCCCCATCATGACACTATCTGGGTCCCACTCTAAATCACCTCATTAGCATAAACTCAGGCATGTTCGAAAGGGGCTCCTTGCAAAGAACCAAAGACACTCCTGTCATTCAGGAAATTCCAAGGGCTTTATGAGCTCTGAGCCAAGAACTGAGACAAAGTCCAAGCATATTTCTTTTTACACTACACTTTTTTTGATGATGGAACATTTATGCTTTCAGGGAATACATCTGAATTTTGGAAATAGCCAAGCCCATTCAATTCTAATCAAGCTAGACCAATGATGACTTTCATTTGGATAGCGTGTTTCATTTCACAAGGTGTTATCACAATGCCTTGTATTATTTAATCTTCAGGACAACTCCTGGAGCAGGTACAGTCATGCACCACACAATGACATTTCACTCAGTGATAAACCACATATATGACAGTGGTCCCATAAGATTATAATGGAGCTGAAAAATTCTTATCACCTAGTATTTACTATACTATACTTTTTATCATTATTTTAAAGTATACTCCTTCTACTTATTTTTTTTTAGAACTGTAAAATAGCCTCAGGCAGGTCCTTCAGGAGGTATGGACAAGAAGGCATTGCTATCACAGGAGACGACAGCTCCATGCATGTTCCTGTCCCTGAAGGCCTTCCAGTCAGTCAAGATGTGGAGGCGGAAGACAGTGATATAAATGATCCTGACCCTGGTAGGCTAATGTGTGTATTTGTGTCTTAGTTTTTAAGAAAAAAGTTTAAAAGGTAAATAAAATAAAAAATATTAAAAATAGAAAAAAAGCTTACAGAATGTATTAGTCTGTTCTCATGATGCTAATAAAGATAAACCTGCTACTGGGTAATGTATAAAAGAAAGAGGTTTAATTGACTCACAGTTCCACATGGCTGAGGAGGCCTCACAGTCATGGCGGAAGGCGAATGAGGAGCAAAGTCTTGTCTTACATGGGGGTGGCAAGAGAGCTTAGGCAGGGGAACTCCCATGTATAAAATCATCAGACCCCATGAGACTTTTTCACTACCATGAGAACAGTATGGGGGAAACTGCCCCGATGATTCAATTATCTCTACCTCGCCCCGCCCTTGACACGTAGGGATTATTACAATTCAAGGTGAGATTTGGGTGGGAACGCAAAGCTTAACCATATCACAGAATAAAGATATAAAGAAAATATTTTGTACAACTGTACAATGTATTTGTGTTTTAAGCTGTGTGATTACGAGTCAAAAAGTTAATAAAAATAAAAATTTATAAAGTAAAAAACTATAGTAAGCTAAGGTTAATTTATTATTGAAGAAAGGAATTTTTAAAAATAAATTTAGTGTAGCCTAAGTGTACAGTGTTTATAGTTTACTCTAGTGTACAGTCATGTCCTAGGCCTTCACAGTCACTCACCACTCACTCACTGACTCACCCAGAGCAACTTCCACTCCTGCAGGCTCCATTCATAATAAATGCCCTATACAGATGTACCATTTTTTATTGATTATACATATTTTTACTGTACCTTTTCTATACTGAGTATGTTTAGATACACAAACACTTATCATTGTGCTGCAATTGCCTACAGTATTCAGAACATGCTGTACAGGTTTGTAGCTCTGAAGCAATAGGGGCTAGCCTAGGTGTTTGGTAGGCTATACCATCTAGGCTGTGTAAGTAAACTCTACGATGTTCACACAACAATGAAGTCACCTAACAATGTGGTTCTCAGAACACATCCCCGCTGTTAAGCAACGCACGAGTGTACTTTTATTCTCAAATTGCAGAGAAGGAAAGTGAGGTTAGGAGCAGTTAAGGGATATGCAGAGTACAAAACGAGTAGGTGGCAGAGGTTAAACTTGAGTCCAGATCTTCTGAATCAACATCCAATGCTCTTTACCCTTTATCAGAGGTTGTATTTTATAATTTTAATTAGAAAAATATGAAGCACCACTATTAGGGCAGTGAAACTAATATTCATCCATACTGCATAATCTTGTGCCAAAAACAATTCCTAAAGAGAATTTCCAAAACATTTTAAGCAATGGCATCCTCATTAGCATGAGTGTGTGGTCTTCTAAAAAATAAATGAATGGTGTTCCTATATTTCCAGATACGTGGTTGGACTTTAAAGTCTCATTATTTCAATGTCACAACTGGTAAGACTTTAAAATGCTTACTGTATTAGCTTCTATAAAAAAATCATTATGCAGGAAAAAATATTGAAGGAATAAGTGATTTAATAGCTGCAAAAGGGAAAATTGCAAAGAATACCTAATGAATGTTAACATAACATAAAACCAGGCTTGTGGGCTACTTTATTTTTATCTAGGAAAAGAAAAAATGTTAGCATAATACTGATACCTACATGTCTACAGAAGAACTTCATCATACTTGGAGGTTATATGCTAGAATTTCCTCTCATAAATAGAGAAATATGAGAGAGATGTTGTCTAATTCACTTTTCCCCACAGTTGTTGGCTTTGGGTCATTCATTCTGTTATACGTTTCTTGTAGGTGCAGTGACTACATGTATGAAATAAGCCTGCATGAGTGTTATATCAAGATAAAAGGGTCATATATGTGCCATAATTGGTCATCGAATGGCTTGACACTGATGTGTTAGAACAGTTCAACACCAATTGTTAAATATTAGGAAATTTTGTGAGCCAATCATGGAGCATTTACCCAATGGAAGTCAGTAAATACGACACACCAGGGGTTCCCCTCACTCCCACCCAAGCCAGTTTACCAGCACCCTGCTGACTTGAGGTGGGAGGAACAGTGGAGGGAGGTTGCTATTTACCACCTTACAAATGTTGGAAACCACAAATTGAGATTTCTCTGTACCGGCAGAGAATACCAAAGATTATGCCAACGTCTCTGGTTACTTTGGATTTGATTTATAAATAGAATTTTACTAAAGCTGGGACAATAAGGCTGCATTTAAGGGCATTTCTATCTTGCCAAACAAACATTGGGAGCTACAAAAGAAATCCAAAGTGTTCGCAGTGGATCGTTTAATTTACCTTCTGCTTAAAATAATGTATGGTGGCCACTATATTTATATAGTTGGAAAAAAAAGGAAAGTTAAGACTATAGATATATACTTTCTCTTTAAGAAAGAGAAATCATTTTTGACATATATTTTTGGAAAAGCAGGCACTAAACTGATGATCTCTTAGGAGAGTGGAGATGGGATTAATGGGAATGTTTATTCTCTTAATGTCCAAATTTTCTTTGTTGCTTTTTTTTAAAAAGTGGTGTTTAATTTTCTTTTTTCTTTTCTTTCTTTCTTTCTTTCTTTCTTTCTTTCTTTCTTTCTTTCTTTCTTTCTTTCTTTCTTTCTTTCTTTTTTTTGAGACACGGTCTTGGCAAGATCACAGTTCACCACAGCCTCCATCTGCCAGGCTCAAGTGATCCTCCCACCTCAGCCTCCCAAGTAGCTGGGACTACAGGCTCATGCCACGATGTCCAACTATTTTTTTTTACTTTTGGTAGAGATAAGGTCTCACCATGTTGCCCAGGTTGGTTTCAAACTCCTGAGCTCAAGCGATCCTCCAGCCTCAGTCTCCCTAAGTGCTGAGATTACAGGCATGAGCCACTGCACCAGCCAGCATTTAAGATTCTTATAACTAAATAGTACTTTTAAAAGAAAGAAAAGGACCAAATAATATCAGATAAATGTGGTCATACTGACCACTTGGTAATGGCCTGTTCAAGGCTGAAAACTTCTCCAATCGATCATTTCCATTCTTATTCGTCTAGTCTCAACCTATTTTCATTTCTTAATTGACTTGATTTTTCTTCAAAGATTAAATGCATTTGTTTCTTGTTGAACTCAGAATTTTCAGTTATTGTGCTTGTTTCAAAATGCTTTAAAATTAGTTCCTGCATTGTATTGAGAGACATATCAACTGAACTCTAAGGACTGGTGAGGTCTTGCAAGCCCACCACTGCTTTCATTTGTTTGCAAACCCCATGGGACTCCTATTTCCAAGTGCTGGCAGTAGACAGAGCTGGCAAAATTTTGTTCTGACAGACTACTTTATTCTTGTCAAGGAAAGTTTGTCAGTGGAAACTATGTCAGTAGAGGAGCTTCTGGAGAATTCCAGCATCAGGGGCACTGGGTTGTTATTTCTGGCTTGGCTGTAGAATGAACCCTGGGACTATAGGCAAGTCACTTAATCTTTTAAAGTCTCACCTGAAAATAAGAATAATACCATGATTCTGTGACTCAAAGATACACATTTTCCCTGCATTTTATTATTCCTGAAATGGAATGTGTCTAAATAAACTTGCCAGCTTCCAGGCCCAGTATGGATACCCCAGTATGAGATATAAGTAACATTTGTGAATGTAGGTGAACTTGGAGGGCTACATAGAAGGTATCTGCTTATTTGATATCACATGGGATGAGTGATTTGCATTGATAGCAGCACACATGTTTATTTGCATTTCATGTTAAATAAATCAAAATTTACATTTATTCTGATCAAAGCAAATCTTTGTCTCTGGAGGACTGAATAAATATTTTCCTATTAACAAGCAACAGCCTCTAATAACTGTTATTAAATTGTCATCCTCAACTGATGACATATTATAATCAAGGAAAAGGGAAAATAATACCAGCAGGCTAATGTTGAAGATTCAATAAGATTAAGCTCATAAAATGCTTAGCATAGTGCCTGGTGCATAGGACGCACTCAAGAAATATTGTCATCATTGTCATCATCATCATCACCACCATACTTTATAACATATTACTCAACAATTGCTTTCCATAGCCATATTTCATTCACAACCCCTGTGTAAGGAAGGCCGTAAAGTCTGATGCACCCAGAGACATTGGACAAGTCACTTAGTCTGAATAGTGGTTCTCAACTTTTGCTGAATTTCAGAATTACCTTGTGAGCTTTTGAAAAATATCAGTACCTGAGTCCCAGGCCAATTAAATTAGAATCTTTAGGGGTTGGGTCCAAGTATTTGAAATGTTATTAAAGCTTCCTGGTGATTTTAATGTGAATTATTTTATGTTAGTGGTTCTCAACCTTAGCTGCACATGAGAGATCACACAGCTCAGATGAAGCTCATCAGCATTTCAAGGGGTCAGATTTAGGCATCAGGATTTCTTTTCTTTTCTTTTCTTTTCTTTCTTTCTTTCTTTCTTTCTTTCTTTCTTTCTTTCTTTCTTTCTTTCTTTCTTTCTTTTTTTTTTGAAGCAAAGAAGGAAAAAATCTTGCCAAGCTTTATTTAGGCTATAATGATTACAGATAACACACATCTAACCCTATATTCCGTGCTTCCCATGCAGTCCCCTGAGCAGGCTCAGCTACCCTTTCCCTCCAGTCTCACTTCTTGTCTTCCTCCTTCTTGTCCTTCTTGCTGTCCTTGGTGGCCTGGGAGGCCAGGGAGCCCACAGCATTTCGAATGGCTTCATTGTTGGGATCCACACCTGGGAGGTTCTCTAGGACACTCTGAAGGAACTCAGGGTCTTGCATCACGTCGTAATCATCCTCCTCCTTGGCTGGCTCAGATGTGTCCATGGCTGAGCTGGCATCAATGTCTGCTGATTCTGCCAGGCCAAACTCTGCTCCCTGCAGGGACATCTGCATGGCACAAACAATCTTCTCTTCCTCAGTCATACTGCTTAGGTCAGGAAGCCCAGTGTGGCCAAACTCTTGCTGGCTGATGGTCATCTTCAGCAGGGCATCGTCTGAGTCTTCAGTCCCAGTCGTAGCAATCCCGGCCTCAGCAGCAGAAGCTGCAGCTGCCTGCCGGGCCTCCTCCTCCTGCCGCTGCCGCTGCTCTTCCATAAATACACGAAGGACCAAGGCCAGCTCAGGATCAGCACTGGGATCTACTCCAAATTCAAAGTCACTGGCACCAAGACCCATCATGGCACCACCTTCACCAGCCAAAATCGGAAAACTGATGAGAGCATCAGCCAAACTGGGCCCAGGAGGCACTGTCACCAGATGAGAACCGGTTCCATCTTTGCCATTCAACGTGTTTACAAAGGCTGTCAGCTTTTCTGTGTTCACCTCCTCTTCCCCAAAATTGATAATGTCAACATTTACTTTCTCCTTCTTGAGGCATTTAGCCAGTTTCACCAGATTCTTCTCATTGTCCTCCACCGGGTTTCCCACAAAGGCAATGATGCGGATCTTGTGATTGTTGCCTTGTCGGTGCTTCAGAGCCAGATGGGCCACGTGGATGCCCATGCAGAAGGTGATCTTGCCCTTGGGTTGGACAGTATGTAGCTTGGACAGGATACGGCCAGTGTCTGGGGTGAGTGTGGTCAGCACTTCACAGTCATTATCCAGTGTGATAAGGCCCACGTTGTTCTCAGGGTTGCTGCGGGTCTTTGAATGACAAACTGTGTTGACAGCATCCTGCTGGGCCTGCAGCCGGGTGGGTAAGAAGTCTCCATTCCCCATATACTCACTGTTGTCCACACTTGTAGTTAGCATTTGCAAAGTCTCTTCAACTAGAGGTGAGAAACTGGGGTCAGGAGTAGGTGAGCCCTCACTGATTTCCTCCAAAGGTGGAGTCTGAGGTAAAACATCAGGACAACCAAGGTGAACACCTGGCTCCACTTCCGCCTTTGTTGTCACTTGTGCCTTGTGTTCCCCAGAGACCAATGGCTGGTAAGTAATGCAGGAGTTGCCACTGGAGCCTGCTCGCTGAGAGAAAGATGAGCCAGACCGAAGTTTTTTGGAAGGAGAAGGCTTCAAGGGAATCTTCTTAAATACCGTGTTGCACATGAAGCGCTGGAACCATTCAGCATAGAAGCCTGGGCGATGCACTGAGACAGTGTCTCCGTCATGTATCAGGGCTTTCCAAGAGTGCTCCAACTTCTTAACAAACCTGTAAGACTGTAGAATGTCAATGATGCCAATATAAAGCAGAAGCCTTTCCCCTTTACTATTCCGGGCAGGGATGCCACCCATATGGTCATCGGTCTCCATGGTGCCACCCCGTCGAGCCTCTCCCTGGATGGATTCCATGGCTGTGGAATACAGAGCCTTTTGGGGGGCTGGTCTTCGAGTATCAACTGAGTATTGTGTTTCGCTGCTTAAGGGCTCTCGTTGTGCATGATCTATATTATGGATTGACATCAAGAGGCTATAATCCATTATCTTGAAGCTCTGCAGCACCAAACAGTCACGCTGCAGGGTCTTACAGAGAGCGTTGTGCACGTCAGCATCCAAAAAAAGACCATCAGGGATGTCTTGTAAGAAGTCTAGGTCTTTAAATGTGGGAAGAGGCTTCTCTCGCTCTTTCTGGGAAGCCCGCCGCCTGTAGGTTGAGCCTTTGAGGTCATATTTGATATGCATTTTTACCGATCTTGGTAAAAGATTGTTCATCACCACAATCCGAATGTTCT
This sequence comes from Homo sapiens, assembly GCF_000001405.40. Lineage (NCBI taxonomy): Eukaryota > Metazoa > Chordata > Mammalia > Primates > Hominidae > Homo > Homo sapiens. The sequence continues at coordinate 93,960,847 of NC_000010.11, forward strand.
TGCCACCTGTCTGCACACAGTACAGTCCATAGAATTTAGGCAGCAAAGTCCGAGGGTTCTGGTTGAGGTTTATGTAGTATCCTGGAAGCAGCTTCTGCAGAAACTCCGCTTCTTTATGTCGGACTGTCTTAACAATGAACTCATCGTCGCTGGACACATAGAACAGGGAACCACTAGCTCCAGAGCTACAGAGTTCAATCAGCGGCTCACTGCAGAGGGAATACAAGTAATCATCGGGCCGGATACCAAATAGCTCCCAGAAGTAGCGGAAGGCAACAGGTGCATAGGTCTTGAAACGAAAGGCATTGTAGTGATGAGCAGGGGTCAGGTTGCTCCCTTCACTGGGAAAGAAGATACTCTCCACCATGTGGAAATCTTGCATGAGGACATCACTCTCTGGTTTGGTACTCAGGCTCCCCACAGTGTGGGTAATGCCTAACTGGATGGCACCTTTCAAGGCTGATGAGGTTGTCCCTCCTGAGGAATCAACACTTCTATGGCCTATTTTCTTGATGGGCATGCCAGAGGCATAAGGCACCTCAGATGCCATGGGACTCTTGATTCCAGATGCTGAGGACGAGGTACAGGAAGGGACCGCGGGATCAACGGAGAAAAACCGACCGAAGACAACGGCCCGGAGGAGGCCGACGCCATCTTGGCAGCCCCCTCCCCCTCAAGGGCCTGGCTCTCTTTCAATCCGGCTCTTCCTCTTCTCGGAATCGAATCTTCCCAATGTCTCTTTATAGAACCCACGTTCTGTGGGCCCCCTCCCCGCCCCCTCCAGGGCTCCCTCAGACAAGTCGAGCCGGCTGCTGGACCAGCTCAAGTCCACACCATTCGCCTGGCATGGGGGAGAACTCACGTCTCGCACCCCCTCCACAAGTTTAACTGCTTTCCACAGGGGATACTTTCCCCTTTCACAGAAGAGTAAGCTTAAGCTGGCTGCTGGGACCTTGCGTCCAGACCAAGCCACATCTGAAAAAAAAAACGAGGCATGAAAAGTCCCAGAGGAGCAAACGCCCCCTCTCCGTCCTCCCTAGCCACCGCCTGTTAATCGCCCAACCCGGCCAGGATTTCTTTTCTGAGTAGTGGATCCCATACATCAGAATCATCTGGGGCACTTGTAATTTAATCCAAACTCATGTGCTCCAGTCCCCCCAATTTTTATTTAAGTCTGGGGTGAGGGCCCTACAATCTGTGCTTTTAAAAAGTTCCCGTTTTTCTCTGGTATAGAGTTTGAGAATTGCCAGTCTAATAAGCCTCTGACTGGTGGTGATGGTTGCCAGTCTGATAAGGCCCCACCTCCAACATTGGGGATCATATTTTGATGTGATATTTGGGGGGGGGAATATCAAAACTATATCAGAGACTGTTCATTCAGCAAGCACTATAATGCTATTTACCTGCAGCACCTTACACTGTACCTGGCACACAGGAGATGCCCAGTGAATATTTCTGAATGGATGAAATGCCTGCTGTATTAGTCAGGGTTCTCTTAGAGGGACAGAACGAATAGGAGATATATATATATATATACATATATATATACTATATATATAATATATACACATATATATACTATATATATAGTATATATACATATATACTATATATATAATATATACATATATATACTATATATATAATATATATACATATATATACACAATATATATAAATATATGTACATATATATATAAAAGTTTATTAAGTATTAACTCACACAATCACAAGGCCCCACAATAGGCTGTCTGCAAACTGAGGAGCAAGGAGAGCCAGTCCGAGTCCCAAAACTGAAGAACTTGGAGTCCGATGTTCAAGGGCAGGAAGCATCCAGCAGGGGAGAAAGATGTAGGCTGGGAGGCTAGACCCGTGTCTTCTTTTCACGTTTTTCTGCCTGCTTTATATTCGTTGGAAGCTGATTAGATTGTGCCCACCAGTTTAAGGGCCCACTGATTCAAATGTTAATCTCTTTTGGCAACACCAAAACAGGCACACCCAGGATTAATACTTTGTATCCCTCCATCCAATCAAGTTGACACTTACTGTTAACCATCACACCTGCTATAAGCCAAGTATGATACCAGGTCCTGGAGATACAGAGATAAATATGATAGGTCAGCTCCTGAACAAACCATCTAACAAGGGAGTCCAAATTATTTTTTAAAAAGATAGTAATGGAGTACAGCAGTTAACATAATAGGAAGATACAAAACTGAATTGGGTGAACACTAGAGGAGGAGTTCTGAGGAGAGCACTGAACTGAGACTGCAGATGAGGGGGATCAGGAGAGAGTTCCAAGCAGGCTAACACAAGCCAAGTCTAGAAGGACCAGCAGAGAGTCAGTTTGGCACAGAAGTGAGGTATGAATCTTCCAGCTGAGCAACACCCTGGACCAGGCACAGAAGCATGACCATCACCGTGGTTTTGTGAAACCAACAGAAGATGAACATGCTAACTGTTGGTGGGTAGAGAGACCACAGGACTGAGCATGTCCAGGGCTGGGGTGGGAAGGAATCTATGTTTTCCCCTCCTCCCAGCACATACGTTTGCTGGGTGCTCGAGAGCTGTGGTCTTCTGATATAGATGTGGCTGAATGGCAGGAACACTAGACAGGAGAGTGAAGGCCCCTGTTCTCAGCTTCAAGGAAAATTTCTTATTCATTTTTGTTCTTTAGGGCCAAGTTCAAGCTTCTGCAAAGACTGGGTGTTCCCCAAATGCTTCAGACAGACTGGCAGGGCAGCGACACAGCCAAAATTGTGAACAGGCTCCCCAATTGTTCCGGGGACTTGCTGTTCTCCAGCTCTTTCCCCTGAGGGCCTCTGGAGCCTGGGGTGTGCAGGCCTGGTATTATCTGTCTCAACTGAAATAGATTTTCTGGCATATAAAGAGACGCCACAAAGGAAGACATATACCCAGCTACATGGGTGTGTATCCCTAGATGCATTTTTACCGCTAAAGTCAAGATCGGATATTTCTGACTGCTTTCCACAAAGCTAAACTTGGACAAAAACTGCATGTAAACACATTAGTTTCCCCAAATCACTGTCTTTCATCATCTAACAATTAGATTACAATTTATTGGTTTCTAGAATTAGATTAAAGCAGTCCGTAGACAATTAGACTTATTAAAATAATATCTGCTAAAAGGAAAGCTTCCAAGTTGGTTTGAACTCCAAATTATTCAAAATATAATATCCACATTTTTTCCCTGACCTCCCTTTTCTAATCCTATTGAACTCTGTCTTAATTTTGTATAAGGTTTATTCATCTTGATCAGAAGCTTAATAGACTAAACTGGAATTACTATATTTAAGATATATGGCTCTGAAGGGGACTAAAACTTGTTTTCTTCCTTAGATTTAAAATAAAGTCAATTTCAATTTAATTGGTTAATTTCAAGGGCTTTTAAATTTTTTCTTTCCTGGGGAGGGCAAGTATGTTTCAGTTGTAAAGAAGTAAACAAAAGCCATTCTCTTTGATTAAGAAAGTGTAAGGTTAACAAAATTAAAGCACTCACATCTGGGTGAATTGGTCTCTCAGAACAAACCAGCTATTTCTACATGACAACAATAGTTTGCAAGTGGTTGTTTTGACACCTCCCCATCTACAGTAACAAGAAAATATAATAACTTGAGGAAATAAACAGGGCATAAATATGTCTAGAAAGGAGAGAGAATCATTTAGTGAGTTCAAATCCAAGGTTTAGCCTCATCAGAAAACCTTAAGAAAAGTCACAAAAATGTCTAGATCTCCCTTTCCTCACTTTTACATGGAGAATGAAAGTACCTATGTTGAAAGTTGATTAGTGGTTGCTAAGGGCTGGGAGAGGCGGGATGGTGAGTGACTGCTAGAGAATGCTGGAGCTTCTCTTTTGGGGTGATGAAATGTTCTTGAATTAGATAGTGGTGATGGCTGCACACCTTGTCCTGCATCCTTGCAAACTCCTTAGTCTCAGGCAAACCAGGACAGTTGAACACTCTAAGCCAGCTGTTTTTATTCAGGGTTCATGGGCAATAAGAGACCCATTTGAATTCAGTATTATAAGCATGGCCATTGGACTGTCTCATGCAGTAGCTCTCACACTTTAGCCTCCATCAGAATCAGCTGGAGGTCTTCTTAAAACACAGGTTGCTGGATCCAACCTCCAGAGTTTCTAACTCAGTAGTTCTGAGGTGGGGTCTGAGAACTGGTGTTTCAAACAAGTTCCCAAGAAATACTAATGCAGCTGGTCCTGAGACCATACTTTGAGAAGTACTGGCGTATGCATTTAAAAATAGATAACATTGGGAAAAGGCCTTATGAAAATAAATAAATAATAAAATTGAAAAAATAAAAATTGATACATTATGGGCAAAGAAATAAATTGTACTTGAACAGAATTTAAATTTCAGCTGCCATGATGAGCGAGGGTGAAATTCCACAAGTATTTCAGTTTATCTATACTCTCTCTCAGAGCTACCCAAATTGGTGTTAGGGTGGAAATATTGTGGAGGAAGATATGTTAATATTTGTGCTAAGAAAATAAGCTTGCACTTTTAGCCAATCAACAGTAAAATGAGTTTGAGTTAATCTTTAATATAGTAATATGAGATGTAAATTCCTGAAAGATATGTCATATTTCCAAAAAAAAATTTTTTTTTTTTGAGACAGAGTCTTGCTCTGTCGCCCAGGCTGCAATGCAGTGGTGTGATCTTGGCTCACTGCAACCTCCGCCTCCTGGGTTCGAGCGATTCTCCTGCCTCAGCCTCCCAAGTAGCTGGGACTACAGGCACGTGTTACCACTCCTGGCTAATTTTTGTATTTTTAGTAGAGATGGGGTTTCACCATGTTGGCCAGGCTGGTCTCGAACTCCTGACCTCAAGTGACATGCCCTTCTTGGCCTCCCAGAGTGCTGGGATTACAGGCATGAGCCACTGTGCCCAGCCATATTGCCATATTTATGCTTTTATTTTCAAAGTTGAAATCACGTGGTTTCACATTCTTTTTTTTTTTTTTGAAAGAACGAAGCAATAGCCATAAGCCTTTTTTTTTTTTTTTTGGAAGTCTTAAAACCCATGTTTAATACTTGCATAATAGTCCATCCAGTAGTGAAGCAAAATTTCCTAAACCTAACCCTTATTACTGGACATTTAGGTTGTTTTCATTTTCAGTTTTCAGGCATAGTTTTTTTACTTTTGTCAACCTAATTCCTTGAAAAGAATCCTTAGGGCAATGCCTGCCTCAGCCAGCATGGAAGTGTTTCCATGTTTGATAAGCATTGCTGCATGCTGGCCTATGCAGGCTGAGCCATGGTCATGCCACTGGTAATTCACTGTACCAGCTTCCCCATGACCTTGGCAGCACTGGAAGTTATTTTAAAACACAAACTACAGTGAGGTGGGAGGAACTGGTTTAATAAGCATAAAATAGTGTTTGTTTTTCTTGAACTGTTTACTTCTCTATTATTACTTTCCCCAACTTATTTTGAAAATTTTTAAGCTTACAGAGAAATTGAGTCTCATATCCTCTTCACCGAGATGCAGTTGTTAATATTTTGCCATATGTGATTTCTTTCTCTTAATACACACACACACTTTTTGCTGAGCCATTCGAAAGTTGCAGACATGACACTTCACCCCTAAATACCCCACCATGAGTCTTCTACATAATCCAAATAACCATTATCAAACAACACATACACAAGAAATTTAACATTGATACAAAATAGTATCTATTATGCAGTACATATGCAGATTTCCCTAATAATCCCAAAATGTCTTATACAGCTGTTTTTTAAAATCTAGGATTCAATCAAGATTCACACATTGTATTTGTTTATCACATCTCTTTACTGTCTTTTAGCCTAGAAAAGTGTCCTGATGTATGTATTTATTTATTTTTGAGACAGGGTCTCGCTTTGTCACCTAGGCTGGAGTGCAATGGCGCTATCTCTCAGCTCACCGCAACTTCTGCCTCCCAGGTTCAAGTGATTCTCGTGCCTTAGCCGCCTGAGTAGCTGGGACTACAGGCATATGCCACCACGCCCAGCTAATTTTTGTATTCTTAGTAGAGAAGGGGTTTTGCCATGTTGGCCAGGCTGGTCTTGAACTCCTGTCCTCAAGTGATCCACCTGCCTCGGCATCCCAAAGGACTGGGATTACAGGTGTGAGCCACCACGCCTGGCCTCCTGATGTATTTTTAACTCTTTCATAACACTGAATCTTTTTGAAGAGTACTGTCTAATTGTTTTACAGTATATCCCACATTCTGGATTTGCCACATTATATTTTCATAACTATATTTAAGTTAAACATTTTTGGTCAAGAACACTGTATATGTGATGATGTGTACTTCCCACTGCACCCCATCAAGAGGCACATGATGTCAGGTTGTCCAATTACTAGCAGGGCTGAGTTTTATCACTGGGTTAAAGCAGTGTCTGTTGTAAAAACACATTTTCCATTTGTAATTAATCAGTAATGTATGGAGGTAGTAACTGGAGGCTGTGAACATCATGTTCCCCAACATTTCACTCAGAGGATTTTGTGTCCATTGATGATTCTTCCTAATTAGTTATTACATTGTTGGCTACAAAGTGATGATTTCTAATTTAATTATGATTCCTTTTTATATATTAGCAGATATTCTTCAGTATAAGTCAGCTATATTCCCCTTTTAAAATATCTGGACTTCCGGCCTCATGAACTCATGGATTCTCTTTTAGATACAGTATTATAATCCATTAACACTGATATTCTTTTTGAAGCTCAAATTGTCCAAACTTTGGCCAATAACAGCTCCTTTAGTGCCACGTTGGTGGTATAATGGTGAGCGTAGCTGCCTTCCAATAAAAGCTCCTTCGAGCTGACTGCTGTGTCCTTTTGAAACGTCCTCATTAGTCTTTCAACAATTCTTTGCTTTTTAGCAGAATAAGATATTCCAGGCTCTGCTTCTACTTTTACTACCCTAGATCTGAAATGAGCAATTTCTCCAAGGAAAACCTGGTTCCTTTTTGTGGGAAATCATATTTATTAATAGTAACCAAGGTCTGGGTGGCAGTTATGCTCATTGCTACTGGGTACTATTGCTTCTAGGCCTTGTCTGGAAAGAGCTAATGTGTATACATGTGCGTGAGTATGTGTGTGTGTGTATGTGTGTGTTTAGCTATTTATAAAATAATGACTTCACACTGATACCTCCAATTCCCTTCAATTCAATATAATGTCACAAGGTTCTTCCTTACCTTCCCGTACTCCACATTTGTATTTCCCTTTTACTACAGTGAGAGTCCTGGATCTCTAAAATATCAATATATTTACTCTCTCATACAGTATACATGAAATAGTTTCATAGTTACTATGTCAATAATACACCAAAATAAAACCTAGTAAGTAAAATTCGAGATTTTCCTAAAGCTTTTTTTGTCTGTAGAATATATCCTCCAATCCCACCTGAAATGAGAAAAAATAAATAAAAATTAAAAAATTAAAAAGATAAAATAGGATATATCCTACAAAGGGTATACTATTGGATTGTTATGTTCAAAAGTTTCTTGGATTATTTCTTTTTGTGTGCGGGTATATGATCAATTTGATATCTATTTGTATTTATTTGTATCTGTTTGTATTCATTTTTATGGTTTGCTCTTTCCACCACTGTAATTTTATTTTTTGAAAATGTAGACCACGTATGTGGTTCAAAGGTGAAAAACTATATATAAAGTATGATACACTGTTATAATGGTGGCTGTCAATGAGCCATGCCTTCTGGTATTCACGCCTTGTGTAGTCTCCTCTCCCACTGACACTGGAATGGCCACGGGACTTGCTTTGGTCAATGAGACACGAGTAAATATAATCGAGTAGAGGCTTGATTAGCTCTTGCATTGAGGCTTGTCTTCTGGGAATTCTCCCTCTTGGAGCCCAGCTGTCAGCTGTAGAGAATCCAGGCTATTCTCCAGGAGACAGAGGCTGGGTAGAGAGATCTGGGAGAATGAGACAGCATGTGGACAGAGAGAGGCCAAGGGGAGGAGAACTGAGTTACCCCAGCTGAAGTTCCAGCTGCAGACAGCCCATGAGTGATTCCAGCTGACACCACATGGAGGACAAGCACCACCCCAGAATGGTGAGAAATTATAGTCATTAAGGCACTAAATTTGGGATAGTTTGCTGCACTGTAATAGATAAGTAAAACAAAAGATACACTCAAATACGTGCAACCTCATCTATTTCAATTGGATATTGTTGCATAAAAAACTATCCCAAGGCCGGGCGGACCCAGTGGCTCATGCCTGTAATCCTAGCACTTTGGGAGGCGGAGGCAGGTGGATCACAAGGTCAGGAGATAGAGACCATCCTGGCCAACATGGTGAAATCCCGTCTCTACTAAAAATACAAAAAAATTTAGCCGGGCGTGGTTGTATGTGCTTGTAGTCCCAGCTACTCAGGAGGCTGAGGCAGGAGAATCACTTGAACCCGGAGGCAGAGGTTGCCATGAGCCGAGATCGTGCCACTGCACTCTAGCCTGGGCAACAGAATGAGACTCCATTTCAAAATTAAAAAAAAAAAAAAAAAACTACCCCAAAACTTAGAGGTTTAAATCAATAATTTATTGTTACTATATCTCATAACTTAACGGGTCAAGAATGCAGTAAGAGCACAGCAGGAAAGCCTTGACCCTGTTCTACAATTTCTGAAGTCGCAGCTGGGATTCTCTGAGTGCTGGAATGCTAAAGAGCTGGGTGCTGTTAGGTATCTCTCTCTTTCTGTCTCTATATCATCATCCCTCAGTATCCACAGGGGATTTGTTCCAGGACCCCCATGGATATCAAATTCTGAGGATACTCAAGTCACTGATTATATAAAATGGCATAGTATACCAGCCTGGCCAACATGGTGAAACCCCTTCTCTTACAAAAATACAAAAATTAGCTGGGTGTGGTGGTGCATGCCTGTAATCCCAGCTGCTCGGGAGGCTGAAGCTGAAGAATCGCTTTAACCCGGGAGGCGGAGGTTGCAGTGAGCCGAGATCGTGCCATTGCACTCCAGCCTGGGCAACAGAGTGAGACTCCATCTCAAATAAACAAAAAAAATGGCAAAGTGATCCTGCTTTTAAGAGTGATACTTCTCCTTCTCCTTCTCCTTCTCCTTCTCCTTCTCCCTCTCCCTCTCCCTCTCCCTCTCCCTCTCCGTCTCCCTCTCCCTCTCCCTCTCCCCACGGTCTCCCTCTCCCTCTCTTTCCACGGTCTCCCTCTGATGCCGAGCCGAAGCTGGACTGTACTGCCGCCATCTCGGCTCACTGCAACCTCCCTGCCTGATTCTCCTGCCTCAGCCTGCCGAGTGCCTGCGATTGCAGGCGCGCGCCGCCACGCCTGACCGGTTTTCGTATTTTTTTGGTGGAGACGGGGTTTCGCTGTGTTGGCCGGGCTGGTCTCCAGCTCCTAACTGCGAGTGATCCGCCAGCCTCGGCCTCCCGAGGTGCCGGGATTGCAGACGGAGTCTGGTTCACTCAGCGCTCATTGGTGCCCAGGCTGGAGTGCAGTGGCGTGATCTCGGCTGGCTACAACCTCCACCTCCCAGCCGCCTGCCTTGGCCCCCCAAAGTGCCGAGATTGCAGCCTCTGCCCGGCCGCCACCCCGTCTGGGAAGTGAGGAGCGTCTCTGCCTAGTCGCCCATCGCCTGGGATGTGAGGAGCCCCTCTGCCTGGCTGCCCAGTCTGGAAAATGAGGAGCGTCTCTGCCCGGCCGCCATCCCATACAGGAAGTGAGGAGCGCCTCTTCCCGACCGCCATCCCATCTAGGAAGTGAGGAGCGTCTCTGCCCGGGCCGCCCATCGTCTGAGATGTGGGGAGCACCTCTGCCCCGCCACCCCGTCTGGGATGTGAGGAGCGCCTCCACCCGGCCACGACCCCATCTGGGAGGTGAGGAGCGTCTCTGCCCGGCCGCCCCGTCTGAGAAGTGAGGAGACCCTCCGCCTGGCAACCGCCCCGTCTGAGAAGTGAGGAGACCCTCCACCCGGCAGCCGCCCCGTCAGAGAAGTGAGGAGCCCCTCCGCCCGGCAGCCACCCCGTCTGGGAAGTGAGGAGCGTCTCCGCCCGGCAGCCACCCCGTCCGGGGGGGAGGTGGGGGGGTCAGCCAGCCACCCCGTCCGGGAGGGAGGTGGGGGGGTCAGCCCCCCGCCCGGCCAGCCGCCCCGTCGGGTAGGTGAGGGGCGCCTCTGCCCGGCTGCCCCTACTGGGAAGTGAGGAGCCCCTCTGCCCGGCCGCCACCCCGTCTGGGAGGTGTGCCCAGCAGCTCATTGAGAACGGGCCATGATGACAATGGCGGTTTTGTGGAATAGAAAGGGGGGAAAGGTGGGGAAAAGATTGAGAGGTTGGATGGTTGCCCTGTCTGTGTAGAAAGAGGTAGACATGGGAGACTTCTCATTTTGTTCTGTACTAAGAAAAATTATTCTGCCTTGGGATCCTGTTGATCTGTGACCTTACCCCCAACCCTGTGCTCTCTGAAACATGTGCTGTGTCCACTCAGGGTTAAATGGATTAAGGGCGGTGCAAGATGTGCTTTGTTAAACAGATGCTTGAAGGCAGCATGCTCGTTAAAAGTCATCACCACTCCCTAATCTCAAGTACCCCGGGACACAAACACTGCGGAAGGCCGCAGGGTCCTCTGCCTAGGAAAACCAGAGACCTTTGTTCACTTGTTTATCTGCTGACCTTCCCTCCACTATTGTCCTATGACCCTGCCAAATCCCCCTCTGCGAGAAACACCCAAGAATGATCAATAATAAAAAAAAAAAAAAAAAAAAAGAAACTATCCAATCCTCAGCCTGCTCAGCTGCTTACTCTGTTTCACCCATGCCTTCTGTGAAAACAACAGTAAAGGTTTTGCCCAGGCTTTTTCCTCATTCTGCTGCTTCCTGATTGACCTCGTTCTTCCCTGTGTGGCCCCTCATGGTGTGACATGCCCCTTTCTCTTGGAAACTGTAATAAACTTTTCTTTTAAAAGAAAAAAAAAAAATGGCAAAGTATTTGCATGTAACCTATATGCATCCTTCCTTATACTTTAAATCCTCTCTATATTACTAATAATACCTAATACTATGTAAATAATTGTTACACTGTTTTTTTTTTAATTTGTATTTTTCCTTTTTCCTCAAATATTTTCAATCCAAGGTTGGTTGAATCCACAGACAGGGAATAGCTTCTCCACACAACTATCTTAAGCTTCCTCCCAGCATGGGAACTTCACCCTCATTGCTTCTTACATGATATTTCAGGGCTCCAAGAGCAAGTGTTCAAAGAGACAAGAAGTAGAAGCTCTCTTTTTCTTAAGCCTCTAACCTGAAAACCGGCGGTGTCACTTCCACTGTATCCTGTTAGTGAAAGCAGTCGCAGAATCTACCTATATTCAAGGGCCAGGAACATAGACCCCACATTTTGATGGGAAGATATCAAAGAATTTGTGGCCATCCTTAATCTGCTGCACTGTCCCCTATTCCTTCTTTTCCATTTCATTCTCTCCTTCCTTACAGCGCACTTAAAAAAAATTTTAAACCCACAAGTTTTGTTTCCCTTTTTCTCCCTATGCAACAGATAGCATTATTTAACTATTTTCTTGCACGTTGCTTATTTTCTAGACAGCTTTATTGAGGTATTGTTGTCACACAATGCACTGCATATATAAAAATGTAAAATTTGATAAAATTTTACTTGTGCATATATCTGTGCATCACCAACACAATCAAGATAATGCACAGATCCACCACCCCCAAAGGTTTCTCGTTGTAATCTTTCCCTCCTACCCCTTTCCACCCTCTTCCCAGGCAACCCTGATCTCCTTTCTATCACTATACATTAGTTTACACTTTCTAGAATTATATATTAATGCAATAACCCCGTATATACTCTTTTTATGGTGGTTCTTTTGGGAGGTCTGGCTTCTTAGACTCAGTATCATTGTTTTGAGATGCAACCACATTGTTGCCTATATCACTAGTTTGTTCCTTTTCATTGCTGAATAGTATTTCATTATATGGCTATATCTCAATTTGTTATTCAATCATCTGTTAATTGGAATTCAGGTTGTTTCCAGTTTGGAGTTTGTCTTAGCTGCTATGGTATTTTACCATAGCCTGGGTAGCTTAAACAAAATAAATGTATTTCTCACAGATCTGGAGGCTGAGAAGTTCAAGGTTAAGGTACCAGCCGGCTGATTTCACTTCTGGTGAGGACCCTCCTCCTGGTTTGCAGATAGCTGCCTTCTCACTGTGTCTTCACATCGGAGAGGGAGAGACAGAGATAGAGAGAGAGAGAGAGAGAGGGAGAGAGGGAGAGTGCATACACATGCTCTCATCTTTCCTCTTATAAAAAAACTAATCCCATCACAGAGACCCCATCCTCACAACCTCATGTAAAACTAATTACCTCCCAAAGGCTGCACCTGTGAATATCATAACACTGGGGGTTAGGGCTTTAACATATGACTTTTGGGGGAACACAGTCTTTTGGTTCATAACAAGGCTATTAAAAATAAAGGCCTGAGGGAGCTGGTTTGTCCGTTCTGCCATGTGAGGACACCTAGATTGTCCATGTATGAGGAAGAGGGCCCTCATCAGACATCACATCTGCATGCATTGATCTTGGACTTTCCAGCCACCTGAACTGTGAGCAATAAATTCCTGTTGTTTATAAAGTACCCAGTCTAAGGTATTTTGTTATGGCAGTCTGAATAGACTAAGACAATGGCTTTGGCTAACAGAGGTGGTAAGAAATGAACATCATCTTTGCAGCACATAACTGAGCCTCACTGTTTGTTTCCTGGTGGCTCTTAAGTCTTGAAACCCATCACTGACCAGTAAGTGCATGTATAGGTTATGTGAAGCCTACGTATGTATTTCTCAAGTGTCCATAGTCAGATTAGAAACTCATGGGTTAAGGGAAGTATCTAGTCTGAGTAGCAGCTCTATGTTGGCTGACTTACCAAACTGTATTTACTTAATATAGATGAATAATGAAAAACTTTAATGAACTATGGCAGCACCTCCAGCTTCTAATAGATCTGAGCATGATGCTCTTCCAATAGTGAAATTATGCTCAGAGTTCAGACCAAATTGCATTAACTGTTGCTTCCATGTTCTCAATAAAAAACAGAAGCATGAGTCACATTCCCATTTATAAAAGTAATACTTTTTTATACTGTAGTAAAGGCTGCAGAAATGTGTCTGGCTAGACCTCAAGAAATGATTCCTTCTGGGGTTACCATGGTCAAGGGTGGATCCTTGACTTCGAGGGGTCGGAGATTTAATGTGGTCACTTGACCTGAAGCCACCCAGGGATAGAAGGAGGCTCCTGTCCTAGCTGAGGGTATATGTGACTCAAAGCAGAGGCCACATTGGTGTATCCCTGTGGGAGCCAGAGTCTGAGAGGATGTTGTGAGGTGTCAGACAGCTTAACTGATGTGACACAATCAGCACCAGGGAGCTCAGAAGAAGGTGGGTGATTGCAAAGACAAGACAGTATATTTGTTAACTCCATGAAGCAACTTCCTAACTTCAAATCCTGATTCTGTTACTTACTAGCTAGGGTAAATTACTTAATCTTTCTGTGCCTACATTAAAGTGAGTAAAAATGTATGAAGTACATAAAATAGTGCCCGGCACCTCGCGTTATTATATGATAGTAATTACTTAGCTAAAGGATGAACAAAGACAAGGTAAGTCAGGACAGCTCCTTATCAGATTGGGATCAGATTGGAAAAAAAATTGGTATTTTACCAAGGAAGGCCCAAGACTCCCTGGTTAAGGTCTGTCTGAATAGTGGCCCCCTAATAACATCCACATGCTAATGTCCAGGACCTGTTACTATGTTACCCTAGGTTGCAAAAGGGACTTTGCATATCTGTTTAAGTTACAGATCTTGAGATGGAGAGATTATCCTAGATTGACCAGGAAGCCTGAAGCTCATCACAGGGTCTTTATAAAGGGAGATGGGAGACCCTTTATAAAGGGTCAGAGGAGGAACTGTTTCAACCAAAGCAAAGATCAGATTGACTGGGGCCATGAGCCAAGACATGCAGATAGCCTCGAGGCTGGAAAAGGTAAGGAAACGGTTGCTCCCCAGAGCCTCCTGAAGGAACCAGTCCTGATGGTATCTTGACTTGAGCCCAGTGAGATTGAACTTGGACTTTTTGTTTTTGGTTGGTTTGTTTGTTTTGAGATGCAGTCTCTCTGTCGCCCAGGCTGGAGTGCAGTGGCGCGATCAGCTCAGTGCAAGCTCTGCCTCCTGGGTTCAAGCCATTCTCCTGCCTCAGCCTCCTAAGTAGCTGGGACTACAGGAGCCTGCCACCACACCCAGCTAATTTTTTTGTATTTTTAATAGAGATGGGGTTTCACCGTGTTAGCCAGGATGGTCTCAATCTCCTGACCTCGTGATTTGCCCGTCTCAGCCTCCCAAAGTGCTGGGATTACAGGCGTGAGCCACTGCGCCTGACCTGAACTAGGACTTTTACCCCCTAGAACTGTGAGATAATAAATTTAGCCACATTAATAAATAAAGCCACTAAGTCTGTGGTAATTTATTACATCAGCAATAGGAAACTAATACAGTCCTTAAAACTCAGTGAGGTATCAGTACTTCTATTTTGCCTCTGTGGGGCGGGGATGATAGTTCCTGATAACACAGAGTCAGCCTCCTAAATCACTACAGCAAGCTCTGTCCAAGCAGGGATTGCCGTTCCTGGTGCATGTTTCTTGTCACTTCAGTCACAGAGGATGATGCTTGTTTTACTTTATCCATTGATTGGATCATATAGTAAGAGATCTATATTCTGGAGCCATAGCCCAAAAATGTAACTGATTAAATGAAGAAAATTATGTATTCATAGTATATTCAAGGGTGTTATTGTTTATGCAGCAGCTATGTTCAATGGAAAGAAAAGTATACATTGGTTGGGCAGGGTGGCTCATGCCTGTAATCCCAGCACTTTGGGAGGCTGAGGCAGGCAGATCGCTTGAGCTCACGAGTTCGAGACCAGTCTGGGCAACATAGGGAGAAACCCCCCCCCCCCCACATCTCTACAAAAACATTTAAAAATTAGCCAGGTGTGGTGGCGTGTGCCTGTAGTCCCAGCTACTGGGGAGGCTGAGGTGGGAGGATCACTTGAACCGAGGAGGTTGAGGCTGCAGTGAGCTGTGATTGTGCCACTGCCTTCCAGCCTAGCCAACTGAGTGAGACCCTGTGTCAAAAAAAAAAAAAAAAAGTGTAAATCAATGTTTGTCAAATAAGTCATTTTTTTTGGTACTTAAGTCGTGTTTTTAAGGATTAGTGGAACTATTTAAAAATATCCTACAATGAGTCCTTTTGAAATGTTAGTAACAGCATTCTTTCTCAATTTTCTAAATCAAGATTTTGATTTGTTTAATTGGGAGCAGACTTGTTTTGCACCGTATCTTTAAACTGTAGATTCCACTTATGATCTTCACTCATTTATGCATTCATTCTTCCAACCCCTCTTTGTGGAGATGCCATTTAGTGCCAGCCTCTATCCTAGGAGCTAGGAAAACAGTATGATAATGAAAGGAGCCAGAGAATAAGCAAATACTCAGGAAAATATGTTAGGCTGTTAAAAAGGCTATGAAGAAACTAAAATAGGGTGATGTGGTAAAATTGAAATAAGCTTTAAAAACTCATTACTGATTTCCTTGTGGTGATCCACACGTGGGAAGGTGTCTTGAGAAATGCCTTTCCATCTGTGAAACCCTTAGTGTAGCTCAAAGAGAGAATCTGGGTGGAGCTTGGAGCGTTTTCTCCCCCTGTAACTCTGAAGATTAACTTATTTATCCCTTTGAAGGTAAAAGAAGAGAGTGTTAAAAGACCCTCACACAGCAGATACACAGTAAATATTTATTTTTATTATTCCTTATTTGTTATTGCCCAGCCCTCTGTGGTGTTCTCAGTTCACTGGGCAAGTGAAGTTACAAATACACAGCAATTAGTCTCACTTATCAGGACAATGGTCTGCTCCAAGTATTCGTGTTTAGAAGGCAGAGGGTTGGAAAGGAACATTGAGAAGTGTTCCTTCCTCAGAGGAAGGCTGCTGCACACAGTCACCTGCCTGGCCCCAAGATGTCTGCCTGGTATGTATGAGCTGCTTGGCAGAAAAGGCATCTGGTGTCCCCCCAGTGTGGCACAGGGGAGACATGGCCCTATGACTGCAGAAGCCCTTCAAGTCCCTTGTCTTCAAGTACTAGTAGGGAGCTTTCCATATATGAACTCACTGTTTGCTACCTTAGTTCTAAAGCCCCTTCTCCTGGCTGCTCACTCTTCCATTTTGGTTCTTGTCCTCAACTTTGCAATTAACCTTCAGGACCACTTTTACAGCAATAGCCTCAGATCTTTCAGCAACAGTTCTTGTTCCCCATCCTAGCTGTGCTGTTGCCTCACAGCTCAGATAAATCCCCACTCTGAGTTCATGTTAACCCTTCCGCAGCAGTTTTTTTTCCAGGGACTACTCATATGAACAGCCTCCCAGCTTCCGCGCTTTCCCTATCCCATTTTATGAGCTTGAAAACTAAACATTCAGAGAGTGTTTCTCAGACAAATTAGCCAAAGGCAGTATAGTAGTAGAGGTTAACCATGCAAGTTCAAAGCACAGCTTTGAAAAGGAGATCTTCCACCTAGTAGCTATTCAAACTTGGGAAAATGACCCCCTCTAAGGCACTACCTTCTCATCTATAAAATGGGGCTAATGATTCAATGATTCGGTGAGGTGATGTCCAAGGCCTGGCACATAGTAACTAAATGTGAGCCACCACTGCTGCCCTCTCCTGGTCCTTTAGCTCAGGTTGACTCAATGGCATCATGGTGACCTTAGAGCATCCAAGAGTGCCTAATTTTCCACTAGAGCATAATGAAACATAAAGCATGAACTTCATAAATCTTGATTATAAGAGTGGGATCCTCATTCTTGAAAATCAAAATGGAAAAACGTGGGATGGTGTGGTTCAGGTAAAAGACGATGCAGTGACTTTATGGAGGTCACTTATTTGGTAGATGTGACAGGTTACAAGTGGCAGAAACGGTCTGATCCAAGGCTTGATCACAGAACACCCTGAGAAAATGTGTAAAGAAAGTAGTGCATGGCTGAGTTAAAGAAGTGGAGAATAAGCCTGGAAAGATAAGAAAGGGAAGGCGTGGAGAGCCTTGAATGCCAGGGTGAACAGCAAGTGGTGAAAATGCTAGGCTATGGGCTTTAGAGACCCATGGGCTCAGTGTGAATTCTCGTTCCACATCATACTAAGTAAGGCAATGGTGTTCAAATTTTTTTGAACATGGCACACACTAAGAAAAATGTTTTACATTGTGTTCCAGGACACATGCCCACACATACACAAATGCACACACACCCGTGAATCAAAGGTGAATGAAACAGTTTTTACCCTAAGTATGCATGACATACTCTGATATTTTCTCTTCTACTTTATTTCTTAAAGCTGCTAGCTATGGACACGAAATTGGTCTCACCATCCATTAATGGGCTGTATCTCACAGGTGAATTAGATAATCTTGGAAAAACTACTTCCTGGCTGCATGTGGTTGCTCATACTTGTAATCCCAGCATTTTGGGAGGCCAACATGGAAGGATCGCTTGAGCCCAGGAGTTTGGGACCAGCCTGGGCAACAGTGTGGGACCCCATCTCTACCAAAAATTTAAAAATTAGCCAGGCATGGTGGAGCATATCTACCAAAGTAAAAAAAAGTAGCCAGGCATAGTCCTAGCTATCTGGGAGGCTTAGGTGGGAGGATCACTTGAGCTCAGGAGGTCAAGGCTGCAGTGAGCTATGATCACACCACTGCACTCCAGCCTGGGCCACAGAGTAAGACCCTGTCTCAAAAAAAAAAAAAAAAGAAAGAAAAAAGAAAAACTACTTCCTATCTCTGAACTTTAGATTCCTTATCTATGAGGAAGAGGTAATGCCAGTCTGATAGAGCTGATGACTAAATAAAACAGCACTTAAAGCACCTGACACAGAGCTTGACATATAGTGCATATTCAATACATAAAGTTGGAAATATTTTTGCCAATTTATTGATGGGGATGAAGAGAAGGATTTTGAACAGTCAAAGGTTCCTGGAAATTTTTAGTCTGGTGATTAGGAGACATTGTGCAGTGACATTAATTGGATGAGGAGACAGGATAAGGCTAACTAGGGGACATTTTAAGGTTTTGTTCCATGGTGTCAGTTTTGCTTTTATTTTTGGACTATAAAAATCATATTAGTTCATTACACGGTTTGGTTTCTGTATTTTTAATTGTTTGATGCCTTAATATGCAGAGGTTTTAATTATTTATGTATTTTAAACTTTCAAGTTCTTTCTATTGCTTTAGACTTGGAAAGCCCCTCCCCACTATTAGAAAAGTTAAATATTCACCTTCATTTTATTTTACTTTTTTATATGAATGATTTTATTTTAACATTTAGCTATTAATTCTTCTGAATTTTTTTAATGTATATGTGCATAAGGTGAAGTTCTTACTTGATATTTTTCCAAATAACTAGCCAATTTCCCCATGTCATTGTTTAATAATCTATCCCTTTCCAATTGCCTTGTCCTATATCATCATGTATTACATCCATGCGTATTGTATATATCCAGTTATGTGTGTATTTGGATCAACTTTTTGATTATTTTGTTCGGTTTATTCTTGCGATCATATCATATGTTTTTTGTTTTTGTAGAATTGTGCAAGTTTTCAAACATATAGCAAAATACAGAAAGTAATGAACACTATGTGCCTAACTCCCAGAATTAACAAATAATTAGCATATGTACCTCAGATATTTTTAAATTAATAAACTTTATCTTTTAATAAAGTGTAAAATAGAATAGTCTTTGGTTCATAGCAAAATTGAGCAGAAGGTACAGAGATTTCTCATATACTGCCTGCCCCCACACATGCATAACCTCCTTCACTAGCAATATCCCCCTCCATAGCTCTGGAGGCTGAGGCAGGAGGATCACTCGAGCACAGGTATTTGAGGTTGCAGTGACCTATGATAGGGCCACTGCACTCCAGCCTCAGCAACAGAGCGAGACCCCATCTCTAAAAAAGAAAAAAAAATCCCCCACCAGAGTGGTACACAATGAACCTATATTGATACATCATTATCACCCAAAGTCCATAGTTTATATTAGGGTTCACTCTTGGTGCTGTACATCGTATGGATTTTGACAAGTATATAATGACATGTATCCACTATTATAGTATCTTACAGAGTAGTTTCACTGCCCTAAAAATCCTCTGTGCTCTGCCTATTCACCCCTCCCTTGCCCCGAATCCCTGGCAACCACTGATCTTCTTGCTGTCTTCATAGTTTTGCTTTTTCCAGAATGTCATATAGTTGGGATCATACAGTATGTAGTCTTCCAGGCTGGCTTCTTTCACTTAGCAATGTGCATTTCAGGTTCGTACATGTCTTTTCATGGCTTGATAGTTACTTTTTTTAGCACTAATATTTCATTGTATGAATGTGCCACGGTGTATTTATCCATTCACCTATTGAAGGATGTCTTGGTTACTTCCAAGTTTTGACAATTATGAATAAAGCTGCTATAAATATCTATAATTTATAATGACATAATTTTTGAATTATAAATATCTACGTGTGAGTTTTTGCGTGGACATAATTTTTGATTTATATGAATGGTCTGATTGCTTGTTCATATGGTAAAAGCATGTTTAATTTTATAAGAAACTGGCAAACCATCTTCCAAAGTGGTTGTACCATTTTGCAGTTTTATCAGCAATGAATGAGAGTGTCTGTTGCTCCACATCTTCATCAGCATTTGGTGTCGTCATTGTTTGGGATTTTGGCTGTTCTAGTAAGTGTATAGTGGTATCTCACTGTTATTTCAATTTTGCAATTCCCTAATGACATATAATGTTGAATATCTTTTCACATGCTTGTTTGCCATCTATATGTCTTCTCTGGTAAGGTGTCTGTTCAGGTCTTTTGTGCATTTTAAAATCATGTTGTTCATTTTATTATTGTTGGTTTTAAGAGTTCTTTGTATACTTTGGATAACAGTCCTTTATCAGATGTATCTTTTGAAAATATTTTCTCCCAGTCTATGGGTTGTTTTCTCATTCTCTTGACATTATCTTTCCGAAAGCAGAAGTTTTAAATTGTAATGAAATCCAACTTCAGATATTTTTAAAGACCAAGATCACTACAGATATAACTGAGGTGATTTTGTACCTTTTCTCACACCCTTTTATTTCCTTACTCGTCTAGAGGTGAATCACTGTCATGAAGCTCATGAGCGCACGTACCATTCATGTTTTTACACTTATATTTCATATATACCCATGAACCAGATAAAATTTTATTTTGTTTATTTTTAAAATTTACAGCCATGACAGGCCAGGCATGGTGGTTCACACCTATAATCCCAGTGCTTTGCGAGGCCAAGAAAGGAGGATTGCTTAAGCCCACAAGCTCAAGACCAGTCCGGGCAACATAGCGAGACCTGTCTTTACAAAAACTTTAAAAATTACCTAGGTGTGGTGGTGCATGCCTGTAGTCCTAGCTACTTGAGAGGTTGAGGCAGGAGGATCACTTGGGCCCAGGAGTTAGAGGCTGCAGTGAACTATGATCATGCCACTGCACTCCAGCCTGGGTGACAGAGAGAGACCCTGTCTCTAAAAATAATGTAATTAATTAATTAACTAATTAATTAAAATGTATAGCAATGGCATTATACTGTGCATATTATTCTGCAACTTTTCTTTTTCACTCAACATTATATTTTTGAAATATATCTATGTTGATACTTATACATCTAATTCACCTACTTAAAATGCAATTGCATTGCATTCTATCACAAGTAAACAGAAACGAACATTAATTCATTCCTCAATAGATGCACATTCAGGCTTGTTTCAATCTGTTGGTTTTTGTTTTGACAATTACCAACAAAACTGCAAAGGATTTATAGTACATCTCTTTATGCATATATGTAGGCATCGAATACAGACATAGAAGTGGAACTGGAGTTTGTAGTATAAGAATATCTTCAGCTTTACTAGATATTGCCTAACTGTTCTTCAGAGTGGTTTGCCAATTTACACTCCCACCCACAGTATATTAATTCCCATATTTTCTAATTCTAGCATTTGTTCTAGCCAGACTTGAAATTTTGTTGGGGGGGGGGTGGCTAAGTAGCTGGTGTAAAAAGCCATCTCATTGAACAATTTTTAATTTGTTTTTCCCAGATTATAAATGAAGTTAAACACGCTTTGATATGTTTATATAATTTGCCCATTTTCTATTTTTCCTACTTCCATTCTTTAAGGATACGGATGATTTGTCTGTTATGCATGTTGCAACTTTCTTCTCTTGATTTTGGACTTTTTTTAAACTTTGTTAATAATCCTTATGGTTATACAGGTTATATGGTTAAAGCCAAATTGGCCAATTTTCTCTTATTAATTAGACTTTTAAAAAATCATTAAGAACTCCTTTTCTCCCCTGATACTACAGAGATAGTATCTTACATTTTTGTCTAGAAGTTGTAAAGTTTTTATTTGGTACAGTATGTCTCCTTCCTTTATTATCCACAGTGCAAGAGTGGCTCTTGTATATCAGACCTCAAAGAAAACTAAACAGTCCTTTAGGCACCCAGGAAAATGATCACATAATCTAAAAGAATAAATAAATTAAGGCTGGCTTCAGATACCTCTCTCTCTCTGTCTCTCTCTCTTTTTGAAACAGGGTCTCACTTTGTCACCCAAGCTGGAGTGCATTGACACTATCATGGGTTACTGCAGCCTTGACTTTCTGGGTCAGATAATCTCCCACCTCAGCCCCCCAAGTAGCTGGGACTACAGGCATGCACCACCACGCCCTGCTAGGTTTTTGTTGTTGTTGTTGTTGTTTGTTTGTTCGTATTTTTTGTAAAGACTGGGTTTCGCCATGTGGCCCAGGCTGCTCTCAAATTCCTGGGCTCAAGCGATCCGCCCACCTCAGCCTCCCAAAGTGCTAGGATTACAGGTGTGAGCCACCATCCCTAGCCCTCAGCTCTCTCTTAAGTACATGAAGAAAGGATACCAAATACACCGAAGCCTAAATAGGTGTGGGAAGGTCCCTAGAGAGGACAGCCCAGCCTCCACTGGACACTCGCTGCCACCACATGGGCTCTTCCAGTGGACAGTCACTGGTGGTGCTGAAATGTCACCTCTGTGCCCACCTTATTGTCTTTCTTTTATAACATTGTTTTAACTAATCATTTATTTTCTAAGTTTTTAAAAATTTTTCAGTCACGTTTTTAAAAATGCTTAATATGGGAATTTTTTAACAAAAGCAAAAATAGAGAAAATTTCGTTATAATGAAATTCAATGTAATCACCTTAGTTTCAGCAAACCAACTTGCATTTTCTGGTGAGTTTTAAAAAATCCCATTGGGATTTTGTTAAATGTTAGATATTAATTTAATAGAAATTGGCATTTTTAATCTTTAAGTCTTTCCATGAAGGCATATTGTATCTCTCCCTATTTATTCAAATCTCCCTAATTTCTCCAAATTAATCATATACACACACAATTATATACATCATTATGATTATTCCTAATTTCCATTTTTAAATTTCTGTTGCTACCATTGCTTATATGTTTTAGTGTTTTGGTTGAATTATCCCAATATATTGCTAAGTAGATAGCAGTGTTGTGTAGAAAAGCTATTGATATTTGAATATTTGTCTGTATCTAGGCTCTATACTAAGATCTCATTAATTCTGAGTATTTTTTTTAAATAATTGTCTTGGATTATCTTAGGTGCATAATCACATTTTCTGCATGTAATTATAATTTTATTTCCCCCTTTTCAGGAGGTATATTTCTATTTTCTGTTTTGTGTCTTACTATATTGAATAAAACATCCAGAGTATATTGAATAATAGTTATAATTGGGCATTTTTGTCTGGCATTAATTTTAATATGTTCTCTTCTAAGTAGTTCACCATTTGTATGGTGATGGCTATTATTTGCAATTTTATTAAGAGCATGCACTTTTATTATTTGTTTTAATAAGGCTTTTAAAATCAGGAAGAAAGTGACATTTAATTTTATGAAATGTCTTTCAGTTGTTTGACAATTTGATTCTTTGATTTATTGGTAATAATTCTTTTATTAATAGATTAGCTAATATTCAACTATCTTTAAAATGTGTGATATATCTTAATTGGTCAGAGTACATGATTTTATAGTATGTTACTGAATTTGGCTTGATTGTACTATGGAATTTTCATGTCTAGACTCATAAATGATAAGGATTTATGGTAGCGCTTTTTGTGCTATGTTTGTTATTAATAAGTTCTGGAATCAGGTTTATGTCACTTCTTAAAATAATTTTGAAATATATTTTTTTCTTTGGGAGATATTTTATAAGCATTTTATTTATGTCAATTGAAAGTTCGGAAGAACCAAATGGTAAAATTATCTGGCCCATGGGCAGCATTTCACAACAAGAGTTCTGTGCAATGCTTTATAAATTAGGGAATTTCTGGATTAAATGCAGTTAAATAATCACTTACTCTGGTACTTCTCATAGTTATGTCATTGTGCCTTGTAAACCTCCAGCATATTCAAATTTATTTGGTCACAGAGTTCCTTATATTGACGAACTAGTATTGGGTGAAAATACTTCAATCACACTAAAGCTTTTTTTTGGTGAGGATTCTTTGATAAATACTTCATTAGATTATGTCAGTACTTGTTACTGCCGTTTTCTCAGTATCTTGCATAATTTATGCCCCAAGAGTCACTCAGTAAATATTTAATTAATGAGTTAAATATTTTCATTTATTTCACTGATTATTGGGCCAGTGTTCTCAGCTGAAAGCAACAGAAAGTAATTTATGCTAGAAAGCAATTTCCCAAAGGAATTTGAGTAGCTTGGAGACAGGCTTCCAAGAACAATTCCTCAAGCCACGTCCTAGACATTGGAAGTATATTTTAGCACTGTTACCAGGAGCTCTTTCTTCTGGAGTCTCCTGCTACCAGCCCTGAAGCCACCTTGGCACCAAAAATCCAGCCTTATGGTTGCTCTCAAAAGCTCATGAGTGTCTCTGCTGTCATTCTCAACAGCAAAATGTATTTTGTAATTTTCAAATTGTTCACTTTTTTTTTGAGATAGAGTCTCACTCTGTCGCCCAGGCTGGAGTACAGTGGTGCGATCTTGGCTCACTGCGGCCTCTGCTTCCCAGGTTCAAGCGATTCTCCTGCCTCAGCCTCCTGAGTAGCTGGGATTACAGGCACCTGCCACCGTGCCTGGCTAATTTTTGTATTTTTAGTAGAGACAGGGTTTCACCATATCGGTCAGGCTGGTCTTGAACTCCTGACCTCGTGATCCACCCGCCTAGGCCTCCCAAAGTGCTGGGATTACAGGTGTGAGCCACCGTGCCTGGCCTATTCACTTCTTTAGCGGGTCACACTTATAATCCCAGCACTTTGGGAGGCCAAGGCTGGCGGTTCACTTGAGGTCAGGAGTTCCAGACCAACCTGGCCAACGTGGTGAAACCCCATCTCTACTGAAAAGAAATACAAAAGATTAGCCAGGCTGATGGTGGGCACCTGTAATCCCAGCTACTCAGGAGGCTGAGGCAGGGAAATTGCTTGAACCTGGAAGGCAGAGGTTGCAGTGAGCCGAGATCATGCCACTGCACTCCAGCCTGGGCAACAGAACAAGACTCCGTCTCAAAAAAACAAACAAACAAAAAAACCAAAAAACTTCAAAAACATATATATATATATTTTCCATATCTATATATATATACGCATATATATGTATATGTATATATATGCATATGTATATATACGTATATACATGTATATGTATGTATATGTATACATATATGTATATACGTATATATATGTGTGTATATATATATAGAGAGAGAATTTATTTGGGCTAAAAGTTTGAGGACTGCTACTGGGGAGCATAAACTCAAATTGCCCTGAATATACACTTTGATTAGCAGCAGCTACAAGTCCAAATACTTCAGTTCTGAATTTAAATCTCACACAGGTATGCCTGGCTGATGGTGCTGGGTAATCTGTCACTATCTTAGCTGCAAAGGAGGCTGGGCAAAGGTAGTTCATGGCTAATAACTTGGGAAAACAAAATTACAAAAAATTCTCCAAACCCAGCAATAGTGTTCAAAATACATATTTTCCTATTTCTTGGATCAACTGTGATAAAAATTCTCAGAATATTATACATTAATCCAGATTTTAAAACTTCATTAGCTTAGACTTTTAGTATTCTTTTATAATTAAAGTGTTACATATCTATGCAGAATTCTCTTTTTCTTTTATAAGTTTGCTGGTGTTCTTATTTTTGGTTATATATTCTAGAAGCGTTATTCTTTTTTAATGCCCACACCACTCCCCATCCTCCTCCTTGCCCCTGCCAAAAAAAAAAAAAAAAGAAGCATTTTATGTTTTTTTGAAGAACCAGCTCTTGGATTTATCTTCTAGTTGGTTAAGGCTTTCATCTTTACTATTTTTGTTTTATTTTTTCTTAGAATTGTTTTGGTGTTTTTAATTTAAATTTTCAGTTCATATATTTTTACTCTTTCTTGTTTAATAATAAAAAAATTTAAGATACACATTTGCTATTGATTACTGTTTGGCCATATTTCATTAATTTGGATTATGCAATATTTTCATTTTGTTATGTTCCAAAAAACCTCTAATTATAATTTGGGTTTCCTTTGTGATCCATTAATTATTTAGGACACTGTGTCTTAATTGTCGAGCAGCTGATGCTTTTTGGCTTTAAATGTTTAGTATTAATTTCTAGTTTTCTTGCATTTTAGTCAGAGAATATGGCCTATATATTTCCTGGAATTCCTTGAGATTTTCTGAACCCATTTTTGTAAATGTTCATGAAACTTGGAAGAGAAGATATATTATCTCTGTGTAGACTGTAAAGGTTATAAAGAGTTTAGATGTTGTTTCTTCACTTTTTTTTTTTTTTTTTTGAGACAGAGTCTGTTGCCCAGGCTGGAGTACAGTGGTGCCATCTCCGCTCACTGCAACCTCCGCCTCCCAGGTTCAAGTGATTCTCCTGCCTCAGCCTCCTGAGTAGCTGGGACTACAGGTGTGCGCCACTAAGCCCGGCTAATTTTTGTATTTTTAGTAGAGATGGGATTTCACGATGTTGGTCAGGCTAGTCTCGAACTCCTGACCTCAAGCAATGTGCCTGCCTTGGCCTCCCAAAGTGCTGGGATTACAGGCATAAGCCACTGTGCCCAGTCCACTTTTTTGTTATATTAGTAAAAATCTATGCCAAAATCATGAACAAATTCAGGCCAAAAGGTTAGTTATAAAAACATGTGGCATGAACAAGACCCATTAGCAGGAGAGGTAGCTATCTCAAGGTAAAAAGAGAGATCCGAAGGACATCAGAAGGGCTGATAGGAGGACATCAGAAGGAGGGTAGGAGGGAAAGATGGACAGAAGGGAGAAAGGAATCAGAATAGAAATGCAGATTTTAGATGCTCGGGAGCACAGGTTTGGGACACATTTCACGAACACTGGGCTCTGGTTGATGAAGTAATTCTTTTATACACTGCATGCAATGTCTTTGTCAGGGTGAGACAGATATAGCATAGGGTGAGAAGCTGCTTCTGGAAAATAAGGCTAAAGAAAAAGACGTGTCAGACTAAGAGTGGAAGCTGAAGGGAATATTGTGGTCAGTGAAGGGAATTTCAGAAGGGAGACCCTAGAGGGCTCAGGTATAACCTCACTTGCAAACTCTCCGCTGAGTTTGAATAGAAATAAGAGCACTGAGGCAAGAGGTTCCCGGATTGACTGAGAAACTATCATTTTGCAGGTACGGTATTCCAGCCTAAGATAAAGTGTGCACAAGTCCCTGCCCTCATGGAAGACACCACATAGTCTCAATATGGAAGGGGGCAGGGAGGTGGAACTCCTTTAAAATAATGCCAGAAATAGCCTGGAGAGGAAGCTAAGACGTAGGACATTGGTAAGTCTTCAGTGAAGACAGGAAGAAAGTGGAATATGCAAGCGTCCTAAGTTTTGAAAGCAGAAAGACTCTCTCGGGAAGGCCATGGGAAAAGTGGCGGTGGGACAGCAGGAGCTAGGCAGCCCTTCCTCTTTCTACCCTAGTAACTAGCTTCCTCTGTAGAAGACTCAAGGAATGATGTGGTGTTGGGGTCAGCAAGGTGAACTCAGTGTGGAAGAAGCTATTTCAGATGTCCAGGGAAGGCTGGGGTAAGAGGATGGCTTTAGGACCAGATTAAGTTCAAATCTAGGTATCTGTGTAAACTTGGGCAAGTTACTTAACCTTTCTGAGCTTCTGATTTCCTTATCTTTAAAACAGAAATGATAAGTGTCCACTCATAGGTTTTGTGAAAATAAATACAACATATTGTTGTACAAAACTTTTAGCACAGTAAACCTCACCTTTAGCTATGAGGATTCTGACCATCCTCATATCTTCACTTTCTTCCTTTCCTGGTTTAATGTTATCATCAATCATTATAAACAGTCCTTGAGTGTATCCTAAGCCCTTGACCTTTTCTTGCTTTGTTAACAACCCTACTTAAATCCAACTCTCCATTTTTTCTTTTCCTGTACCTATGCAGCTAAACCTGGCTGAAGAAAAATGTACAATCATTGTGACTGGGCTCACTGTACTCTGGTGAGTATTTAATACCTGGCATTGCATTTCCCTATTCCATTTGCTCTCTCACTTTCCAGGATGATTACTTCATACCTTTTCTCTCAAACTTTCTGCATGTCCTACCCCATTCTCAGTCTCATCTGATGACTTTGCTTACCATTTCTTTTTTTTTTTTTTTTTTTTTTTTTGAGACGGAGTCTTGCTGTCACCCAGGCTGGAGTGCAGTGGCACGATCTCGGCTCACTGCAAGCTCCGCCTCCCAGGTTCATGCCATTCTCCTGCTTCAGCCTCCTGAGTAGCTGAGACTACAGGCGCCCGCCACCACGCACAGCTAATTTTTTATATTTTTAGTAGAGACGGGTTTTCACTGTGTTAGCCAGGATGGTCTGGATCTCCTGACCTCGTGATCTGCCCACCTCGGCCTCCCAAAGTGCTGGGATTACAGGCGTGAGCCACCACGTCCAGCTGACTTTGTTTACCATTCCACTGTGAAAATACAGGCAAGCAGAAGAAAACTTTCACGAGCTTCAACTAACTCTACCTACCTCCCAACATTCGTTCCTATTGTTCCAGTTATGAAAGTTATGTAAGGAACTATCCCAAGACTTATGGCCTAAAAGACTGACCATTTATTTGGCTCAAAAACCAGCAATTTGGGCAGGGCATGGCAGGGATAGCTTTGATCTGCTCTACTTACTATTGCTGGAATGGCTTGAAGGTTAGTGACTGGAATCCCTTGGAGGCACATTCACCCACATGTTCAAGGTTGATGCTGGCTGTCAGCTGGGATCATACATGCCTCTCCAAGTGGTCTGGGCTTCCTTACAACATGGCATCTGGGTTCTTGGGTGAGAGTTCTGGAGCAAGATAGGCAAACAAAAGCTGTCTCAACTTCCATGACATAGGTACTCTAGCCACAAAGCATCACTTCTACCTCATTCTATTAGTTAAGGGGCTGCCCATATTCAAGAGAAGGGGAATTAGACTTCACCTGATATCAGTGGCAAGGTTCTAGAAGAGGATGTGGGACTGGAAATATAGCTGCATCTACTTTTGAAAAATACATTCTGTATTCTCTCCTGTTTCTTTAAACTGTGCATTTTGGCCACTAAGAACAACATAAAACCTTAAAAACTACATCTAGAGAAGTCTCCACACCTGAGGCCGGAGTTCAAGACCAGCCTGGGCAACATAGCAAGACATCATCTCTACAAAACAATTTTTTTTTAAATTAGCTGGGCATGGTTGTGCTTGCCTGTGGTCCTAGCTACTCAGGAGGCTGAGGAGGGAGGATCACTTGAGCCCAGGAGTTCTAGGTTACAGTGAGCTATGATCACACTACTGCACTCTAGCCTGGGTGACAGAGCAAGACCCTACCTCGAGAAGAAAAACAAGAAGTTTCTAATGTCTATGCTTTGGAATTCCAGTGTTGCTAAAACTTTTTTTAAAAAATTGTGCTTTTATAATTTTTCATTATGGCTCCTTGAAACAATTTGAGCTGGTCCCAACTTTTGCTGACAACAACTCTGAACCAGGTATTACAATGAGATTCCTGAATGTTTCAAGAAGAAAAAAATGTTCTGTCAAAAGATTGACAAGATTTTGGAATATTCAAAGGGGTTTATGGCCTTTAAATACCATAAGTCTAAATGAAAATAAAAATCTGAGTTTTATTTATTTAAGTAATAAACCTTTATACGTTCTAAGTGTTTTCATATACACTGGCTCATTTAATCCTCACAATTACGCTGAGGGGTACTGTATTAGTCTGTTCTCACGCTGCTCATAAAGCATACCCAAGACTGGGTAATTTATAAAGAAAAAGAGATTTAATGGAATCACAGTTCCACTTGGCTAGGGAGGCCTCACAATCATGGCAGAAGGCAAGGAGGAACAAAGTCACAGCTTACATGGCAGCAGGCAAGACAGAAAGAGCATGTGCAGGAAAACTCCCCTTTATAAAACCATCAGATCTCGTGAGACTTATTCACTGTCATGAGAACAGCATGGGAAAGGCCCATCCTCACGATTCAATTACCTCTCACTGGGTCCCTCCAACAACGGGGGAATTATGGGAACTACAATTTGAGATTTGGGTGGGGACACAGCCAAACCATATCAGGTAGGTACAATTTATCTAGAGGAAAATGAGGCACAGTGAGATAAGTAACCTGTCCGAGGGCTCACAACTTGGGGGTGGATCTGAGCATCCAACTCAAGTGGTCCCACACCAAATTCTGTTCCCCTAACACCGGCTGCGCTGAGAGAGGATGTTTAAGATCATCTTTCCCTGCTTTGCTTACTGTTCCCTGGGGACCCTCACTCCTAACCATGTCACACAGGTAGAGATACCTACAGCTTTAACAAGCTGGTTGTTTTTCATCAACCTCAAACTGCCTTAGTACATCTAACCTCACATACAAGACAACTCTAGGAAGTGTGTTTTTGGCTCTCTGCTCACCATCTGAACTTGCTAGTCTATTTGCAGACAGCTAGTAAGCCCGGTACAGTTTGATGCAGTGACTTTGAAAGGGAGAAAATGGCAACTGCAAAAGCTGAGGGCTGCCTTGTTCCTTCAGTCCTTCCTTGGCCTTTGTGCTACCCAGATGTCTGTTGGCAAATTCCTCTGTTTGACGATCAGCAGCTGTTTGACAAAGATCAATGCATTAGTCAATGGTGCCCACACTGACTACTCAGTTCCCAAACTAATGGTTTGTTTATGAACGGGTTAACTGATGGCTGGCTTGTTGAGTGTGGCAAAGCGCCAATCCTTCTTCTGTAATATGTGCAGTAGAGGGTGTGGGGCCTCTTGTTGGCAACCACCACCATGAAGTCAGAGACCACTGCCCCCACCTCCTTTCTGAAAATTACAGGATAGGGGAGGCAGAAAGAAAGAGGGAAGATGGTTCCGTTTCTTAAAATAATTTTACTACTTAAATTCCCTAGTCTCTATGTTTATCATGTATTTAAATCAATTTCCATTGACTGGAGACCAGTATGTAATGTAATAAGCTCAAAAGACATGTGTGTTTTCTTCTGAAATTTCAAACATAGATGCACTTTACTGAAATAAAGTCTCCACAGGATTGTTTCTTGGGGCTGTTGTTGTTGTCTATGCAGAATGGTCTTGTATAAAGAGATGCATAACTTAGTTTACTGAAGCTGAATTTTCCATGGAAATTATCCAGTGCTTTCCCAATTCTCAGGCGCTTTATCTGACAGTCTTTCTTCCTCTAGATAATGGCTGGCAGCAGCCCACAGAGTGGAGGTTATATGGTGCACTTCTGAAAAAGTCTTGAATGGAGCCATTGTTCCCCTGAGATGGTCTGTGTGTTTCACTGAACAGAGAGCAGGGTGTAAAAAAGGCACCTTGTGTGCAACTGTTGGCGAGGTTGGGGAGTGAATTAAAATCTCCAGAAAGTCTGGGCAGTGCTGTTCAGAGGAGCAATGAACACTCTGGAAGTACTGTTAGCTCAGACATTCCAATGTGGTGAGGCAGCCTCGGGGACACGACTTCCCTCCAATCTCGTTTAGAGAGGGAGCCATGGGGCGAGCAAAGGACACTGATCTGGACCTGCTCTCTTTGCAAAGATTTGAGGAAGGCGCCCCTTTCTAGGGATGGGGCCACAGTGATTATCACACTTGGATAACTTTCCTGCTCAACGGACCTAGAT
This sequence comes from Homo sapiens, assembly GCF_000001405.40. Lineage (NCBI taxonomy): Eukaryota > Metazoa > Chordata > Mammalia > Primates > Hominidae > Homo > Homo sapiens. Next base: position 93,992,208 of record NC_000010.11, read on the forward strand.
TTGCCTTGCTTACTAATCATGCAATGACTCATTTGGAGGATTCAATGTTAACTGCTTGTGCATCTACCAGTTTGTAGCTATCTATTCCCATGTGCCAAATTAAAAAAAAAAAGTCTTTGGGGGTGCCAGGTGATGGATGAAGTTTGATATTATTTGATCATTAAATGAATTATAAAACCATAATATAATACTGTATATTAAATAAATAGCCTACCTTGTTTATTGTCAGTGATGCTACCTCTTTCCTCAGCCCTTTATTTACTTGTTCAGGATAACATAGCCTCAGGGATTGAGTAAATTACCACTTCTCACTGTCCTAGTGCTAAAATGCCAAGATCTTAAGGAACAAAGAATTTCTTTAGAGCCCTCTGCAGAGACCTTTCTGAAATCAGCTCTCCAGGGAGGCAATCATGTTAGTTTTCATTAAAGTCCTAGTGGTGAGAAAACAGCAAGACAGTTTAAGGACCAGACTGGCAGATTTTTCTTAACAGCAGGATTCTTTGGGCCTCCTGTGCTTTCTTGCTCCAACCTCTCCTGTGTTCTGGAGCCTCCAAGAAGGAGAGATCACTTTTAAGAGGGACCCGAAAGAAAGGGTCAAACATGAGCAGGAGGAAAGTGTGTGGGAGGAGATGCTCCAGGTAGAAGGCTCAGCTTAAGTTCAGGTACAGAGCTAGAGTGGGAGAGACATTCTGTTGGGTGATCCTTATTAGCCAGGGCATGCTGGGTTACACAGCCATGGAGAGTTAGTTTGGAGGGCAATAGGGAGCCAGTGAAGTTTTCTGCATAGATTAAAGTTGTAAAAAAGGAAGAATAATACAGCGGTGGTTTGAAGGATTGATTTGGTCCAAGGGAGAGGACAGTGGGAGGCGATATGGGCCACAGGAATGGGTCCTGATCGGATGTAGGAGAAGAGGTCAGGCCTAGGGAACGGTCTTCCATTAGAACAGGTAGAGGGAGGAGGCACAGGTTTAGGCGAAAGGGAGGAGGATGATGATTTGATTTTTTTTTCCAGGTCCTTGGCTCTCCTAAGACTCATAAAAGCCGCTCCAGCGGCTAAGGAAGTTCTGTGCAAAGCCTGTAGTTTCTAGTTGTGAAGATCTTCAGGTTTGCTTGAGCAATGAAAGAGTACTGGATTTGGAGTCCGCAGTCCTGGATGGCCACCATTACCAGCAAAAGGAGTATTTCCGGAGCCTGGCACAACGCTGGGCACATTGATGGGGCTCAATGAATATGTATTAAATGAACGAGTGACAGAACAGATTCGAGACTTGGTGCTGCCATCTACTACAGAGACCTTGATCGTGTCCTTTATCTGCCGTGAACCTCAGTTTCCATATCTGTCAACCAGGGGTGGTTCCCTGGGGTAGTGTGAGAGTAAATTCCCGCCGCCTGAGGTGTGCAGAGTTCCCGCCCTTCCCGGAGCCGGGCGCCCCAGGAGCGCTCTCTCTGGCTCCCGCCAGAAAGGATGGCTCCTAGGGGTCAGGGCCAGGGGTCTGGGAAGGGGTCGCGCCGCCAGCAGCCAGCTCCGGGGGAGGCGGCCGGGTCCTCGCTCCGCGCCCGCCTTCCCCGCGCGGCAGGAGCCGGGGGCGGGCCCGGCACAGGCCGCTCCCCCGCCCGGCCGCCCGCGGTGGCGCTAGCGGCCTCTCACCCGGGGCGGGCGAGTTCTGGGAAAGCCCGGCCCAGGGCGGGGGCCCCGCTGCCGCCCGCGCAGCCGCCGCTGTCCGGGCAGCGCGCACATCTCGGCGGGAGCGGACTGTGAACGGCGCGGGTCCACACGGTAACGCTGGGCAACGTGGGCAACGCGGCGGGCGGCGGGCTCGCGCGGCGGGAGGGGCAGCGGCGGCGCGCCCGGGCTCTACCTCCCGGGCTCTGCCTCCCGGGCTCTGCCTCTCGGGCACTTGCCTGGCTCCTGCGCGTTCCTGGGCATCGGCTCTGCAGCTGACACACAGTAGCGGGGACACCCGACGCCGCTAGCGACAGGCGCGCGGACGGCTGGTCCCAGAGGGACGCTGCGCTTGGGGACGCCGGCGAGACTCGCCAGGAGCCAAGAGGTGAGGAAGCGACTCTGTAGCTCGGTTCCTGAGGACTGGAGAAAGGGAAGGATGGGCTGGTTCTCTCCCAAGGCAGTCGACCCGCCTAAGGGAGCAGCCCGACTCCGCGTACCTGGCGGAAAAGTGTCCTCGCGCTCCCGGGGGACCCGAGGCGGGCGGTCCTCCAGGGCATGCAGGCCGCCCTCGCAGGGGCTAAAGGACACCCTGCCAGTGCCTTCACTCCAGACGCCTGCCTCAGGTCGCCCCTTCGTGTTGTGAATACGGTGTGGAGGTGGCCAGTGCAAAGAAAAACGTAAGCTCTTTTTGTGGCGGTACTTAGCAGCGGTATTTCAAGGAAAGTGCTCAAGAGATTGTTCCTGGAGAGATTTGTGTACATCAAGTCCTAGAAAATACAATATTGGACCAGGTCCCGCTCTAACTGATAACTAGAATAGCTAGCTTTGCCTTCAAGTCCTTTAATGCTACAGTAATAAATACACTAGAGCAAGAAGTCTTCTGTCGTGGCGAATGTTAGGTGCACAGCGTAAATTTGTGGAAGCTTTCGCCCCTCGCTCTGTATTTAAGCCATCAGACACTGAGTTCAGCCGACTTAACCAATTATTCAGTGTAAGACTCATTTAGTGATTAATCAGTGTCATTTTAAATAGTGAGTTCCCTGAATACCTGTTAAGTAGGATTCACGTCTTCGAAAAGTTTTATTTGCACGAAGGTCATAATTTCAGTTGCATTATGCAAAATTTGCCCGTAGGTCTTTTAGATCTCTGCAGGATTGGTATGTTTTCATGTTTCTTATACCCCCCGTAGAGGTAGGGCAGGGCCGCTGCCACAGAATGGGCACTACTGAGGCCAAGAATGCTTGACCCCACTAGGGAGAATTTTTGAGAGCCTGACTTGGGAGGTGGAAGCAGGTGACCCCATAGGTGCTTGTACAGGTGCCCAGTTGTCATTGAGGAGAGAGGTGGACTATCTCTAGGTTATTGTATGCATCGATGTCTTCATAAATACTTTTCTGAAGAATGTCTGATGGTGTTGTCATCTAGACCATCTGATGGCACATCTTCCCCCACATCCACCACTCTAAAGTCTAACCATCCTTCAAACTGTGTTTTGCTGGTGGTGTGAGGCTTTTCCTGAAACAGCCAACCTCCCCCTGCTCTGATTTCTGCAGCATTTTTTCTCCAGGGCCCTTTCTGCTCTCTACCTTCTGGGAGTTATTTATGTAGATGTCTCATTTTCCCTACTGAAGGCATTTGCTGTGGCTTTCATGGCAAAATGCTTGCACCTAGAAGACTCTAGAGATAATTGTGGGCCAGTATTAAATCTTAAGACTTTGGTTTTACAACATAAATATCTACTTTGGAGAAGGAGATAATATAATTGAAAGGAGCTAGAGGAATGTATAATGTTTACCATTAACACTATCCTTTATTTACAGCCCCATGGGGGAAATTCCCTTTATACCCAGGAGCCATGTCTTACCAGGTAAGAAGCCAGATTGAACTGGAGGGACATTCTTCCAGTCCTCTTAGTAACATAAACTCCTGGGATGTGGTCCAAGTTTGACCTGTCATTAAAAATTCCATACTCCAGTGGGTTAGAAGCTAGATTCCAATGAAGGCGGTTGGTTTTGTTTTTCTATTTACAACCATTCTTAGTCACATTCTTCTCTGGGCTTTTGTTGTATACTTTAAAAAAACTGTTTGATGTGCAATTTGTTACCTGTAACTTTCTAAATGAATAAAAGAAGATTGAAAAAATACTGTGCATGGTGGAAGAGTTTTCTAAAGTAGACAGCAGGGGACGTTTCCCATGCCTGGGCAAGAGGAGGGATTTGCACAGAGTGAGGCTTGCTGCACGTGTGTGTGTGTGTGTGTGCGCGCGCGTGTGTGTTCCACACACCTGGCTGACAGGCGCCTATATAGGACAGTTGCTTTAGTCTTAATGCCTTCTCTCTCTGCCGGAACTACTTCTGCGGTGGAAGAACAATAAAACAGAGCTTCTGGGTTCAGAAGGAGAAGCAGAGGAAAAGCCAAAAACAGTAGAAGCAGCTAAGAGTGTGAATTTGTTTGCTGAAGTTGCTTTCCTCCCAACGTTCAGTTGAGATCTGTGGCATTGAGCAAGTAGGGGTTTGGTTGAGGCGAGGGAAGACAGGTGATTAGGAAACATGGTGCTTCTGGAAGAGGGGTGGAAGGTTCTGATAGGGTTTTAGGGAAGCATGTGATTTAGTTATGTAAGGCCCAAAGAGGAGAGTTGGAGATGGAGGAGTAGGGAATGGAGAAAGAGAGGAAGACGATATCAAAGATGCATTTTGTTATAGGCCAACCATGTGGCCTACAAAGAAGGGCAGAACTCTCTCTAGCATCATGTGTTCCTCTCTGCTCCCTGGATGCAGAATGCAGGGTTTTTACCGAGGCTATAATTCATCTGTGTTATGGCTTAAATAGATTTTCGTGGGCCAGATTGGGAACCAAGCCCTCGGAGGCTACATTGTCCAACATGGTAGTCACTAGCCACATATGGCTATTTACATTTGAATTGAAATTAGTTAAATGAAATTAACCACCCATATTTCAAGTGCTTGATAGCTACATGCAGCTAGTGGCTACTGTATTGGACAGTGCAGATATAGAACATTTTCATCATCTCAGAAAATCCTTCCCTAGAGGATTGTTTCAAAGGGGTAATTCCTATTAATCTCCAAAGTGTACTGGTTTCCAAATGAAATTTAGTCATAACTTTAAAGTTTCCAAATTTTACATGAAAATAATAGAAGTTGTTGTTGGTAACACTATGGTGCTTACTACATGCCAGGCACCACTCCAAGAACTTTTATCAATTAACGCATTTAATTTTTATATATTACTCAGTCAATGTGAGAGATCTTATCCTTTAGCTGTATTTCCAAAATCAAAAAAGCTCTAAAAACTGTGATTTTCATAAATTTGGCTACAAAACTTGGTCTGAAGTGACGTGAGGTTATGACAGTCTTTATTTTTCTCACTTGGTGAGAACTACACATATATTTTTACTTCAGAAATTATGGGCATATTTTATTTGCTGCAGATACCATTGAAAGTGTTATGTAAGATATGGCATATGCATTTTTACCATTACAAAATCCATAAAGCTTCTGAATCACAGTTGGCTGGCTGCTCAGAATTTGGATTAGGGAGTGTGGACTTCCATGATTATGCCCATTTTGAAGATGGGAAAACTGAAGCAACGAAAGGTCAAGTGATTTGCATAAAGTCACAGCAAGGAAGTGCCAGTGTCAGGAGCCAGTCAAAGTGGGCTGTCTCCAGAGTCTGTTCTCTTGATCACTGTGCTATCCTACATTAACCTCTGGGCTCATGACCCAAAACAAATAACCATCCTTTTTTTTTTTTTTTTTTTTTTTTTGGTTAGGTGAAACCTAATAGCTTTAACTCAGCTCATTAGAAAGTTTCAGATAGTGATCTGGCTAAATTGTTTAGCAGTTGAGGTTTTGAAATGCCATGGATAGTTCAACCACCGTAATAGACGTGCTTAGCAATTGTTTAGCTTGCCCCTTTCCACCCTGTGTCAGCCACACTTGTTTTTGAGCATTCACTGTGTAAGAACTGGTAGGAAAAGAGGTGGGTACTGGTGAAACCATTGGGCTCATGTTGAAATCTTTGGCATGTGGGGGCTTACATATTCATAACTGTTATGGGGTGGAGGGTGGCCGGTGGTTTGGTCCTAGTATAGATCAACTGTTACAGGCGAGGGCCATTTGGTGGACTACCAGGATTGTAAGCCCTCCTGGCGTGTTTTTGGAGGGTCTGCATCAATCTGACTCAGTCGGAAGTCTTTCTAGGGAAATTGAATTCCTCTTTTCTTGTGGGAGTTCGACTGGAACTGCAAGGCTGGTCTGGGGGCAAGAATGGACATTTCATTTCTCCTCCTCAAGTAGTGGCAAGCCTCAGTGATCTCTTCTTAGATTTTGGTCCAAACCTGCCTTTGAAGAAATTATTGAGTAACCCCAAGGTTTCTCCTTTGAGTAGGAGGAGATGTTCTGGACATTTGACCTTTTGTGTGTAGTTTAGCGTGGCCTCTGCAGGACCCCCTGTCTCTTTGCAGCCAGGGGGCATGTATACCTCTTGCGGCACAGTCTCTGAGGCCCCTAATGATCTTTCCCCACCTGACTCCCTGAATCCAGTTATCATGGCTTAAGGTATAGAGCCTGGACACTCTATTCGTAAATACAAGATTCTCTAGAATCAAATTTCCCTGGGGTTTACCTAGTACAACCTTGGATGAGCAACTGACCTTTGCGTAAAATAGCAATAGTAATTGTACAGGGTTGCTTTGAGGCCAAAGTGAGATGGTTCACCTAAAGCACTTTGCATAGAGACAGACACATCCTGAGTGCTCAAAGTTAACTACTAATATTACTGTTTCTTCCCCCAGGGCTCCTCAAGTCTTCCCAGTCTGCAGTGTTAGGTTTTGGGGAGGTGGAGATGGTAGGCTAGATCATGATCTACCAAAGATGTCCAAGTCTGAATGCCTGGAACCTGTGAATATGTTACTTTACGTGACAAAAGGGACTTTTACAGATGTGATTAAATTAAAGCTCTTGAGATGATCCTGGATGATCTGGGTGGGCTCAGTCTAATCTCGAGTGTTCTTAGAAGAAGGAGACAGGAGTGATGTGAGCAAGGGGTCATGAGCCAAGCCTCTAGAAGCTGGAAAAGGAGAGAAAATGAGTTCTTTCCTAGAGCCTCCAGAAGGAATGTAGCCCTACTAACCCATTTTAGACTTCTGACCTCCAGAACTGTAGGGTGGCACATTGGTATTATTTAAACTACTAAGTTTGTGGTCATTTGTTGCAGCAGCTGTAGGAAACTAATACAGCATGGAAGAATAAAGAGAAAGCAGTCAGGAGTGAGAAGAAAGCTATCAAAATAAGAGAATGATAATATAGCTAGCATTTAGTAAGAGCTTCGTACTAGGTATTGTTCTAAGCAATTTATAGGTACTAACTTGTTTAATCCCCACAACCCACTTTCTGAGGTAGGTACTTTTATTATCTGCATATCACAGATGAGGAAACTGAGGCACTGAGAGGTTAAGTAACTTACCCAAGGTCACACAGCTAGTATGCAGGAGATCCGGGATGTGAGTCCAAGCATTCTGGCACTCTTAACTGTCACCCACACTACTCCCAAAGGCAGGCATTTCTGGCTGTTGAGTCTGACACTATCAGCCACTGAATGGTATGTGACTGTACGTGGGGAAAATGCAATGTTGGAATTGGTGAGAAAGAGGGCAGTGTAGTTGGTTTTTTTCTTCCCCAGAACACTGGTTATTGAAATACTCGTAAGTTTTCACTGTTGCCATCTCCTAGACTGCATCTGGACAGCCCGAAGCCGTGGGAGCAGTTCCTGGGCTGGCCTCCCTCTCGCTCCCACCTCTGTTCCTGCAGCCGCCTCGCTCACCACAGACCGCTGGCCCCAGCGCCCTGTTGGCTCTGCTCCCGCCTCTGCCTGTTTATTGGATTTGCCTCATTCCTGACTCTTTGCTCCAGCCCGGAATTCCACCACCTCTGGGCCCTCCAGTGCTCAAACTTGAGCTGGTTAGTGTCAGGGCCCAGATTGGAATGGCCCTCTGTAACTGCCAGTGGGGGATTATTTTTGCCTTTTTCCTTTGATTATGCTGGCTGTTGTTGGTGTTCTAGCTGGGCTGCTTTTGTCTCTCAAGCACATAATCCAGAGTGATATTGGTTGGGAACAGGGGTTTTCAAACTATGTTCCAGGAGTGTTTGGGGCCTCTTCAGGGTGAGGGAGATGCTGAGGAATGAAGATCTCTATCGTTTACTTCGGCTTTTACCGAGCAGTCCTGCTCTTATTTGTCTTATATACTGGGGCTCTGTTTGAGATTTTGCGTGAAAGAGGGGCTCTATTGTTAGACAAAGAGACAAGTTTGAGAAGAACTAAATAGACTTGCCATAGACTTGGATGTACAAGAAATATAACTGTATTTTCCCTCATTTCATTTTATAAGTTTGGGATCTGGAGTCAGGTTGCTTAGGTTCATTTATATCTGGCCTCTACTACTTATCATCTGCATGGCCTTGTGCAAGATACTTGGCCTGTTTGGGCCTAAGCATCCTCATCTACATTATAGAGGGGTAACAGTAGTACCTATCAAATAGGTTTTGTAAGAATTAAATGAAATAACTCATGTCGGAGGCTTAGAACTGTACATTGTCTAGAATAAGAATTCTAACAAATATTAGCTTCTTTGATAATTTTATAGTTGTTAGAACTGTACATGGGCTAGAATAAGAATTCTAACAAATATTAGTTTCTTTGATAATTTTTATTGTTGTTACTGAGTCTCCCAGTTGAATGGCAGAAAAAGGATTTAGCCTCATATCTTCATCCCTTCTACTGCTCTCTGAATGGTGTTGCAGCTGCAGGTCTTACTTCCTCTCTCCCCAGCTGCCACTGAAATAGCCACTGTCCTTGTCCATAGGTGACTTCATATACAGTGCCACTGAGCTGCCTCTCATGGGTGCAGCAGCCGCAGCGCCCTGAAGTCTCTGAAGTCTCATTGCCTTCTGCCAGGAAGCGAGGTTCCTTCTGCTTTCAGGACCTATGAGACATTTTGTCTTTTCTCCCCTGACTACCAGCCAGTAGGAGTTGGAACGGGGGCAAGGGTCAGAGTAAAGCTCCAGTCTCCTCCCTGCTTCTGCTCAATACTGGGTCTATGATACAGACTTAATGCCCTTTAACCCTTTCCTCTGTGCTCTTGGGGTTTAAGTTTTTAAAACAAAAGCCAAAAAGGCTCATAGGTCTGCCCTCAGCCCCCCATATCCCTCCTCTGAAGCAGTGAGTACAGGGCTACTTGCTTGAAGAGGAAGGAGGAAGATATCTGGGGAAAATAAAACAAAACATAGATAGGGTGCCTAATCTTGACAGGGCTGTTAGTCAAACAGTACTGGCCAGTGTCATCGGTGATGTTTGCCCAAAACCTCTTATCTCTCTCTTCTTAGTAGTGGCATCACTGCTGGCTGTGTGGTTGTATGGTAACCTCAAGGAAATGTGCTCCATTTGTAAAAATAATGAAAGGTCTCCTTTAGAGGGGCTGATGATGGGTGCACACAAGTTCAGAGCTATAACAAAACTCAGCTAGCATTTGTATATTTTCATTGCTTTATAGGAATAGCCACATAATAATAATAAAACAGTAAGGCTGCTATATGTAGAATTAAGGAAGAGACAGACATAAAGAGAGACTCTGTTTTGATGACTTCACTTTAGGTTTAAACTATATAATATTACTGACTATGGAAAATCTGGAGAATGGAAAAAAATCATTTGGGAAAAAAGCCTGTGACCAAGTACATGCTATACAAATCTGGGATTAAAATATCACATAACATGGCTTAATTTGGATATCACAGGAGTTGTTTCAAGTTACTGTGATTTCTAAAGAAAGTTTCAATTCATTTGTTGTTATTAATAACACAAACTCAGATTTCATTGATTCAGCGTGTTTTTCACATATGAAATGTTTGCCTGGAAGAATTGAAGCCCTCTCTAGTAGCCTGTTTTGCCAATCTCAGAAAGGTGGATAAAATTCACAAAAGCTAAATACTCTGGGCATGAAATTGTATTCCTTTTCCCTCCACAAAGGCAGAATGAATTTGGATGACAGAGCAGAGCTTGAGCAGTTTGGTTAACTGTCGGGGTCTGAGTGGATTCACTTAGACCTAATTTGCTTCTAACTCGGTCTGGCTTACTGTGCTTGAGGTTTTTCTTTCATCATGGCTTGGGCACAGTTTTAAAATTTACAGTGGTAGGGATTGGTAAATCTAGAGGTAGTTGTGAAAAAAAAAAAGCTCAATTATTATTTGAATCTAAGAGAAGAAGGCAGGAACTTTTGAGCTATGCATAGAAGCTATATAAGTTTGCAAAAAGAACTCCAAAAATCAATTTCCTGCACCAGCAGTGCAACACAGACATCAGGCAACCTTGCATGCTCTCCCATGACACTCTTGGATAGGCTTTTGACTGCCTTTTGCTGGCTGAGAATGGTCCGGGCGTCTCTAATGCCAAGTCATGGGATGGCTGACAACAGGTGGAGGGCGTTCCTGTTGCAGGCATGCAAGCCCAGATCAAATTAGTCATAGAAGTTAAGAGAGTGTGCTCATTTCTCACCATGCTGTCTATTTCTAATGAACTATCACTATCTAAGGAGTCAGATATAAAATATATCACCCATTTAGGAGATACTCATTTTTAAAAAAATCTTTAATCCAAAAATAATTTTGCTTTAACAACTACAATTCTATATTTTATCTTAAATTATTAACACAGACATACTTCTGTTTATATTTATTTATTAATTTTTGATTATATGCTGTTATCCAATACTTACAATTGAGGGGAAGAAAGGAGAAGGGTCCAAGCTTGGCCCTCTTGGTTTTGGAGGAGTTGAAGGAACCGGTCTCCTAAGAGACTCATGGATTTGTCCTAAGCTACCTAGCTGGGGAGCAGTAGAATGGAACTTTTGTTTTTTCAAATAAAATTGGGATCACATGATAAATACATCATACGCAATTTTGGATCCTAGATTCCTTGCTTAACATTCTATCATGAAGATTGTCAACTTTAACAAATGAGATTCAGAAAATATGATTAAGTATAGAGTTTATTTGAGCACAAAGCTTGCAGATGACCACTCGAGGAATACCAGTTCTGAAATGAATGGGGTCAGTGGTCCATAGTGGAGAAGTTCTGTGTCTTACTCATTATTTTCTAAAGGTTTTATATTTTTTATTTAATCAACTTAACTTTTTAGTAGATTCTCCTGCACTGTCTAGGTAGAGAATTATATTACCCACAAATAATGATTACTTCTCTTTTAAATTAGTAATTCTAGAACATTAATAACTGAGTGAAGATAATAGACTGTTTTATTTTACTCCTGATTTTAATGGAAATGCTTTTCATACTTTCTAGAAGGCATAATGTTGGCTTTTGGTTTAAAATAGTTTAAATTACTTTGAAGAAGTAGTTTTATATTCCGGGATTTAAGCAAAAGATGAAAGGCAGTTGAATTTTATCAAATGCCAAAAAGGTAATCTTGGAGATGATTTTATGCTTTTTCACATTTGACCTGCTCATGTGTTCTATCAGGTTCACAAATTTCCCATCATTAAACCACATTTGCAATTCTGCTGTGGCAGTTCATTATCTGTTTGTTAATCAGTTGTATCTCTAAAATAGAGATATTAATCTAGAAGCCACTTGGATTTTACTTTGAACTTAAAAAATTAGCTGTACTTTAGCCATGGTCATCAAATGCGAGAATTAAAATTATTTGCTGCTCCTGAGTGTGCATAGATTGAATTCCTGGAGACCCCGTGTGCTTTCCTAAGAGTGACAGGTGCAGCTTCAGATGTGGTAAGGAGCTAGGGACACTGTTTATGTGGGCGAGTATAAGGAGAATGAAGTGCACACCATGGATTGGGTAATTGGGGCTTGTGCTCTTGTAAGAAGTTTTGGTGTTAAATCAAGGGTAGCCTCTAAAATGGCCTTCCTGTGAGATGAAAATGAAATGCCTTTTAAAAAAAATTGTAGGCTGGGTGCAGTGGCTCATGCCTGTAATCCCAGCACTATGGGAGGCTGAGGCGGGTGGATCATGAGGTCAGGAGTTCGAGACCAGCCTGGCCAAGATGGTGAAACCCCCGTCTCTACTAAAAATACAAAAATTAGCTGGGCATGGTGGTGGGCGCCTGTAATCCTAGCTACTTGGGAGGCCGAGGCAAGGAATTGCTTGAAGCCAGGAGGCGGAGGTTGCAGTGAGCTGAGATCGCGCCACTGCACTCCAGCGTGGGTGACAGAGCGAGATTCCATCTCAAAAAAAAAAAAAATTGTAAGCAAGGATACTCTCATTTCTTTATGTTCCTCCCAAGACAGGCAGAATTGGAACTCTATTATCAGATGGATAGACACCATCCTTGAGGATTCTGGACACACAGTATGGACTTCCTTTTCTGGAGTAAAACATTAAATAGCAGAGCAGCAAACCTGCAAGATGAAGCTTGGTCCAAATCATGACCTTAGAATCTAGTAATAGTCTAATTCAATGTCAAGTTTTAGTTTAGGTGAAAGCTTAAGGGGGGAAAAAGTGTTCCTAAGGCATATAGAAATGAAAAGAGAAAGCAGATATAAAACTTAAAAATTAAAGGTCAAATACTTTAACTCTGCGTTTGACAGCACCTGTGGGACTCAGAAACTGACCCAGAGATTTAGCTACTGCATGGGTGTCTTTGTGGAGAAGCTGAGGAGAATCTGAGCCCAAGATGTAAGAAGGTGGTTGGTTGCCTTCTTCACATTCTTGTTGCTTACGTGTTGCCCCTCATCCTTGTCTCCTTTTTGCCCACAATTTTGGACTTTTTTTCAACCATCTTTTCTCATCCATTCATCACTGATCCACTCAGCAGTTATTTTGAGTCACTCCCCTGTGTCAGGCATTATGCTGGCTGGTGGGGACAATGGTGAGCAAGGTCCCCACAGCAACTGCCCATCTGAGTTTACCTGAGCCAGATGATCATGCAGGTGGGGACCTGACACTTTCTGTCATTTGTGAAACAAGATGTTGCTCACTCTCTCTGTTTCTCAGTGTTTCCAACAGTTATTTATTTATGGAAGGATAGAACAAAGCATTATAAGTGAGGAATCATTTGTAAGTTGTAAATTTTGACGATGTTTTGTTAAAGGGGCTTAGTTAAAACTCTAACTTCACTCATGGGAAAGAGACTTCTGTTGCTGTTACCTGGTGTTTTCTTTTGCTAAACATTTCCATCCTCGTTCCTTCCTTTTTGGAGAAATTTATTTTTAATTTGAAGAATTCTGGAAGCAAGGGCTGCTGGGACTGAGGTAGCACATTCCAAGGAATCAGACTAGAATGTACAAGGAGAGACAGCAAATGCTCACCTTGTGACCAGTTCTATTCAGTGGGAAGACTCAGCAAAAACTTGGGAGGATGCCCAGGACATTGGTTGCTCTTGTATTGAGGAAGCCATTCAGGTTAATCTAGAGTAACTAGTTCACATAAATGCTCTACTATTGATTTATGGCTTTGTTACTCGTTTTGAAATTAAGGACTTTGGTTCATTCTGTAACTAGAATGTTTACTGCATTCCTCATTCTATATCCAGGATTTGCCATCAAAGATGTTTCAGTCAGTTAGAGAGACATGGACAAATACCTGAACTTCTCAGCATCTTTACCAAGAAATGTCTGGTAAGGACTTCCACCTCTGTGAGTGCAGTTGCACCTTTACACCAATGATTCTAAGCCTCTCCACAGCCTAATTCTCACTTCTGAGCTCCAAAGCTGCATATCGGGTTGGCTGGGTAGCATCTCCCCAAAACTCGTGTCCCAAACTGAATGCATCTTTTCCTAAACCCATTTCTCCTGAGTTCTCCATCGTAGTGAGTAGAACCTTAATCAAACCACTTGCTGAGACCAAAACCCTCACCTGATTGAGTCTGTGGTTTCTTAGCACTGAAGGCCTCACCTTCCCAGTCATGACACGCTGCTGCCTTCCATTCTAATGTTTGTCTTTCCCAATAGAGTGTATGTGTGCCCTATGAAGCCAAGGCCAGGGACTTTTGTTGGTTGTTCATTTCTCTTATTTCCAGCCCTCACACAATATTGAACATGTGACAAAGGTCTCAAGAAATACATGTTGATAGGTTGTACAAATGGGAATTCCTGCCCATTCTGCCTTCTAAATATCTCTGTAATCAGGCATACCCGGGTTTGATCCAGCTTTGCTGTTTTCTAACTGGGTGGGCCTTGATGAAGCTATTCTTAAGAAATTATTTTTAGATAATTTCTGATTTACAGATTAAGCTATTTTTAATCTCTCTATGCCTCAGCTTCTGAATCTGTAAAATGGACATAGTCATAGCACTTACTTCATGGGGTTGTGATGAGGATTAAATGAAATAGAGCATGTAAAGCTTATTACTGTGTTTGACATGTAATATCATCTGTTATTACGAAGATAAGTTTGGAGCTAGAATGTGAAAGACGTTCAGTGCAGATTAAGAGACATGTGCTTTACCTTTTAGAAGGTAAGGATCCATGAAAGGTTTCTACTGTGTGGTGGAAAAACCGTGAGCTATGGAATCAACAGACAAGTTCAAATGACAAGTCTACCATTTAATAACTGTGAGACTTTTTCACATGTTTACCTAGCCATTCTCAGCCTCAGTTTCAAAGTCTCTAAAATTTGGGGTAACAATACCTCCTACAAGGGATTGTTGTAAGGTATGAATGAGATGGTGTCAAAAACATCCAACACTACTTGTTTTTTTTAAAATTTACTTTCTTTACTTTAGTACTAAGCTCTAGGTTTCCTTGGAAACAGATCTGCGGTCAGAACCTTGTTCTTGGCTAAGCTCACTTTAACATTTTTATCAGATACTTGGAGAAGGCATAAAGCCGTATTTCCCAAATTGGCAAATGACTCAAAGCTGGGAAAATAGCTGATACAATAGGTGATGGAATGAAGGCTCAAAATGACTGTGGCAGGCTGGAATGTTGGTCCTTTACCAAATGGGACATCTAGTTAGTGGGTCAAAGCAGTTAAGAGCAGGGAGACCACTGAGGGTGATTCTGCTAGTCCTGATGATGTATGCAAAGGATCTGAATTGAGGTGGTGTCAGTGGCAATACAGGGAGTTATTAGTTGGGAAGAACCTTTTAGAAAACTTATTAGAATGTGACAGCTGATTGGATATTTGGGGGTGGGTGTGTTGATAAAGAGGACTATGGATGATTAGGAAGTTTCCTTTCTGGGTTTCTAGGGGAAAAAAGAGGTACCGGTTCATAGGAAGGAGGAAGTTAGGCAGAAGAGCTGGATTAGGGAGAGGGAGAGAGGACAGGAGTCTGGTTTTCTACATCGTGTGTTGGCTCTACTGAAGAGGAAGTTGAAAAATCAGGACTGTAGCTCCAAGGAAAGGCTGTGTCTGGAAAGAGGCATTTGGAAGTCATCCACATAGAGGTGATAGTTGAATCTGTGGGTGGGAGGGGAGGGGATGGCCAAGGAGTGGCTGGTGCTATTCAGAATCATTAGCATTGTTGGCTGTAACTTTAGATAAGCAGTGTAAACAAACCCTTGCCCAAGTGGGAACTAGTTCCACTGCCTTCCTGGTGCTAGTATGTAACTTGTTAAAGCAAAGTTCTGCAGGATGAAAAGAATCTCCTAACAATTTCAGGTTTAAAAAATTATATTTTTAATTACAGAAGTGATATACAAATACATTCTCTCTCTCTTTTTTTTTTTTTTTTTTTTTGCTACTGGTGTTTCCAGAAGAGTGAATACATTCTTGTTTCTAAATAATGTAAACTGCATATAGGTTAAAAGCCCCCTGTTAGTCCCCATCAAAGCCTACTTTCTTTTTTTTTTTTTTTTTTTTTGGAGTTATTTGGTCTGGTGGGTATTCTTATAGACTTTTTTCTATGTATTTACATAGTTACACACATGCACATGCACATAAAGATATACTTTTGTTTTCGTGTGTGGTTTTCTTTTGTTTTCTATAAATGAGTTCATACTATGTTTTGTTCGATTTATTTTTATTTTTAAGAATATGGCCAGGCATGGTGGCTTATGCTTGTAATCCCAGCACTTTGGTAGGCCAAAGTGGGAGGATTGCTTGAAGCTAGGAGTTCGAGGCCAGCATGGGCAACATAGTGAAACCCCCATCTCTCCAAAAAAAAGAAAAAGGAAAAAGAAAAATTATCTGGACATGGTGGCACACACCTATAGTCCTACCTACACGAGAGGCTGAGGTAGGAGGATTGCTTGAGCCTGGGAGTTTGAGGCTGCAGTGAGTGGTGATTGTGCCACTGCACTCCAGCCTGGACAACAGAGTGAGACCTTGTCTCAAAAAAAAAAAAAAAAAAAAAAAGTAACAATATGCTCTGAAAATCTTCAGGTAAATTTATCTAGATCTAAGTCACAAAAACAATAAAACCTGCTTTCTGGGTACAAATGTACCATATTTTGTTTTGTTTGTTTTTGAGATGGAGTTTTGCTCCTTTGCCTAGGCTGGAGTGCAGTGGCATGATCTCAGCTCACTACAACCTCCACCTCCCTGGTTCAAGCTATTCTTCTGCCTTAGCCTCCTGAGTAACTGGGATTACAGGTGCGTGCTACCACACCCGGCTAATTTTTGCATTTTTAATAAAGACAGCGTTTCACTACATTGGCCAGGCTGGTCTCGAACTCCTGACCTCAAGTGATCTGCCTGCCTCAGCCTCCAAAAGTGCTGGGATTACAAGCTTAAGCCATCATGCCTGGTGAATGTATGATGTTTTATTTAATCATTCCACTATTGATAGAATATGCCTTGTTTCCAACTTTTACATCTGTCCATCCTACAGGAATTTGCTTCTAGGAGACTGCTGAAGTGCCCCAGAGGCTGGAATACTTTGGTAAATAGTCAGCCAGGAGGTAACAAGCCATCTGGGGCAACAAGAGGCACATAAGGAGAAAGGAGGTAGAAAATGCTCCTTCTTAGTGTTGCTGCCATGGCTTAGAGGAAGGAGACCTATTCATTTTGGGGACTCAGAAGTAGATGAGAGAGGCTGAGCCGTGTGTATGGGTTTTGCAGGGTGGAACCATGGATGGGTGCTAGAGGTGAACTCTAAGTACTGCTCCTTACTGCTCTGGTCCCATCACCTCCCAGGGGTCAACTAGTAACACACCTTTGACCTCTTGTGTTAGTCTTCTCGTGAATTGCTATAAAGAAATAACTGAGGCTGGGTAATTTATTAAAAATTTAAAAAGAGATTTTAATTGGCTCACCATTCTGCAGACTGCATAGGAAACATGGTACTGGCATGTGCTTCTGGGGAGGGCCTCAGGAAGCTTACAATTATGGTGGAAGGCAAGAGGAGCCAGCATGTCACATGGCAAGAGCAGGGGCAAGAGACAGAGAAGGGGGAGGTCTCAGACTCTTAAACAACCAGATCTCATGTGAACTAATGGAGTGAGAACTCACTCATCACCAAGGGGATGGCACTAAGCCATTCATGAGGGATCCATCCCCATGATCCAAACACCTTCCACTAGGTCCCACCTCTAATATTAGAGGTCACAATTCAACATGGGATTTGGAGGGCACAAACATCCAACTATGTCATTCTGCCCTTGGCCCCCTAAATCTCATGTTCTTCTTATATTGCAAAATACAATCATCCCTTCCCAATAGTCCTTAAAGTTTTAACTCATTCCACCATCAAGTACCAATTCCTAAGTCTCATCTAAGACTCATTTCCCTCTACCCATGAGTCTATAAAATCAAAACAACTTATTTACTTCCAAGACACAATGGTGGTACAGGCATTTGGTAAACATTCCCATTCCAAAAGGGAGAAATTGGCCCAAAGAAAGGGGCAAGAAGCCCGAAGCAAATCTGAAACAAAACAGGGCAGGCATTAAACCTTAAAGCTCCAATATAATCCTTGACTCCATGTCCCACATTCAGAGCACACTGGTGCTTTATGGCTTTGCAAGGTGCAGTACCCATGGCTGCTCTCGCAGGTTGGAGTCTGCTATCTGTATCTTTTCCAGGCTTGAAGAGTGCAAGTTGCTGGTGGCTCTACCATTCTGGGGTCTGGAGGGTGGCAGCCACCTTTCCATGGCTCCACTAGGTAGCTCCACTAGGTACAAAACACTGTGGGGGCTCCCACCCCACATTTTCCTTTGGCACTGTCCTAGTAGAGTCTCTTTATGTGGGGGCTCTCCCTCCATGGCAGGCTTCTGCCTGGGCACCCAGGCTTTCTGATACATCCTCTGAAATCTAGGGGGAAGCTGCCATCCTGTGTCACACTTGCATCCTGTGCACCTGCACACTTAACACCGCATGGAAGCCACCAGGGCATATGGCAGTTTGTACTCTCAGAAGAGGCAGCCTGAGCTGTACATGGAATCTTTTGAGCCACAGCTGGAACTGGGGCAGCCGTGTCCTGAGGCTAAACATGGCAGGAGTGTCCAGGGTCTGGCCTCTGAAACCATTCTTTCCTCCTTAGCCTCTGAGCCTGCAATGGGAGGGGCAGCTTGGAAGATCTGAAATGCCTTCAAGGCCTTTTTCCTGTTGTCTAGGATATTAGTACTTGGCTCTCTTTTAGTCATGTCAATCTCTTTAGCAAGTGGTTGCTCTGCAGCCCTTTTTAATTGTTACCCTGAAAACAGGCTTTTCTTCTCTACCACATGGCCAGGCTGTGAATTTTCCAAACTTTTATACTCTGTTTCCCTTTTAAATAAGAGTTCGAACTTTAAGTCATTCCTTAGACTGATCACACTTGATTGTAGGCTGTTAGAAGCAGTCAGGCTACCTCTTGAATGCTTTGCTGCTTAAAAAATTTCTTCTGCCAAATACCCCAAGTCATCATTCTTAAGTTCAAACTTTCACAGATCCCAAGGACTTGGACACAATGGAGCCAAGTTCTTTGCTAAGGTATAACAAGGTGACCTTCACTGCAGTTCCAATAACTTCCTCATTTCCATCTGAGACCTCATCAGCCTGGACTTTGCTGCCCATATTTCTATCAGTATTTTGGTCATGACCATTTAACCAGTCTCTCTAAGAAGTAGCAAACTTTCCCCCATCTTTCTGTCTTTTTCTGAGCCCTCCAACTCTTCCAGCCTCTGCCCATTTCCCATTTCCAAAGCCACTTCCACATTTTCAGGTATTTTTATAGCAATGCCCCAGTCCCCAGTACTGATTTTCTGTGTTAGTCATTCTTGCATTGCTATAAAGAAATGCCTGAGGCTGGGTAACTTACAAAGAAAAGAGGTTTAGTTGGCTTACAGTTCTGCAGGCTGTATGAGTATGGCACTGGCATCTGCTTGGCTTTTAGTGAGGCTTTGGAGCTTTTACTTATGATGGAAGGTGAAGTGGAAGCAAGCATGTCACATTACCAAAGAGCAAGCAAGACAGAGAGAAGGGGGAGGTTCCAGATTCTTTTAAACAACCAGATCTTGTGTGAACTAACTGAGAGAGAACTCATCACCATCACTAAGGGGATGGCATTAAACCATTCATGAGGAATACACTCCATGATACAGTATCTCCCACTAGGCCCCACCTCCAACATTGGAGGTCACATTTCAACATGAGATTTGTAGGGGACAAACATCCAAACCATCTCACCTCTTATGACAGGGAAGCCACTTGCTATGCTTAACCACAACAGGACGCTGTCAGTGCCAGTAAGCTGGAAGAGCTGGAGGCTATGGGGAGGAATGGGAAAAATGAGTGTCCTAGTGAGATAAGGATTTTCACCTCTGTCCCCAGGTTCTGACCAAAGCTGGAGTGATTTATCTGGGGACGGGTGGGTTGGATTTGAAAACATTTTTCTTCTTACAAATATCCAAATGAATATATAAAATTTAAAATTCTTGTTTGTCAGCCCCTGAAAATATAACCCCAGGTGAGCAACTGTTAGCCTCTTCCTTTTTTTTTCTATGTGCATGGGATTGAGGCAGCTCCAGTGTAAAACAGAGAAAAGAAATGGAGGGACCTTCTACTCTCTCTTCTTTCCCTCTCTCCCTCTGGTTTTCCGCCTTTCATGCTCTGAATCATATCATACCAGGTGACCAAATTTGGGGCATAACCATTTTACTAAAACCCCAGGGCTCTACTCCTTCTGTTCATTTCTGCTGCCTTCACTCAGGGCTCAGAGGAGTTTCCATGTTGGGCTAACTGCAGCACCTCTTCATCAGCACTGATGTAGCAGGTGTCCTGCCCTGCCAGGTGTTCAGGAAGCTGCACCGTCCCAGGGTGAGACTGCCTGGTGCACAACTTCCCAGGCAATTGCGAATCAGTAACATGGCCGATATTTTCCAGCATGTGAACCTGGGAATTTCTTCCCTTGATACCTCTCTCCAGTTCCCCAAGTCTCACCCCTCCGGTCTCAAGTCCTCCCTGTTTGCAGCACAGGGAACTCTGGTTTATCTTTTGAGGCCTCTTGTTTCAGACACATGCCTATGGAATTCTGCCCAGGATGAGCCCATTCATTGGTCCAGTAGCCAACAGGGCAAGTCAAGCTTGGCTGGGAGTAGAAACAGGTGACACTCAAAAGATAAACTAGACTTCCCTGTGCTGCAAACAGGGAGGACTTGAGTTTGGAGGGGTAAGGCTTAGGGAAACTGGAGAGAGGTATCAAGGGAAGGAATTCCCAGCCTCACATGCTGGAAAACATCGGCCGTGTCACTAATTCACGATTGCCTGGGAAGCTGTGCATCAGGCAGTCTCACCCTGGACGGTGCAGCTTCCTCATCACCTCACAGGGCAGGGCAGTGCAGCAGCTGCATCAGTGCTGACAGAGGTGCTGCAGTTAGCCCAAAGTGGGAGAGTGGCTGCTGCCCACTTCTCCAGGTACATCTTCTGGTCCCCTTCCCTCCCCTGCACCCCAACCTTTTCACAACATAGATACTCCAGCAATAAATACCCAAAGCTTTCACTACTTGGAACTCCCTAAACTCTGTGTAGTCTTTCTATTCTGTGTCTTACCTTGGCCACTCACTCTTCCCCAACCCCTCTTTCCTCTATCCTTTATATTTTAAATTCATTTAGGCATCAGTCACTCTAGAAAGCCTTCCTTGACTAGTGTAGGCCAGATTTACCATACTGACTTTGAGTTTTCTGTTTAGTAACTGTCTCCCCAACTCCACTGTAACAATCTCAGTCACCTCTCTCTCTATCCTTGGGACTGAGCCCAGGAACTGGAATATACTAGCGACTCACTCAATTCATACTTGTTTAGCCCAACTAACCCAAGGCAGGAAGCATCTTTGTGTTCTTCCCCTAAGTTTGCCTTCCTGGCAGATCCCTAACTTCATAAGTATCATCTTGTTATTTGAGCCCCTTAGTAAGAAAACTCTCTGAGAGGCCTCACCTTGTAATAATTTGGTTGCATTCTGTTTGGATGATCTGCAGAGTGGAGCACTGTCATTTTTAGATTCCAGACAAATCTCCACTCCACCTAGGAGGAGTGAAGTGAGGAGGGAGCATATCACCATGCCAAGGTCACAGAAGGAGGCCTTGTAAGGCACTCAGGGTTTTGTGAACTGCCCCCCTCCCTGCCAAGCACAATAACCTCACCATGTATGTGATACCTTTCCTTTTGCAACACTTTGGCATATCTGATCTCATTTGACCCTTCCTACAAATCACCTTGTGAGGTAGAAAGAACTGATTATACAAAAGGAAACAAATGAGGCTGATTCATTTATTTATTCTACAAATACTTATTGGGTTCCCACCGTGTCTCAAGTGAGGCCTTGAGAATGGGCAGTAAACACAAGTAGCACATTCTCAGCTCTCAGGAAATTCTAGTTCTAGTCTGGGGAGGCAAACAAGTTACTAGTGTGCAAATAAGTAATAAATATAATTTCCAGTGGTGGTGCATGCTCAAATGACAACCAGGCAGGGTAATATTATAGAAAGTAATGGGTGTGGAGGAGGGGCTGCTTTCAAGCAGGCAAAGCCTTTCTAAGGAGATGACATTTGAGCCGAAATCGGAATGGCCTGAAGTACTTGTAGATGATCCCTGGGGGGGCTAACATTAGAAACCTGAAGAGGGCTCTTTCCCTACCATCCTTTGGGCTCCTCTCTTCCCTCTGTCCCATGTCCATGGCCACCTATGGGTTATGTTAGGGACTGGACATTGGTTTGTTTCACGGTGGGCAGGCAGGGGATGAGGTGTGATGCAGTTTCTTGGGAACTCGTACAAGCACAGCCCTGTCCCCTCAACCTGAGTATACACAGCCAGCTCAAAACTGAAGAGGGGCCACACAGGGCCAACTTGGCTTCATCTGTTGCCTTTTAGTAGTCCCTTTCTCAAGGGGTCCCTTAGGATTAAACTTCACTTTCCTCTGGGTCAACAGGAGGGGGTGTCAAGAGACACCTTCCCTAAGGCAGCTAAGAGGTTAGGATCCTGCCATCTTAGAAATTGTGGTAAAATATACATAACAAAATTGATCATCTTAACCATTTTAAAGTGTACAGGTCAGGTGGAGTGGCTCAAGCCTGTAATCGCAGCACTTTGGGAGGCTGAGGCAGGAGGATTGCTTGAGGCCAAGAGTTTAAGACCAACCTGAGCAACATAGAGAAATCCTGTCTTTAAAAAAAAAAAAAAAAATTAGCTGGGTGTGGTGGTGCATGTCTGTAGTCCCAGCTGAATGAGATCATGTCTCTAAAAAATAAAAAATAAAGTGTACAGTTCCGTGGCATTAAGTACATTTACATTGTTTTGCAATTGTTACCATTGCCTCTCTCACAAGATTTTTCATCATCCTAAGCTGAAACTCCATACCCATTAAACAATAACTTCCTGCCATTTTTAAAGCCCCGATGGATCATGGGTAATGAGGAAATTTTACAAAAGCCTCTGCTCTGATGTGTAGGATCCTCTTATGCTCAATGTAATATCTTTAGGTATACGCTGAAGACAAGAATCACCTGGCAGTGTGGTGATAGGAGAGGTGCCTGCTAAAAATGCAGATCTCTTTTCCCCTTCCTGAATCAAAATCTCTTGGGTTCCACCCTAGCAAGGATAGTTTTACCAAGTCCCCACCATGATTCTGATGCTGATGTAAATGTGAGAATCACTAGCCTCAGCCTCATGGGAAGACAAAGTGAGGAAGACTATTAGCCAGGGTGGATGGGTTAACTCACAGTATGGGGAGACAGCTGCCTGGATTTGAATCTTCACTTCACCTGTGGTTCACTGTATGACTTAATCTGTCAAAACCTCAGTTTTCTTATCTCTAAATTGGAAATTGTCATCTTGGTACATACCTCACCGCAGTTCCTGTGAAGACTGAATAAAATTATACACACGAGGTGCTCAGCACAGGTCATGGAGTCAGAGGTCTTGATATAGTATAGGGGCTGCTGTGTGCAAGGTAGTTATGTTTTCTTGAGGAGTTATGGGTAAAATGAATCAAATTTTACTACCTCAAAGCTGCTTTATCTTAGCTGTCATCCATTGCAGGAAAGCAACCAAGGTTATTAGTCAGGATAGAAAAAAAAATGCCAGTAGCAACTGAGAGGGTAGAATGCTTTTCTTGAAAAATCTTTTCAGAGTTAGATTCAGATAGAAAAGTTCCTGAGATGAATGGTTAAGTGACTAGTAGTATGCATTGCATCTATTGTTTAGCTGTGGGAAATAATAAAGAAAACGAGGGATTGGTGCCTGAACCAGATCCTTACCACTGCCCCACTGGGAACAGGGCAGTCAGGGTTGTTTAAAGACTATTCTGGATGTTTTGTGCCCCAGTCGTTTGAGAGTGAGGCTTATAGACAGTGGTCAGAAAAGCTTCCTGACTAGAACGTGGCTCAGGAGAAAGGAAGGTAATGGGAGCCTGGGAATGATAAACAGGACTCAGAAATGGGAATGAATAGGCCAGGTTCAGGGAATAGGGGGCTAGCGCACCCTAACTGAAATGAGTGTCAAACTAATGGGTTGGAGAGGCTAGTGTTGATCAGACCAGCCTCAAACCCAGCTCTATTTGGCCGAATGAAATATAAACTATCACCTAACCCTAGTAAATTTCCCTTTGATAAATATCAATTAGGCCAATTAGAGTAGTTTTATGGACCATTTTTACTTGGTACCTACCACATAGTGGGTGTTAAAAATTATTTGTTGAATGAGTGAATGAATCATACCCGTTGGTTGATCAGCTTTTGGAGGAAACATTGAGCAATCTGGAAGCCGCTATATGTCCAAGGATGTGTTTACAAATACATAAAACAGGTGAGAGTATGTGTGGCTTCGGAGGGGCAAGGCAGTATGATTTTCCATGATCGCCTCCTTTTAAAACATAACATTTAGAACTTTGGGAAAGGAATTGCTGCTATTTATGTAGGTTTTATTATGTCCAAAAATTATTCCTTTAGACAGTATAATATTATTATATATTATTATATTTAGACAATAGTACTAGGTTGAGTGTCCCTTATCTGAAATACTTGGGACCAGAAGTGTTTTGGATTTTGGACTTTTTTGTATTTTGGAATATTTGCATTATACATAATGAGCTATCTTGGGGATAAGACCTAAAACATTAAACTCATTTATGTTTCATACATACCTTATATGTATAGCTTAAAGGTAATTTTATATAATATTTAGAATAATTTTGTGCATAAAGCAAAGTTTTGACTGCAGTTTGACTCTGACCAGTCACATGATATCAGGTATGTCAGCACTCAAAAAGTTTCAGATTTTCAAACATTTTTGGATTTCAGATTTGCGAGTTAGGGATGCTTAACCTGTGTTTTGTCTAATGAAGCAGGATAAAAACAATATATAGTATAATTTCAATTCTGTAAAAGATCTATGTTCATGGGGAAAAAGCTGGGAGGAAGTTATAACAAAATTAGAACTTATTGATGGTATCATTTCTTTTGTTTATCAGCCCCTTTCTCAAATTTTCCACAGTAAATGTGTAGGTATGTATTACTTTTATAATCAGAAAAATATATAATAGCCTGTTTTATTTGTTAAAAAGTTAGTGTAGAGTATGGTACGGCACTTTGGCCAAAGCTTGCTTTGTTTTTTTAATCCCTGGTACCCATAAAATCACAACTGATATTTGAAATGATGACGTAATGATATTAAAAAATGAACTATACTTAACATGCTTCCTATGCTTAGTCAAGTCTAATACTACTCATGTTCTGTGATGCAGTTGATTTGCTGAGGAGCCCACACCATTCAGGTCCTGGGATTTGCTCCATCCCCCACACCTGCATTTCCCTTGACCTTCCTGGGTAGCCCCACCCCCAACCCCCATCAGAGCCTCAGAAATGGCCTGAAGGCTGGGAGGGGACAGGTCAGAGCCACCCTGCTTGCTTCAGATTGTGGACTCTGAAAACAGTTCTGTCTGTTTTATTTGGGGTTACACCATCCAGAAAAATAGCAAAAGTGCTGCAGTATTGGCCTGCAGATTAAGCACTTTAAAAAACAAAAACTAACCCTGAAACTTGTTTGCTTCATTTTTTTCTTTTCAATTAGGTAAGAAGTGTAAGTAATATTGTGTCCTTCCTTTGGATGATGAATTCTCAGTGGCAAATCAGAGGCACAGCTAAAATGAACTTTGAGTTTTAACGAGGTATTCTATTTGCATTTTTAATTCTATCCAAAACAAGCTATTAGAATGACATCAAGTGTTTGAGTCAGCTGTTGCCTTGGGCATCCACCCAGAATTTGATGTCATTGATGGGCATCCATGAGAAGCAGGAATAGTTTTTAAACTTGTTAACTGGAGGGCCACTGAAGGCCTTCAATTGGTGTTGGTGTTGATTATAATACAAATATAAAAAAGAAAATGGCTAGAAATCACCATCTTATATGACATAATACTTATACATTAAGTATATGGATTTAAAATGCTTCCCATCTGCTACGGCTTTGTGGGGGAATCTCTATGAGACTGGAGAGTTATTTAGTCTGGAAAATGTTTTGCTTAGTGTGATGATAAAATGTAGGCTAGACATCAGATGTAGGGGATCCAGATATGAGGGGATCATCAGACATAGGGGATCCAGACAGGAGGCAGAGCCTGAAGAAAAGAGTTGCAGAAGCTGAATCATATCTTCTTTTGATTAAATCAGGATCATTTTACTGAAAGACTGTAATGTAAGAATGTGTGAGGGTGGTAGAGTGTTTCTTTTATGTTTATCTCGTCCAGAGTGAGTTTTCATCTTACGAGTTTTTAATTCTTTTGAAGACAATTACCTTAATTAAGGAATGACTTCTAGAGTACTGGTTTGAAAAAGCATTTAGCAAATAGGTGTGCTGATGTTGACTGTCAATTAATTTAAAATTGCTTATAATACGAGCTTGAGTTAACCCAGCTAATTGGAGGCAACTGGCTGCTTGAGGAAGCTTGTATTTTTGATGCATGGATGTGTCATGCAATGTGTTCAAGGAAGCAGCTCAGGGCCCTTCCCACTTTTCTCTTCCCCCTCGTTGCCAGGCTTCCGAAATGTGCTATGCTACTTTGACCTGCTATGAGAACTTTCCTGGGCTTGCCCAGGATAGTTCTACTGCTTTTGCTGATGGAGGCTACTCTGCCCTTGCTAAACAGAAGGCAAGGCCAACCCATGACCTTCCATCCCAGCTCCAATAAGTGACTGTGATTCCCTCTCTGTTCTGTTTTCTCCTGACTTTACTTCCCAGGGCAGGTCCTCTTCTACAGACTATGACATTCTCTGGAAAGTCTTCACTGATGACTTGAGTTTATGCTGATTTCTACCATCTGTATCTGCACTTTTGGTCTGTTGCACAATTAGTATGCTTACAATTTAATGATTCTCTAACTTTTTTACTACCTGAACTATACTATTGAATATTTTGTGGTATTAGTTCATATCCTAATTTTTTTCTTTATGACTCTGTAGTAAGTAATGATTTCCTGTAGGGAGGGATTCTGTCTTTCTCTTCTTGTGAACTAATCTGGTACCTTGCACATGTGCTAAGCACCCAGTAAACTTGTAGAAATGTTAAGAATCATTTAGCTTCCTGCACTGGATAAGATAAGGAAAATGATCACATATAACATATAATAATATCCTACACAAAACAGTAAGTGTACAGATATTTGAGCCTTTATTATTATAGTGCTGAAGGGGTGATTTAAAAGAAATAGACATAGTCCTATATCAGGAAATAATATTTGATGACTCTGGAGAGGTTTTTATAATGATAAGAATAAAAGGTACTACTTTTTGAGAGACTGCTATTTCATAGGATCATTATGAGAATTACATGAGAAACTTATTTTTCCCCATTTTGCAGATATGAAAACTAAGCCTAGCAAGGTTGAGTTATTTAAGATAAACCTGTTAAGTGATGAAGGCAGGATATGAACCCAAACACTGCTATGCCAGTGCTATGAATTCATTTGAGATTTTCAGCATCAGATCTGTACAGTTGAGGAAGTTGTTTGCTGCTCAGAGGTGCCCAGCTAAAGGAGCAAGTGGGATTGAAATGCAGCCTGTGGTCCACTTGAAAAGTTGATATGTTATGGGGAGTAAAGTATACATCTATATAGCCACCACCTCAATCAAGAGAGAACATTTCCAATATTTCTCAAAAAGTGGCTTTGGGACATGTTATAGTCTTCCCAGTCCACCCTCCCCATCACCCACCCTGCTTCCAGCAGCAACTGATCCAATTCTATCTCCATAGCTTGATTTTGCATGTTTTAGAGCAGCACTGTCCTGTAGAACTTTATGCGATGATGGAAATGTTCTCTATATCTCCGCTGTCCAATATGTTTGCCACTAGCCACATGTGACTCTTGGAACACTTGAATTGTGGCTAGCACAATGGAAGAACTGAATTTAAAAATTCTACTTAATTTTACTTAATTTAAATTTAAATAACTGCGTGTGGCTAGTGCCCACAGTATTAGACAGCACAGATCTAAACTTCAAATAAATAGATGCATTCAGTGTCTGGCTTCTTTCATGCAATGTGGTGTTTTTGAGAGTCATCCATGTTTGTTATATAATGGAAATCATTCCTTTTATTGCTGAGTAGAATTTAGTTTTATGAATATACTACAAGTTATTTATTTGTCTGCTGGTAGACTTTTGGGTTGTTTTCAGTTGGGGGCTATTGTGAATAAAGTTGCTATAAACATTTTTGTATAAGTCTGCTTATGGATATATGCTTTTACTTTTCTTCTACGAATAGAATTTTTGGATTGTAAAATGTATTTAAGTATATGCTTAACTTTATAAGAAACTGCCAAAATGTTTTCCAAAGTGGCTGTACCACTTTATATTCTGACCAGCAATGTTGCAGTTGCTCTATGTTTTTACCAACTTTGGTATGGCTGGTCATTTTAATTTTAGCTAGTCTAGTGGGTGTGAAGTGCTATCTCATTGTGATTTTAATTGCTATTTCCCTTATGACTAATGATGTTGAATATCTTTTCGTGTACTTATAGACCATCTGTATTTCTTCTTCAATAAAGTGCTTATTCAAACCTTTGCCCATTTTTAAAAATAGGGTAATTTGTCTTATGATTGAGCTATAGAGGTTCTTTGTGTATTCTAGATGTAAATCCCTTGTTAGATGTTTGTATTAAAAATATTTTTTATCATTCTGTGGCTTGTCTTTTGAAGAGGAGATGTTTTTAATTTTGATTAATTCAATTTACCATTTTTTTATTCTGTGGTTTGTATTTAGCCTAGGAAGTTTCTGTTTATTCCAATATTGTAAAAATTTTCTCTTCTGCTTTCTTTTAGAAGTTTATAATTTTAGCTTTTATGTGTCGGACTATTATCTATTTTGAGTTAATTATTGTGTGTGGTGTGAGATAGGGGTTGAGGTTCATTTTTTTTCATGCAGAAGTTTTGTTGATCCATCACAATATGCTTGTAGGCTATTTGCATTTATTATTTTGTGGGAAGTGTCTGTTCAAGTCTTCTGCCCATTTCTTAAAAACTTGGGTTGTTTGCTTATTATTGAGCAGTAATAGTTTTTTTTATTGTTGTTTTGTTTCTGTTTTTGAGACAGAGTCTCACTCTGTTACCCACACTGGGGTACAGTGGCATAATCTTTGCTCACTGCAGGCTCCACCTCCTGGCTTCAAGTGATTCTCGTGCCTCAGCCTCCTGAGTAACTGGGATTACAGGTTTGCACCACCATACCCAACTAATTTTTTGTATTTTTAGTAGAGATGGGGTTTCACTATGTTGGCCAGGCTGGTCTTGAACTCCTGGCCTCAAGTGATCTGCTCATCTCATCCTCCCAAGGTGATGGGATTACAGGCATGAGCCACTGCGCCTGGCCAATAATAGTTTCTTATATGTACAAATACAAGAACCTTTTCAGATATGTGTACTGTGAATATTTTCTCCCGGTCTGTGTCTTACCTTTGTCCTTCTTAATGGTTTTTTTTTTTTTTTTTTGAAGACCAGAAGTTTTAAATTTTGATTAAGTTCATTTTATTGTGTTTTTAATTGTTAGTGCTTTTAGTGTCTTAAGAAAATTTTCTGTATCCCAAGGTCTTGAATATTTTTTCTGTTTCCTTCTAGAAATTTTTGTTGTTTTAGATTTTATATTCTGGCCTATAATCCCTTATGAATTAATATTTGTGCATGGTATGACATGGGGGTTGATGTTCATTTTTGTTTTTATTTGAATCCAGCACCATTTATTGACTGCCCTTTCCCCATTTAATTACATTTGTACCTTTGTTGAAAACTCAATCGACCATATATATGTAAATCTATTTCTAGACTATATTCTATTTCATTGATGTAAATTTCTATCCTTATGCCAGTATCACATTGTCAAGATTATTGGAGCTTTGTAGTATCTTGAAATTAGGTTAACTTCTCCAATTTTTCTCTCTTCTAAGAATTATTCTGACCATTCTAAAGCCTTTATGTTTTCCACAAATTTGCTAGATTGTTTCAATTTGAAAAATTAGTCGATATAGTTCACGATGTTAACCTATTAAGAGAGGAAAAATCATATTATCTCACTAAATGCAGAAAAACATTGGAAAATCCTTATTTGTGATAAAAATTTTCAGCAAACTAGGAACACAAGATAAAATCTTCAGTTTAGTAAAGGGCATTTATTAAGACACCTACAGCTAATATATTAAATAGTGATGTATTGAATATTTTCCCCATATGAATGAGGACAAAGTAAAGATGTATGCTCTTAGTACTTAGCATCATAATTGAAGATTCTAGCCACTAGAGTAAGGCAAGAAAAATAAATAAAAGATTTACCTTTGGAAAGAAAGAAGTACAACTTTATTTGAAGATGAGATGATTGTCTATGTAGAAAATTCTAAGTCACCTAAAAAATATTTGCTAGGAGTAATAATTGAATTTAACAAGGTTATAATTTATGTTGTCTATAAATAACAATTGTATTTCTGTGTATTAGCAACAACCAACTGAAAAATAACATTTAAGATAATTTTATTTACAAGACCACCACTAACATAAAATATTTAGGAACATACTTAACAAAAGATGTGTAGACCTCTATACAGATAAATAAAAAACATTGCTTAGGTAAATTAAAGAAGATATGCATATATACATATGTATGTGTGTGTGTATTCATATGTCTGTCTATGTGTGTATATGCATATATATTTTTCTTTGCATATATATATAAATATATATGTAAATCCATGTAGAGAGAGAAAGCAGAAAGTGTACTAGCACTGGCTAACTATATTATAGAGTAGAAGCCTAAATATAGTTAAGATGTTATTTTTCCCAGAATTGATATATTGATTTAAGCCAATCTTATCAGAGTCTGTATAGGCCCCCCTTTTTTTAAGAAATTGATTTTCTTACTGATCAAGGTAAATGGTTTGGATTTAACACACTACTAGATGGAACTCTGTTCCTTCTCAGGTAAAGTGATATGATGAAAATAGTGTTTGGAGAAGATTTTTCTGAAAATTATATGGAATGGATTGAAACAGAAGGAAGTCAGTTTCAGAGACTGGAAGCCCTTAAGTAATCCAGATCTTAATGGACAAGGATTGGGCTCATATAGCCATGGAAGGAAAGGAAAGGGTCAAATGTTTATTAAGACTAACTATATGTCTTGGTACTATGCTGGAAATGTAAAGTGTAGCATATTTATAAAACCCTTTCAGTTTAAAGATGCATGTTCTTCAGGGGCTCTCAATCTGTGAGGGGGCCCTATATTATCAATAGTTACAAAATAATGTGCCATGACATGATGTGGTGGTGGAAGGTAGGAAGAGCTACAGGAAACAGATGAGAGCAATTAATGCGGACAGGTGGGTGTCAGGGAGGGCTGCAGAACAAAGATGGCATTTAAGCTGAATGATGGAGTCAACAGAGTTAGAAAATAGTGGGAAGGGAAATGCACAGAGGCATTAAGTGCTAGGCTGATTCAATAAATTGCACAAAATCCAATGTGACTGCATAACTCTTCTTTGGGGGTTGGCCAGAGATGAAGCTGGAAAAAATAGACTAGGATTGACTTTTGGTGGGTCTAGTGCCATCTAAAATCTTGTGTTGCCCACTTTTCTCTCTTTTCATATCATCAAAGTTGTAGATCTGTGTGTGTTTGTGCATGCCTGCACACACACATAACTCCAGAATCTTGACATTATTATACAATGAAGGAGAGGGAGTCCTGTGAGCATCACAACATCACAATTCTATCCACTTCCACTCTTGGCTTAAAGTTACATTCTACTAACATCAATGACCCATATTTCTGGGAGAGTTATGATGATTTGCACGCTGATTAGAGACTGTCTTTACAGGGAAGATTTCCTTTCCTTGTGAGATTTGCAATTGGGAATTAACCTGTTATGGACAAACTTTTTTGTGATCCTCTATTTTACTGTATTGGCAGCCTTATCAATGTGTTAGTTCAAAAATATTTGTGTAGCTTTCTCATCTACTTATTAGTCAACTTCTAATATGTAATATACATAAAGTATAAAGATTAGGGTATCTGGGTTTTTTGAGTCTGGAGCCTTGCATTCCAGACTCAGAAACTTTTCTAATAAAGGGAGTTAAAGGCACAAAGGGTTAAATCTTTGTGGTCTTGGAAAAGAACTCAGATGAGTACACCAGTGCCTTTAGGGAATGTTTTAAGAGGTTTGTTTCCTTGTGAGTTATGGAATTTTCATCATAATAGTTCAGAGAAAGGAGGTCAGGAAGGAGTGGAGCAGCAGATATTCGGGAGAAGAAAAAGTAAAGACTGACTCATATTATGTAGGGTTTGCATGTGGGTGTATACACACTTAAATCCATGTGCACCGTGTGCACGTGATAAGGGAAAAGGGAGGAAAGGATTGCTTAGGCAAAATGTTTTCTTTAATCTCTTTGCTGAGTGGGCCTTGGGGAAGAGAATGCATAAGTAAATAACTGACCAATGTTGGTTGGTTGTTATATACAGATACTCAAAGGGACTCTATAAAACTCTAAAGAAGCAAATAGGGATATTAAATTCTATTACCAGTTTTGGCAGTTACTTTAGTGTCTCTTTTCCGTGATGGTGAAATTACTGAGTAACTTTTACTGTCTTTGATTGGATGAAATGTTCTTCTGAGGACTTCAGATGAATTCATGGTTATGCATTGTGTTTTCCTACTTTGTCTTTTGTTACCTGGTTCCCTTTATCTAAAGTCTCTTTTCCTTTTCATGAATACAGGTAATTACTACCTTACTATAAAGTCCTAGCTCAAATACCCTATCATTAGACTTTACTGATCTCTTGGTTTGTAGCCATCTTACCTTCTAAACTCTATGGAATTCAACAGGTGCTTAACCAATAGGCAGTTAACTGATAAATTAGTTTTTGTTATTGTTGTTAAGTCACACCTCCTTTAAACACCTTTAATATGCTTGTATTTCATATTTTTCTAACTTAACTATTCTTTAGAATTCCATTTGGCTTAGGAGAATAAAATTGGAAACATTCTAGGAATTAGTGACTATAACTTTCCCACCAATGCAGGAATTTTCTATAGAGGTTTCTTGTTATTTCACTCTTCTGTACTCTTGGACAAGTCATTCAAGCATTCTGAGCCTTATTCCTAAAATAGGTATGATAATAATACTACCCCCACCTTTTTAGTTTTAGTTAGGAAAAGATTTAGATGTGAGTGACAGAAAACCCAAGACAATGGTGGCTTAAACAAGATAGAATTTTTTTTCCCTCCCCTAAGTCCCGGAAACAGGCAGTCAGGTTTCTATCTTGTTTTTTTTTTCCTATACATGACATTCATTCTCATGTTCACCTCACAATCTAAGATGGCTGCTCCAGCTCTGGCTATCATGCCTTTCTTCCAATCAGCAGCAGAAGAAAGAGGGGCAGGAAAAGGGCAGACTCTATTCCTTCAAGCTCTCTTTCCAGAAATTGCAAACCACTTTGCTTATATCTCTTTGGCTGTAACTTAGTCCCATGGCCACATCTAGCTGTAAGGGAGGCTAATAAAGGAATATCCATATGCTTAGGTCAAATTCAGAGGTTCTACTACTGAGGAAATGAGAACAGATTTTGGGGGGAAATTAGGAGTCTCTGCCACCCTACTGATAATGTTGTAAAGATTAAATGAGATAGTATGTATTCTGTGCTTAGAACATGCCTGATAGATAATACATGCTCAGTATTAGGTCATTGTTTTTATAATTACCCTTGGTATACAGTCATCCATTTTTACTCTGTCATTCTAAATTCTCTCTGTTTATTTGTTCAGCATATATTGAGCATCCCTGATGCTGAATAATGTGCCTCTGTTTAAATCTATCAGTAACTGAAAGAAGGCCATCATCCAAGATAGCCCACCCTTTGTTGAAAAGCTCTAAAAGTTAGGGAAATCTTTATCAGACGGATCCAAAGCTTACCTCTCTTATAATTCATGTCTTAGTCCTGATCCTCCCTTTTGAAAGAATATGAGATGAGCCCATTTCCTCATCTCAATTCTTCAAATAAATAAAGATGGCTATCAAGCCTCCCACATAGTTTTCTTGCTCTAACCATGCATTTCATTAATTCATTATTTATCTAGTACATGGACTGGCAGACTTTTCTGTAAAGAGCCAGATGGCAAATATTTTCGGCTTTGTAGACCATATGGTATTTGTTACCACTTTTCAGCTCTACTATTATAATGCAAAAGCAGCTACAGACATGACATAAATAAATAGATGTGGCTGTGTTCCAATAAAATTTCATTTACAAAAACAGATGGCTTACCAGATTTGGGACTCAGTATGTAGTTTTCCAGCCCTTGATTTAGCCCATGAAAACACCCATCAACAGGATTATTCCTGGCCCATAGTCCCCTCTCCTGAAGCTGAAAACTTACCCTGTCACTCCTGATTCTGCTTATACCTTTCATTTATTTTTCTTGTCTTAATGCTTTGGCTAGAATTTCCAGCAATTCTTGCATCTCCATAGATCGACTTCCTGGCCAGTCATTTCTTTAGTCATATTACCTATCCCCAAATATCTCAAGATTGGACATACTATCTTGACAGGTACCCTCTTGTTCTGCCATATTTTTAGCCCACACAACCTTTGACCTCTCCCAGGCTGGCACTTATCCAATCTCCCCCATAAACCTGTTCACACTAAGAAAAGAAGAATCCCTTTTTCCATCTTTTTCTTCTTCAAACCCACTAGACTATGTTCTTCATTCAGTGCTTTAGGTTATCTTTAGCCAACAGTTGAATGCCACTATAACTCTAAATCTAACCTAACCTAGCCAGCTTCCCTTAAAAACAACCTAGAGCTGACCAAGAGTGAGTAAATAGAAAGTTAACAGTTATTGATGGGTCAGCTGCTGCTGACATACAAAATGTATATATATATTTCATCTCAATATTATAGATGTGGAAAGTATATCTCAAAATTGATAATTTAATCAGCTCAGGATCATGCAGCTTAGATTTAAGGAGTTGATCCCAGATATAGAACTGAAATTAAAATTGGAGTGGACCTAGTGAAGGGTGTGTATCTGGTACAGTAAATTCAATGCCATTTCACTGATACAACAGAGCTGCCAGACCTTGGTTGTTCTTTCTTACCAAGATATTTCAAGGCATAGAATAATAAACATTTGCCTTGAATTTTTGGATTTCAAAGTATTTCCTTCACAACCTGATGGAGTAGGTGATTTTATTTCTATTTTACAGAAGAAGAAATCAAACCCCAAAGTGGTTAAAATTTTTACCTGAGATACCAGACCCCAATGTCTGACTGTTTTCTTTTTATGACTGCCCATATTTGCTCTTCCCTGAAAACTCCACCCCACCTGTTTATCTAACTACTTCCTACTTATCTTTTGAAACTCAACTGAGTTGTCTTCTTGTGAAGGAAACCCTCCCTGGAAATCACTCCCACCCCATCAGCACTGTCTGCTTTAGATGTTCTTCCTCTGTGTTAATGCAGATTATAGCTCTATTTACACTGTACTTTGGTGACTTATCAGATGGTAAGGAAATCCAGGACAAGATCCCTGCCTTATTTAATTGTGTACTCAACAAATATTTGCTGAATAAAGGAATGGTCTGAGATTGAACCAAGTCTAGTGCTCTATAAAGTCTGCTCCCTGTAATGTTGCTCATCCATGATTCATGATAGTAAGCTGGAGGCAAAGCAAAGACCATTGCTTCGATGTCTGTGTATATCCTCAGCCTTCCAGAGACAAAGCCACATATAAGATAAGCTTCTTGGCTGGGCTTGGTGGCTCATGCCTGTAATTCCAGCACTTCGGGAAGCCAAGGTGGGCGGATCACAAGGTCAGGAGATCGAGACCATCCTGGCTAACATGGTGAAACCCCGTCTCCACTAAAAATACAAAAAATTAACTGGGCGTGGTGGCACATGCCTGTAGTCCCAGCTACTCAGGAGGCTGAGGCAGGAGAATCGCTTGAATCCATGAAGTGGAGGTTGTAGTGAGCCAAGATCATGCCACTGCACTCCAGCCTGGCGACAGAGTGAGACTCCATCTCAAAATAAATAAATAAATAAATAAATAAATAAGATAAAAAATAAAAAATGAAAGGCTTCTCCTAGCAGCCATGGGTCTTCATAGCTAGAAGACATCAGAAACCCAAACCCATAGGGCTTCAGACTAGATGGAAGATAAAACAGCATAGTCTATGGCTAAGAGAAGAGATTCTGTAGTCAGTCTTCTTGGATTTGAATCCTGTCTCAATCATTTTCCAGTGGAGGGATCTTTGGCAATTCACTTAGCTTTTCTTTGCTTTGGTTTCTACTCTTTCAAATGTGGATAGCAGAAATTATTTGTATTAGTTATCTATCACTGTGTAGCATATTAGCCCAAAATGTAGTGGCTCAAAGCAATAAACATTTATCATCTCACAGTTTCTGTGGTCAGGAATTTGGGACGAGGCTTATCTGTCTGAGGGTCTGTCATGTGGTTGCAGTCAAGATATAGGTTGCAGATACAATCATCTAAAGCCTTGACTATAGCTGGAGGATCCGCTTCCAAGATGGCGCACTCACATGGGTGTTGTCAAGAGTCCTCCATACTTTCCACAGGGATCTCTTCTTACAATATGGCAGCAGATTACCCCCAGAGCATGCGAGAGAGGAGTAGCAAGGAGGAAGCTCCAATGACTTTCATGACTGATTCTCAGCAGTCATGTACTGTTCCTTCTACCACATTCCATACATTAGAGGGAAGCCACTAAGTATAACCCACATTCAAGGGGCGGGGAATTAGGCTCCACCTTGTGAAGAGAGGAGTATCAAAGAATTTGTGGACATATTTTAAAACCATCACACTATCTTGTAGTATTGAGTGAGAATTACACAAGATAATAATTGCAAAGTGGCCGGGCACAGTGGCTCACACCTGTAATTCCAGCAATTTGGGAGGCTAAGATGGGAGGATCGCTTGAGCCCAGAAATTCAAGACCAGACTGGGCAACATGGTGAATCCCTGTCTTTACAAAAAATACAAAAATTAGCCAAGCGCAGTGCTATAGTCTCAGCTACTTGGGAGGCTGAGGTGGGAGGATCACTTGAACCCAGGCTGGTTTTAAAATATGTCCACAAATTCTTTGATATTTCTCCTTTCAAAAGGTGGACCCTAATTCCCCTCCCCTTGAATGTGGGTTATACTTAGTAATTCCTTCTAACATATAGAATATGATAGAAGGAACAGTATGTGACTGCTGAATCCAGGAGGCAGAGGTTGCAGCAAGCAGTGATTGTGCCATTGCACTTCAGCCTGGTAACAGAATGGGACTCTGTCTCAAAATTATGATGATGATGATGATATTTATAATTATAATAACAACAATAATTACAAAGTCCTTAGAACAGGACCTAAGCATCACCAAAAATGTTTTCCCCTTCTCCTCCTTTGAATTGCTTACCTCATGGGTAAGAAAGGACATATTAGCTGTCAATCTGAAGGCTTTGGCCTGAAAAATCTCTTTAAAAAATAGAGCAGATATTTGAATTCAAGTTAGTGCCATATGCCACTAAAATTATCTATATAATCTTGACCTGAAAAGTTGTTCATGGTGTGCTTTGAATTTTTAAAAGCAGGTACAGAACAGAATGACCAACATTATCTGGTATTTGCATAGTTATACACATATATCTCTATGTATGTTGATGCATAGGGAGTGTTCTGGAAGGAGGTTTCTGAAAGTATTGATAATAGTTATTGCTGTGTGATAGGATTTGTTAGGATGTTGAGCTAGGACACTGCTGCTCTGTGTGGGCTGGTTTATTCCCTGCAAAGAATATGATTTCTAGGGTTTCCAGTGATTTTTCAGAGTAGTTGTAGAGACATGAATATACTGGGAGCCTCTCACCCTTGAGGCTGTGTTTGTGCTTGAGGGAACACATATAGAAGGGATTAAGGGGTAGTTGATGACTCTTTGGGAAAAGAGGGTACGGGAGAAGCAAGGGGAAGAAAGACATCTATTTGTCAAAGAGCAAAGGCAAGGCAAAGCTGGTGTTGGCAGCAGAGCGTGACTGCTGATTAGTTTTCTCGGGAGCAACTGCTTCTCCTGGAAGGGAATGATATGCTCATCATGGGCACCTTCTAGTCCTATAGTGCCTTGTATATCCTTTATAATTGTGTTTCCACATTGGATAGAAATTTTTTTGATTCCCTCTCTCTACTAACAGAGTTACAAGCAGTGCAGGCTTGTTAGTGATAAGTTATTTCAGCTTTATATGCCTGGAAAAGTTTTTACTTAATTTTTATTTGCAGAAGACATTTTTGCTGGGTATAGAATTTGAAGTTGACAGTAGTTTTTCTTTCAGTACTTTAAAGATTTGTCCACTCTCTTCTGGATTGCATTGTTTCTGATTAAAAGTCTGCTGTCATTCTTATCTTTGTGCCTCTTTGCTTAATGTGCCTTATTTCTCTAGCTTCCTTGGCCTCCCTGAAGTCTTAACTATTTCTCTTCTACTCAGGTAAATTGTTGGATTTTATCTGAGTTTCCCTTCCTTGCCTTGTTGCCTGGAAACTTTCTAAGCAGTAAGCTAGGGCATTTATAGGGCTCACTTCTTTTTTTTTTCTTCTTTCAGACATCAATGTCTGTGTTGCTCGTTGTTCAATATCTGAAAACCACTGGGTTTTTTTCTGATTTTCTTTTTAGTTATTTAAGGTGGATGAATAAATCTTGCCCTTGTTACTCCATTTTGGCTGGAAGCAGAAGTTCTGAAACATTAAATAAAAAAAAAATACTAAAAACATAAAAACCAACTTCTGATTGCAAAAAAAAACCTTTTTTCTCAAAATTGTCTGTATCTTAGGATTGTGAGATCATTTTTTTAAAAACTCACTGAGTGCCACAGTGTTTGACATTATCTCTTTTCTTACAGGAAACAGGAATCATTCAAACTGGATTTTAAAATCATTGCAAATCAGTGATGGATCAGAAGTTGCAGAGTGCAATCCCGAGTAAAAGTCTTCAAAAAATTTTGCTTCAGGTAACAGAGGAAGGAAAATTGATCTACCACCTTAAAACCCTGATCTAGAAAAAATATATATTCATGATAGGAAGTTATAACTAAGAAAATTTATTTGCCTCTTAATGCTCCTGAATGAAAGGAATTATCCCTTTGTTCTTTGGGAGGACTTGTGTATCTGAGATTGTTGTAATAATCAGTCATTTTATTAAAACCTTGACATGATCACCAGGGAGGAAAAATAGAGCAATAGTCAAAACCTGTGTGTTAGTCCAAGATGACTTCTGAAGAAATGACAGCTTCTGTTCTCATACCTGTGACTCAGAGAAAAGTGGTTTCTGCCCAGTCGGCTGCAGATGAAAGTAGTGAAAAGGTCTCAGACATCAATATTTCAAAAGCACATACTGTCAGACGAAGTGGGGAGACTTCTCATACCATCTCACAACTGAACAAACTTAAAGAAGAACCTTCTGGAAGCAACTTGCCAAAGATTCTCTCAATAGCGAGGGAGAAAATAGTGAGTGATGAGAACAGTAATGAAAAATGTTGGGAGAAAATCATGCCAGATTCTGCGAAAAACCTTAACATTAACTGCAACAACATATTGAGAAACCATCAGCATGGCCTTCCTCAGAGACAATTTTATGAAATGTACAACTCTGTTGCTGAGGAAGACTTGTGTTTAGAAACTGGAATTCCTTCTCCACTGGAAAGAAAGGTGTTCCCTGGAATTCAACTGGAACTAGACAGACCTTCCATGGGCATTAGTCCTTTAGGAAATCAGTCAGTGATCATAGAGACAGGCAGAGCACACCCTGACAGCAGAAGGGCAGTATTTCATTTTCATTATGAAGTTGACAGAAGAATGTCAGACACTTTCTGTACCCTATCAGAAAACTTAATTTTAGACGATTGTGGAAATTGTGTACCACTACCTGGGGGTGAGGAGAAGCAAAAGAAAAACTATGTGGCATATACCTGTAAACTGATGGAATTGGCCAAAAATTGTGATAATAAGAATGAGCAGCTGCAGTGTGATCATTGTGACACCTTGAATGATAAATACTTTTGCTTTGAAGGCTCTTGTGAGAAGGTTGACATGGTATATTCAGGTGATAGCTTTTGTAGGAAAGACTTTACTGACAGTCAAGCTGCCAAGACCTTTTTGAGCCATTTTGAGGACTTCCCTGATAATTGTGATGATGTAGAAGAAGACGCTTTTAAAAGCAAAAAGGAGCGATCCACTTTGTTAGTCAGGAGATTCTGTAAAAATGACAGAGAAGTTAAGAAATCTGTGTATACTGGAACAAGAGCAATTGTGAGAACTCTGCCTTCTGGCCACATTGGGCTGACTGCATGGAGTTACATAGATCAGAAGAGAAATGGTCCCTTACTGCCTTGTGGGAGAGTAATGGAACCCCCGTCAACAGTGGAGATAAGGCAAGATGGGAGCCAACGTCTGTCAGAAGCCCAGTGGTATCCTGTAAGCATTTGAGTTTCTTTTTACCATTTCTTTAAACTTGCTTTTTTTTTCAAAAAAAAGTCCAAATTTCCATTGTCATAATTGATGAGAAATTTTAAGATCTGTCAAATTATGATTCTTAGGTTAAGCATTTGTGGTTATTGAAAACAGATACTCCAATTGATAGCTATCAAGATTGAGTTGATACTGCAACAACATAAAAGTGTGTCAGAAAATAATGTTATTGGGAGTGGAGGAATTAGGGAGATTTCCTGGTAGTGGAAAAATGGCTCCATTTGTTGCTTATCTGTTTGTGTTCTTTTGAGATAAATGCCTGGGTCCTGTTCTATGGTGTAGTTCATTATTGTTTTTAGGTCTCCAGACCTAACAGAACTTAATTCTGTTTTTTTTCATTTTCCAACTAATGGCCCCACTTCCTTCCCTCTTAAACTTTTTTATGCCCTGGATTCCTTTGGCAAAGTGATGAAACCTATGGATTCAGAATGATGTTTTTAAATGAATCAGATGAAATAGAAATCATCATAAAGGACAAGTTATGCGGATATACATTTATCATGATTTTTTTAAATTAACCTGACAATTTAGGTGCTTCTTTATTAATACATTTAATAATAATATCTAGTTATGTGATAACTATCATAATTTCAAAATAGAATTAGCCCTCATCTGTATCCACAGATTCAACCAACTGCATATA
This sequence comes from Homo sapiens, assembly GCF_000001405.40. Lineage (NCBI taxonomy): Eukaryota > Metazoa > Chordata > Mammalia > Primates > Hominidae > Homo > Homo sapiens. The sequence goes on from NC_000010.11 coordinate 94,032,950, forward strand.
GAAAATATTTTTGTAAGAAACAAAAAATAACAATATAACAATAAAAAATAACACAGATTTTACAATCTAATACACTGTAACACTATTTACATAGTATAAGGTATTCTAAGTAATCTAGAGAAGATTTAAAGTATACGGGAAGATGCATGTATGTTATATGCAAATACTAGGCCATCTTACATAAGGGACTTGAGCATTCTTGAACTTTGGTGTTCGAGGGGGTAGGGGGCAGTTCTGGAACCAGTTCCTCTGAGCTATTGAGGGATAATTGTAGTGATGAATATAAGTCCTTATATTCATAAGTATAGATTGTATACTTATGCATATATTGGATTATGTATATATACTTATGTATATATAGTATGGATTTCTTGAAATTTTCTCAATTTTAGCACTGTAAATTCCATGTCCTGGAAAACCCTTCAGACCAAACCAGAGCAGTCGATCACCCTAAATATCAATAACATTTTAGGATATCTATCACAACTGTAATAGGATATGGAAATATCTGTGACTTCTATTGGTGACAAGATCACAGTTACTATTACTACTACTGAAGTTTGTTGCTTATATTCAGAATTAAAGGAAATGCTAAATTTCCTTTTTGAGATTAATGAAAATAATGAATCACTTTTTTTTCCTCAACCAGATTTCCAGGTCCTCTGAATTCTATCCACAGTCTCCCCTCTTTAAGAATCCTGCTCTGGAAATACACATGATCAGGCTGCCTGCTCTCAGACCTTATCTGTACATCTGAGGACAGTGCCATGTGCCATCTTGGATTTTTTTATCCTGAAAACTCTTGCTTCCTTCAGTCATTCTCTATGTGAAACTGTTTCTAGAACTCTCACATTCCAATTTTTCATAAGTCCTTTAAAACCTGACCCTAGAAATAAGCACCTGGTCTAGAGAAACATCATTTTTATTGAAATATAAGTGCTATATTTTTACTTTCATCATCATCATCATCATCATCATTGTATTAGTCTGTTCTCATGCTGCTAATAAAGACATAGTCAAGACTGGGTAGTTTACAGAGAAAAAGAGGTTCAGTGGACTCACAGTTCCACATGGTTGGGCAGGCCAAACAATCATGGCAGAAGGCAGAAGAGGAGCAAAGACATGTCTTATATGGTGGCAGGCAAGAAATCATGTGCAGGGGAACACCCATGTATAAAACCATCATATCTTATGAGACTTATTCACTACCATGAGAAAACTATAGGGGAAACCGCCCCCATGATTCAATTATCTCCACCTGGCCCTGCCCTTGACACATGGAGATTATTACAATTTGAGGTGAGATTTGGGTAGGGACACAGCCCAACCATTTGAGTCATCAATCAGGGTAGCTAACATTTATTGAGCATTCAACAAATGCCAGATATTGGGCTAAATAATTTACATATTCCATGTTGTACAATCATCTTAACTACCTTAGGATTTTGATATGATAATTAACACTTTTATTGCTAAGCAAACTGATTTCCTGAGAAATTATGTACCTCATCAAGGTTACTTAGCTAGTAAGTGAAATAACTAAGATTTAATCCAGGCAGCTGACACTCCTAGGTGGTTTCTTAAGATCCAGAAAGGAATAAAATTCAGAGGAAGCTTTTAAAAGAACGGAAGAATTCTGTTCGTTTCAGCATCTGTTGATTGAGTGACCCCATTCATTGATGCTCACGGTATCTCAGACTTGGCCATGTTAGGTATGGTGATTGTAAACCTGCTTACACGTCACAGTCACTGTCCAGACCCCTCCTCAGGCCCTTTGAATCAGAATCACTGGGGTAGGGCACAGCATGAATATTTTTTTCAAAGTTCCCTTGGTGATTCTATAGATTCTATGGAGTTGGGAACCATTGGCTAGGAGTTTAAACAGAGCTCTTTGCTTTTTGATCAGGACATTTCAGGAATATTTGCCTTTCCCTAAAAAAGACACTGCTTGGGTTCTTAGGAACATTTGGGCTGACCTGGGAACCTGCCTGAAAAGTGAAAGCCTGCAGGTCCTTCTCTATACAGTTGACCACTCACCCCAGCCAGTGTCTAAGGATGTGTTTCTGTGTCTCTTGACCTGATTCCACATGAAACCTGAGTCACAGACAAGGAGCCCCTCACCAGCATGCCTGTCCTGCTCAGCACTAGATGACTTGCACAGCATCTCCCTGCCATGAAACTGCTGCTGAGAGCAACGTGTCATCTTAGTTAAAAATGCAGTGGTTTAAAAAATCATGTACACTCGAACATTAAGAGCACAATCGAAATTTAAATATAGCAAAGTGAATGGAAATAGGTTGCTTTAGAACCTTTATCATTGTTTCCCTATGAGGGTTGTGAATCGGGTGTAAATTTCAGAATAATTTTTGGTATGCCTATACCCTCCTCCAGTTTCTTCTTTTCTATAGCCCTGCTGCTGTTTCTTCTGAGCTTGTTCACTGGTCCCCAGCTCAAACCTGCCCTTGTTCATCAAAGGCCTGGGATGGTTAATTTCTAATTGAAAAGGACAAAAGGGATGATGCAAATTGTCTCTTCCCTGCTTCTTAGTCTCTGGAGGCTGGGAGAGGTTGCCACACCTGTCAGAGTAGACTCCAGGAACTTTTATCCCCTTGGTCTGAGCAGGCTTGGAGGAGGCTATTGGCATTTTTATTAACCATTAAGATGCGGCTGGGGAATAGGCTGGTTGTCCTGTCCTTTCTTAAGGGAGATTTCTAAAGGGGGGGCCCTTTCTGAATATTCAAACCACACCATATCAGCAATGAATCAGTATTTTCTAAGGTATGGTGTTCTGTATATCTTGTTTTTTAGTTTAGAATCTGGTAGAAATTCTCAAAAGTTGCACAGGTGAATTATAACTAGTTTTTCCCAGCTCCTATGAATTACTTCCTTCAAAGATGCGGATCTTAATGATATGCTCCTTTTCCTGTGTTTTGGTAATTACATATGTGTCCGTTCTGGTTCCTCAATCAGATTGTAAATCGATTAAGGACAAGAAATAAGTTCTGCATTATTTTACTCTCCATAATGCAAGCATAATGCCAAGTATACAGAGAATAAGGGCAATGTAATGGTTACAAATACAGTCTCTGGAGTCAGTCGACCTGAATTTAAATTGTGACCCTCACTCCATCACTGACTGGCCATGTGAATTCTGGTACACAGTTTGACCTCTTTGTTTCTAATTACCTTTTTTATAAACTGAGAATAATGGTGTTATTGTGGCGTTAAATGAGATGCTACCCACCACACAGTTCTAGCAAGGAGTGAGTGCTGCTCTGCTCACTCTGGCCACTGTGGATATGCTTTGTCGAGAACACATTTCCACCACCTTCTGCTGTGTGTCTTCTCACTCAGGGATGTTTACAGTGGTATGAATTTGAATTCATGTTTCTCAATCTATAATGAGGTAGTTTGAACAATCCTTCCCACACATTTAAAGAATGTGCTGTTTGTACAATTAATTCCTTGGCCCTCACATTAAACATTTTTTTTTCTTGGATACCTTGGTCAGAATGACCCATTTAATTTATATTTGCACAGCTGTGTAGAGAAGATTGGCTTTGAATGGAAAACATTAATGAAGATTAATGCTTGCTGACATACTAACTACTGGTATCCTCCTTCTCCTCCTCATAAGAAATTAAAACCCTATCCCTTATCCAGTTACAGTCATACTCCCTCTCTCCTGCTCTGAAATAAGACAGGATATTTTGATGGGTGGCTAAAGTCTCCAAGCTAAAGATTGGTTAGGGGTGTTTTTCCTTTAAAAAAAAATTCTCAACCTGCCTGAATTTTGAGGAGTTTAGATACATATAGTTATCTTGAATGTGAAGTACAAGAAGTTTCTGCTTCTGCCTTGCTGGAATTGCTCATGTAACCTGAGATCCACGTGCACTCAGAGAATGTGAAGGTGCCAGGGCAGAAATTCCACTGGCTCCTGTATTATCACTTTACTTATTTCCCTTCTTTGTTCCACAAGATTTACTGTACAAGAATATGTATGACAAAATAGAAAAAAAACTCAGATACACTAAAGAGTAAAAAACAAAGAATAAAAATGTAAAGATTGAATAAAAAAATTTTACATCAGTCTAGAAAAGCTATAATTTAAAAAGGAAGGTCAAAAGCAGCTTCTGTATTGCTGCTTCTTATTCTGCTTTCTTCCTTTTAAAAGTTGCCTTTCTTCTTCATACTTTACTCTCAAGAACAGAAAATTAAACCTAACAGGCAATTTTTTTTTAGTGTTTCACAAAAATGCCTTTGTTGGTATACATGTCCTTGATTCTATATTTTGTCTCTTTCAAATTGAAGAGACCTGAACCTTAGGGGAGAGATAATGTCTGTTGTGTGCAAAGGGACCAACCGCTAATAAATTCATCTTCTGAGTTGTAATTTTTATGGATGATAAAATATCCATTGAGCCCCACTGTTCAATGTTGTAAGGGATTGCTGTTGAGATAGCAACATGTCTTGTTTTCTGGTCTGGAAATTTGGTTGCCCTGGAGCTAGGGTACAGTTTGGACCTTGAGACAATTAAAATTTCGTGGGGTGCTTAGGCTTAGCTGGAAGCCTGTGCTTGGTGATTTGCCAGGCTGCCTCTTTCATTACGAAGGGTAGTGATGGGTTGATGACATGGGTATAGGATGATGCTGGCCCCTTCCTGCTGGGCACAGTGAAAGGGAATCCAGCTTCCTCTCAGCTCCTGTGCAGTTTAGTCATGTCTAGTGCCTCAGTGGAAAATGTGATGGCTGTCAGAGTCCAGCTTTGTGATGATTGGACTGCTTTCCCTTATTAGCTGCATTGGTGCACTATAGGATAAATGTCCCCCCGCATCTCTGTAGTTATACCAGCCCTTTGGCTAAGATTTGGTAAGAGCGGGAATGAAAAACCTTGACTCTGGATTCCAGTGTAAGGTAAATGCACTGGTGGCCACTGTTATTCTCATAGTATTCTTTGGACAGTATCAGCATTAGGATTATTATTATTTTTCTTTTCCCTAGATGTCCTACATAATGGGAATTAGCAGCTGGAGAGGCCCCATCCCTGAAAATGGGCCGTGGTAGTATGTGGCCTGAAAAGAATTAGATCCAGTGGGCAAGGATAAAACCATCTGGTGAAACCCTGATCTGCTCCACAACCTGTATTTTGCAGACCAGAGACTCAAGCTGCCCTTTGAATGACCTCTGAAAAGTCACGAGTCATAGAAGTGGCCCCTTCTGAGCTTAAGGGAGTCCTGGGGTTAGAGAGGAGGTTTCCACCCTGTTGATCAAATGATTCAGCATTCAAGGATTTGAAGCATCAGTGGGGGGAGGTGCACCCACTGACCCCCACGACTAGACTAACTGGTGGCTCAGACAGCGCCCTCTCTCAAAAGCTGTTCTTAGACAGCGGTGCTGGGCTTATTTTCTGGCACCATGACAACCAAATGGTGCCCCTTTCAGTGGTTCTTTATTCTAGTGGCTTGCTTAAACACATTCAGAGCTTCACATTAAATATAGGTCTTCTAGAGCTCAGGCACCAGAACCCTGAACCCCTAACCCCAAGGCTCAGTCCCTTACAAGGAACCCCAAACCCTTCCTTCTTATTTAGGCCATCACTCCTCAAACCCTGAGAAAGCTCAGCAGAAAACCTCCTCAGCCTTCAGCAATACAAAGTCATGCTATCATTGTTCAAGGATAGGGAAAGCCAGTCCTTTGAAACACAATAGCAGATTTCCTTGAAGGGGAGGAGAAATGCTTTGGTGTCTTCTTATTTTTTTTAACAGCTTTATTGATGTATAATTCACATACCATACAATTCACCCAGTTAAGGTATACAATTCAGTGGTTTTAAATATGTTCACAGATATGTGCAGGCATCACTACAGTCAATTTTAGAACATTTTCATCATCTCAAAAAGCAACCCTGTTTCTTTTAGCTATCACCCTCTATCGCCCCATCCTGTGCCTCTCCCCCAGCCCTAAGGAACCACTAATCCACTTTCTGTCTCTATAGATTTCCCTATTCTGGACTTTCATATGAATGGACTTTCATACTGTTTGGTCTTGTGACTGGCTTCTTTCACTTCGCATAATCTTTTCAAGGTTAAATATTCATTTATACGGTAGCATGAATCAATATTCATACTTTTCACTGCTGAATAATATTTCATTGTATGATTATGCCCCATTTTATTTATCTGTTCATCAATTGTTGGACATTGAGTTGTTTCCACTTTTGGATTATTATGAATAATACTGCTGTGAGCATTCATGCAGAAGTTTTTGTGTGGACATAGTTTCCATTTCTTTTGGATAAATACCCAGGATTGGAATTGCTGGGTCACATGATAACTCTGTTTAATCTTTTCAGGAATGGCCAGACTGTTTTCCAAAGCAGCTGCACATTTTACATTCCCACCAGCAATGCAAAAGGGTTCTAGTTTCTCCATATCTTTTTTTTTTTTTCCCGGAGACGGAGTCTTGCTCTGTTGCCCAGGCTGGAGTGCAGTGGCACAATCTAGACTCACTGCAACCTCTGCCTCCTGGGTTCAAGCAATTCTCATGCCTCAACCTGAGGCATGAGTATTTGGGATTACAGGTGCGTGCCACTATGCCCAGCTAATTTTTATATTTTTAGTAGAGACAGGGTGTCACCATGTTGGCCAGGCTGGTCTCAAACTCCTGACCTCAGGTGATCCGCCCACCTTGGCCTCCGAAAATGGTGGGATTACAGGCGTGAGCCACCACACCCAGCCTGATTTCTCCACATCTTGAACAGTGTTTCTTATTGTCTGTCTTTTGGTTATAGCCATCCTAGTGGGTGTAAACTGATATTTCATTGTTTTGATTTGCATCTTCCTGATGGCAAATGATGCTGAACATCTTTTCATGTGCTCTTAGCCATTTGTATATCATAGAAATGTCTAGTCAAATTATTTGCCCATTTTTAAATTGAGCTGTCTTTTTTATTTTTGATATATATTCTGGATATAAGTTCATTATCAGATATGTGGTTTGCAAAATAGATTTAGATATATGTATAGGTATAGATATATGAATGAAGATCAGGCAAGTGGCAAAGGAGGTTTACAATTTTATTTACAGTGGAGCTTGTTAAACATGTCCCTTGGACATTCATCTCCTTCTCAATATTTCTCACATTATTCTACCAGCAACAACTTTCAAATATGATTAAAAATTTTTTTTGTAGCAGCAAGATCTTGCTATGTTGCCCAGGCTAGTCTCCAACTTCTGGCCTCAACTGATCCTCCTGCCTCAGCCTCCGAAAGTACTGGGATTACAGGCATGCGCCACTGTGCCTGGCTCCAAATGTGATTTTAAAAATTTTCCAACTTCTCCAGATTCTCCCAAACTCCAGTCTGCATAGCTTTTCTTTTTTTTCCCTCCTCCCTTTCTGCCTAAATGTTGTTATCTAAATTGTTTTTTTTATTATCCAAACTCTGCACCCCAGAGCAGTGGCTGGGAATGAGATTGTCAGTCCACAACCTTGGGCACAAGGACATCATCCAACACAGTGATGGTTGAGGAAGAGGTCGCCACATCACAATAATGCACTCCGTTATGCACAGGTACAAGCAGGGCCATCACTAGGGTGAGACAAGTGAGTGTCTCACCCTTGTGCACCTTCTCTCAGGGTCTCAGAAGTGCCACCCATATACTTCTTAGTGAGTGCCTCCTTAAATTGTGAGTGCTGGGCAGCTCCCTTGTCCCACTCTAGTCCTAGCCTTGGTACAAGGGCCTAAGAGAGTCTGTGGTTTAGAAATGAATACCATCTTCCTAGTTCAGGAATGACCTTGACTGAACCCTCAGGTACATCAATACAGATATTTGTAAAATAAAAGCTAAGAGTGGCTTCTGCATTTTTAAATGGTTGAAAAAAATCAAAAGAAGGATACTATTTCATGACATGAAAATTATATAGAATTGAAATTGTATTGCTCATTAATAAGGGTTAGGGAGCACAGCCATACTCATTCTTTTATGTATTGTCTGTTGGTGCTTTTACCCTCTAATGGCAGAGTTAAATAGCCACAACAGACACTGTATGACCTGCAGAAACTAAAATATTTGTTATCTTGTCCTTTACATGAAACCTTTGCCTATCCTTGGCTTAGAACATCCCTCGCTACCTGGCTAACTCCCATTCAGCTTTCAGGCCTGAGCTTAGTTTCACTTTCTCTTGGTGGTCTTCTCTGCCAGCCCCCAACTCCCACCCTGGACCCTAGGCCAGAGTTTCTGACAGTCAGTGCTCAATATGTATTTCTCGAATGACTCTTTGAATTATAAATGAAGAAGGGCGGTTTCCACCCACTTCTGCTGTCTCCTTCTTTCCTTCCCCAGAACTACTGCAGGCTTGTTAGCTGTCCTCCGCCTGACCCTCAGAGCTTGGAACCAGTTCTTTTGTGCAATACCTGTAGGACGGAATCAGGATTTTCCATTGAAATTTGAAAGGATCTTTTTCAGTCCTGCAAACCCAGCAATCCATGCTTGTCATCTCCCCAGACTTGGCCTGAAAGGTCATGTTTGCATCTCCTTGTCCCTGGCTCCCCATTTCAACTGGCTGTTAGAACCCTTGAGAAAGTTTCTGGATCCTTTTTGCTTACAAGGGAACACCTGAGACAGCTGTGTGCTTCAGTGGGCCAAGAAGGAAACACGCCTCCCGATCTCAAGACCCCAGAGCTCTGTCTCTGCTCTTCAGAACCCCCAGTGCTTCCTAGACAGAATTTTCCACATGGACTGGAGGGAATCTAGCTTCTGTCAGTGGGGGTTCGGGGATGGACATGGTGGTGGAGGGATAGGGACAGCATGCTGTCGTTGTAAGTTGGGGAGATCATTTCATTCCTGGGGTTTGGAAGGTGTTTGTCTAGTTCCTTCAAACCATTTGACACCAATACTTTTGGTAAGAGACCTGAAACAGCACCCCTCTCTTCTAAAAAGAGCCAAGTACTAATTCCAGCTCTGCCATTGGCTGCTTGTGTGACTTGAGCAAGTCACTTTAGGGCCGAGAATTTTAGGTATTTTTCAGTATTAAAAAAAGAGGGAGGGCAGACATGTATTCATTGCCTGCTGTATGTCAGGCACTGTGTCTATAATTTGCATATAGTAATTTAACAAATTATAAATTAACACTTCCTCTTAAGTCTAAAATTGTGCCAGTCTGTGGCTTCCTGATTTAAATCCTGACCCTGAGTTTCAGGTTGAGTATTCTACCTCCCTCAGCAATGCCTCCTTGAGGTTTGATTTGGAATGAATCTTGTGACTCACTCCCTGACGCTGTGTAGTAGAAGGGCAGAGGATTTGGCTAAGCCTGGAAATGTCTGTAGAAGTAAGATGGTAAGTACTGGCTGGATGCTTTCTGTGTCTTACACTGGGCTTCCCAGATGTCTTGTCTTTTATCTTTTCTTTCCTTTCATTCTCATGGCGACTGTCTATGAGGTTAAACACCCCCATTTCATTGGGTCCTGTGTGACCAATGTCACACCATGTTAGCACTTGAACCCAGGTCTGGCTACCTCTAAAGTCCATACTCATAACTGCTCCTAAGTTCCTCTGGAAGATTCTGATGCAACTTACCCCTATAACTTGGCAGAAATTCTGTTCTCTTATTAAATGTGCAAATGTTGAGCTGGATGAGTCCCTGAGCTCTTTTTTTTCTTCAAATGTGAACTGGGTGTGACTTTTGGATGAAATGGGAGATGCAGGGAACAATACCAATTCTTAATGCGAGGGGTGTGTTGTCTATTGAAATGGCTAAGATTTATTTTTTATGACTCAGCCTGCTAGGAGGAGGAAACCAAGCCCCAAGGTTTGAATGTTTTACAGAATTGCTATAATTTAGAAGTACAGTTAAGAAGTTTTATAAGTAAGTAAGCAAGAGCAAAGTCCAAAGCAAACTGCACACATCTTGAGTCAGAATCTATAGCTTATTCACAATCATGCTGAGATACCCAAAAATACTGGCAACGTATGTTAGTATTTTTCCATTTTAATTTAGTTTTCTGTGATCTCTCAGGGTTCTGACCAACCGACCTAAGTATGAAAGACATGACTCAGTAGCATTTCTTTCCATAATCACACCATTAGAATGAAGTTTTCACCTACTTCACAAGGTTGTGAGGCGGTAGGAAAAAGATCTAAGCGTGTTGTATATTAAAGTGCTTGGCAAACACTATTTAAACCTCCCTGCAAGTATAACTTTTCTCCTCTTACTCCATGCTCTAAAGGATTCAGAGTGAGGCACCTGGAGGAAAAACAGACACAAAACTACAGAGGAGGCAACAAAACAAAACCAGAGGCACCCTGTTTTCCTTTCATAAATGCTGCAAGCGCAGTCGAACCCGCTATGGAAACCCGACGCTTTGGTTTGCCTTTCAGGGTGCTGGCATGAATGAATAATAACTTCATTTTCAACTTGAGATTAGATAACTTTTATCACCAACACCTACTTCATTTTATCCCTATGTTTTAATAGAATAAGGAATAGAGAATCAATTTGTTGGTAGACCATGCTGAGTAGCTTAGCTTCAGAAAGATTTAGCACCAAATTATAAATGGTGACACTTTAATAGTGAGTGTGATGTGCATTGGGAGCCAGCCTGTGGGAGTTTGGCAGTTGGAAAGCCCCATAGCTTCATTTTTTCCAGATTTTTGTACCCTTCCATCAGATAGTAACTCCTTAGCCTTGAGAAACTCTCTTCCAGGACAAGGGGAAAGTTTATTTGAGTTCTAAATTGTTTAATAGCAAATGCATTATTTGTCTCTTTAATGAGACCAAGAAAATGGCTTCAGACCCTGGTTGAACCAGCCAGTTCTCCTTTTGATGGCCACAAACCAAATATGGGCAGTGTAATGATGGTATGACTCTGGCCTGACTAATATTTTTGTGAGGAGAATGCCATTATTATGGTGACCATATTTTCCAAACAAAAAATTGGGAACTTTTTATTCAGAGGAAAGAGGGGCAGAATATTTGAAATTGAGACTGACCCAGGAAATCCAGAATGAATGGTCTTGGTAGCTATTGATCACAGCATAAAGGAAAAAGAATGTGAATGAACCAGTGCAAATCTAATTGGTTGCTAGAAAAGTCAGGAGCCTCAAAATGAATGACTTGCTAGTGGTGGCAAAGAATCACCATCTACATGCAAAGAAAACACATTAGATGCCCTGAGAATCCAGTGACTGTTTTTCTCAGAGTTTTTATTTTTCTGTATTTTTGCCGAGTACATTTAGTAGCTACCATGTTTTGGAAATGTGAAAGTAATGAAATAGATTTAAACTCCAGGTCTTGCTCAGCTAAATAATGTCCCTTTCCAAGGAATCACCTTGAAAGGTTGTCCCCACTTTCCATTTATGCTGCCATTATGCACAATGTCTCAACCCTTGGATTGAGATTTTTAGAAACAATCCATTCAAGCATCCTGGCTAATGGTGGTTTGGGTCCATATTGACATGTGATTATAAAGGACAGGATTGGTTTTATTAGAGATCTTAAAAACTGAATGGAGGTGAAAGGAGATGTCTGGAAATATTTTAAGCAAAGGTAAAACTATATGTTTTGTATACAAAACACAAACTTGAACACAGACTTGGCCGTTGCTTCACAGTCCTGGCCATGGCTCTCTTCAGTGTTGATGGACAGTTCAGAGGCACTCACAAACTCAGAATGCAGCTTTGGTTTGGACTGAGCCTCATGGGCACAAAGCTCATGCCAAAGGGCAGATTGGAATTTAGCCCTGTCTCTTCCACCTTCCTCGGCTAGATGCCCTTCTACAGGGCACAACCTGCCCAGCCCCACATGGTCATGCTAGCTAGAAGCACATGGAACAGAAGCAGAAGAGCTTCTGAAGCCCAAAACTTCGATTTTTTTTTCTTGGATTCATACATTATATGCTCAGAACAGTGGAGTCTGTTGAGTTCCAATGGCCTAAAATATGAAGACATTAAATTAATTCAGGTGAATGCTTTTCTACATGAATATAAAATAATTATTTGGTAACTTTACGAACTATAGATTCTTGAGCTAGCTCATCTTTTTTAAAAATTTTTTATTATTATTTTTTCTTTAGAGACAGGGTCTTGCTCTGTCACCTAGGCTGAAGTATAGTGGTTCAATAATAGCTCACTGCAGTCTGGAACTCCTGGGCTCAAGCAGTCCTCCTGCTTCAGCCTCCTGAGAAGCTGGGATTATAGATGCATACCACCATGCCCGGATAATTAAAAAAATTTTTTTTGTAGAGACTGGGTCTTGTTTTGTTGCCCAGGTTGGCGTCAAGTAATCCTCTTGCCTCAGCCCCCTGAGAAGCTGGGAATATGGGCTCGTGCCACCACACCTGGCTAATCAAAAATATATATATATATTTTTTGTAGAGGTAGGGTCTCACGTTGTTGCCCAGGTTTGTCTCAAGCTCCTGGCCTCAAGTGATCTTTCCGCCTTGACCTCTCAAAGTGTTGGGATTATAGGCATGAGCCATGGTGTCTGGCCTGGCCCATCTTCTATAATCACGTTCAGTCCCTTGCTTTATGGATAAACTGGCCAAGGCCCTAGACAGGTGAAGTTACTTGAACAGGTTTACATAGCTAATGATGGAAGATCCAGAACTGGAATCAAGGTCTCTATAGACTCTCTCTCCTCATCTCTAAAATATTATAAAAAATACATTTCTGATACAAATAGCTGTGTCACCTAGTAGGTTCTCTGTTGATGTTGGCAGATTCTGAACCCTAATGCCTTTACAGTTCCTGGGATGCATACATTCCTGAAACAGAGCACCAGCCCTGGAAGAGTTCATGGTGGGATAGTGGAGGCAGACATGTCTGTCTCTCACTTATTTCATCCTCTTCCCAGGCTGTAAATAACCTTGGTTGGGCCAGGCGCGGTGGCTCACGCCTGTACTCCCAGCACTTTGGGAGGCCGAGGCGGGTGGATCACAAGGTCAGGAGATCGAGACCATCCTGGCTAACATGGTGAAACTCCGTGTCTAATAAAAATACAAAAAATTAGCCAGGCGTGGTAAAAAAAAAAAAAGTAATAATAACCTTAGTTGGTGCATAGTTTCTCAGGTTTGTCCTGCCTTCTCTGATCCATTATGGTTTTCTTGGCTGATCCTGTCTTCATTTCTTTAAGAAACTGGCACATCTTGTTGCAATAACATTGTCAATTCTTTAAGTGCTCAGAGATGCCCTTTTAATTTGGATGTAGCCAGGTTTTGTGAGTTCATTTCTCCCCTTAGTCTAGTTTCTTTCCATCCTTCACTTGGCAGGTAGTTCTCTCTGGTTAATGAGTGTGAGTGCTTCAAAGCATACAGAGCAGCCATGGGGTCCCTCCCAGTCTCTCAGGAGGATATTTCCCGTTGTTCTTTTTCTTTTATTTGTGAGAAGCAGAGCCAAATGCAAGACACTGAGCCCAGCAGGAGGGGCCAGACCTGGCCCAGGAAGAGCCAGTATGGTCTGGGCTGCAAGGAATTGAGCCAGGAACCCCAGGCTCATAAAACATCAGCACTGCAAGGGCCTTAGAGACCATCAGGTCCAACCCTTCATTTTCAGAATAGGAAACTGAGGCTCAAAGAGACAATGACCTTTCACAGGTCTGGTCAGGCATCAGTTTCAGAGCCAGGCCTGGAGCCCAGGTTGCTCTCAGATCAACTTTCCTGCCCTGTGCCTGGATGCCAAACACTATTTCTGACCCATTGGGTGTGGAGCTGAACTGATCAAATTATAACAGCTAAGTAATGGAGGGCTTAAGGCTCCATAATGATTAAAGGTATGAGGTTAGGGGCATGCCTAGTTTCAAATTCTGACCTGGCACTTACTATTTATAGCTCTGAGGCTTAATGCAAGTTACTTACCCTCTCTGTGCTGCTATTTATTTCTAAATAATTGTACCTACCTCTTAGAGTTGTTGTAAAGATTAGTAGACTTTTATACGTTGAATGTTAACATATGTTAACAAACACGTTACAAATGTTTCAGCATTTAGAACAGTAGCTGGCACTATGTAGCTGTTGTTGTTTCCTTTTATTCTTTTTTAAAATTTTGTTATTTTTTTATAAATAACCTTTTTAAAATAAAAAACCTTTTAAAAAATAAAAAGCCAAATTTAGCAGTGGGTTTTGTATACCAACTTTAGTGACACTGTTAATAAGTTCTGATAACCCACTACCATTGGACCAACCTTCTTTGATTCTTGTCTTGATTTTTAACCACAATGCTATATTACCTCCAGGTAAATAAAGATTTTTCTCTAGGGACCCTGACAGAATAGCTATAAAACGTGGTATACTGTCTCTTAAGTGCTATATGAGTGGCAGGGTAATTTGGGTAGTCTTAGAAGGCTTCATGGGAGAAGTGGGATATTAGTTCCTGCCAGGGGCCAGAATTGCTTGTCTCCCTACCAGTGAGAAGGCAAAGTGTTCCGCCATAAGAAAATTGACCACCGTTTTCTTTCACAGGAGTCCATGGGATTTATTCCAAAAATAATATTGATTTCTGAGGCCCTTTTGCCATTTTGTTTTAGCCAGTTCTTTTCCTCCCGCCTTTTATGACTTCACATAAAATTTAAAGGGATATAATTGCTCTCAATAGAATTGAAATTTTCCTGTTGTGTTTTCAAAGCATCTATTTTGAAAATTGCCTTCTACACTTTGCAGAAATTGTTGCCAGCATCTGTTGATGTGAGGCAAAGGGGACCAATGTATTTATTTTTATTTGTTTTTTTGTTTATATAGTTAGTCATTTTCAGTAGTGAAATAAGCACCGATGAACTTAACAGCCAATAGTAAAACTAGAACCTTGACAAACCCTATGCCTAGCCATATGGTTCCCTGCTCTTGACCACCCCAAACCTCTACATGTCCCTCCCTTCCCAGGTACCATCTTCCTTAATTCTGTTTCTGTCATTCCCTTACTTTCCTTTTATACAGTGTTATTGCATCTACATGTATTCTTAAGAACTGTATATTTTAATAAATGCCACTGAATTGTACACTTCAAAATGGTGATTACTATGTGAATTCATGTCAAAAAAAACTTCAGATTTTAAATTTTAGTTGTTTTGAAGTTTATATAAAGGTACACTGTGTACAATCTTTTGGGACTTATTTTACACTGTATTTTATTCCTAAGATTCATTTATACTTTTGTAGGTTGCTGTAGTTCATTTGTTTTAATTGCTGTATTATATTCCTGTATGTGAATATATCATACTTTACTGGTGCATTCTCCAGTTGATGGACATTTAGAGTGTTTCTATGTTTTTGGTATTTTAAACAATCCATCCATGAATATTTTTGTATATGTTCTTTGTTATATGTGTCCAAAATTTTCTCTTGGATATATCCCTAGAAAGCAAACTGTTGAAACACAGGGTATGTGAATGTTCAAATTTAGGAGATAGTAGTAAACTGTTTTCTAAAGTGGTTGCATCAGTTTACACACCCCCCAACCCTTGCCACTATGATGTACAAAATATTCTTTGGATCTACACTCTCTCTAATACTTTATATGTTTCAACTTGTTATTTTGCCAATCAAATGGATTAAAAAATATTTCTTTGTTTAATTTTGCATTTTCCTGATCACTGATGATGTTTACCATATTTTTGTGTTTTAATTGGCCGTGTAGTTTTTGTGTGTGTAAAATGCCCATTTTCTGTTGGGTTGCTTGTGCTTCTTTATTGATTTGTAGGATTTATTAAATATATATATGTGCATATATACATATATATTTAATATATTTATAAATAATATAAATATATATTAAATATATATGTATATATGCACATATATGTATATACACACATATATATAGAGAGAGAGAGAGGGAGAGAGAGGGAGAGAGACAGAGTCTTACTCTGTCACCCATGCTAGAGTGCAGTGGCAGGATCTTGGCTCGCTACAGTATCAAACTTCTGTGTTCAAAAGATCCTCCCTACTTCAGCCTCCCGAGTAGCTGGGACTACAGGCATGCATGCCTGGCTATTTTTTTTTATTTTTAGTAGGGATGGCATCTCACTGTGTTGCCTAGGCTGGTCTTGAACTCCTGAGCTCAAGCTATGCTCCTGCCTCAGCCTTCCAGAATACTGGGATTATAGGCATGAGCCAGTGTGCCTGGCCAGATATATTCTTAATATTATCTTTTTTTGTTTGTGTATAGTGTTAATACTTTCTCCTATATTTTAATTGTCTTTTCTTTTTTGTAAGATTTTGAATAAGCAAAATTCTTAAATTTTATAGTCAAACTTATTAAAGTTTTATGAACACTGCTTTTTGTTTATTAAATGTTTTCTCTCTAC
This sequence comes from Homo sapiens, assembly GCF_000001405.40. Taxonomy (NCBI): domain Eukaryota; kingdom Metazoa; phylum Chordata; class Mammalia; order Primates; family Hominidae; genus Homo; species Homo sapiens. The sequence continues at coordinate 94,049,243 of NC_000010.11, forward strand.
CTAAAGTCTAAGATATTCACTTATATTTTCTGCTAGAAGCTTTAAAGTTTTATTTTTGACATCGAATTCCCTAACCCATTTAAATCTTTGATTTTGTATATGGTGTGACGTAGGCAGGAATCCATTGTCATTTTCTGTGTCAATATTCATTTTCCAGCTCTAATCTGACATGTCACCTCTATCATATACCAAAATTCCATACATGTGTGGGCCTTCTCTGAGCCCTTTAATTTAGTTCATTGGTTAATTCATCCATCACTGTGCCAGTAACATTAGGAAGTCCTAACAACATTTTTTAAGAAGTGTCTTTACTATTCCTGGCCCTTTAGTTACCCTGTCTGTCTGTCTGTCTGTCTGTCTCTCTCTCTCTCTCATAATTATTGTTGAAGTATAACACATCTACAGAAAAATATGCAAATCATATAAGGTGTACAGGTCAATGTATTTCACAAAGTAAACACAGATTTAGCCAGCACCCAAACCAACAAATGGAATATTAGCACCCCAGAAGCCTTTGTTGTATCTCCTTTCAGTGTCTCTCTCCCTCCCACAAAACAAACTAATATTGTCTTCTAACACCATTCACTTGGCCTATTTTTGAACATTATATAAAAGAATTCATAGTTGGTACTATTTTGTATGTCTCCTTTTACCCAACCTTATATCTGTAAGATTCATCCATGTCGCTGGATGTAGTTATAGTTTGTACATTCTCATTGCTATTTCCCATTTCATTTCATGAATATCCCACTCTTTATTCATTCCCCTGTTAACAGTCATTTGGTTTGTTCACCGTTTGGGGCTTCTATGAATAGTGCTAGTCTGTTTCCTGCCAGCCTTTAAGTCCTTGCCTGAGCTAGTTCCCTCTTCTTGTCATATCTCTATTTACTCCACGTATTAGTCCATTTTCACACTGCTATAAATATACTACTGGAGACTGGGTAATTTGTAAACAAAGGAGGTTTAATTGACTCACAGTTCCACATGGCTGCAGAGGGCTTAGGAAACTTACAATCAGGCGGAAGGGGAAGCAGTCACCTTCTTCACAAGGTGGCAGGGGAGAGAGAAAGCATGTGAAGGGGGAACTGTCAAACACTTATAAAACCATCAGATCTTATGAGAACTTATTCACTATCATGAGAACAGCATGGGGGAAACTTCCCCCATGATGCAATCTCCAGTCACCTCCCACCAGGACACTCCCTCAACACGTGGGGTCTATGGGGATTACAGTTAGAGATGAGATTTGGGTGGGGACACAAAGCCAAACTATATTACTCCACTACTTAAGATCCTGGCCATTTAACAAAACCTAGGTAAGTACATCCCATCCCTTTTGTGAAGAGCTCTTAGACTACCCTAATCTACCAAGTTCTTCTCTGTCAGGGCATCTAACCTTGTAGCTTATGAGTTGAACTATAAGTGTAATACTTGGAAGGTTTTTTTGCAAAAAAATAAAAATTTAAAAGAAAACAAAAAAATAATTATCTAGCACATATGAATTAAGAGAAGTTTTTCCTAAACATGTAAACACTGAGTTTACTTGTAGTCATAATATGCAAGGAAAGGAGGGAAGAAACAGCTTCCAAGAGTTTGTTCAATTCAAAGAGATGATTGGCATAACCAACTTGCATTTCATCTTTCTTCAGAAGAAAGCATAGGCTAGGTTCACAGCATGAAGTGATGGAGAAAATGATCAAGGTTGTTGACTTACATGGTTCTGCTCCTAACTCTGGCCAGTTTATGGGATGGGATACTTGTAAGAGCTGAGGCAGAGTATTAATATTTAGTTTGTGAAGCTGTCAGATCACTAGGCAATGGAAACTTGAAAAGATCTCCTCAACTACTTTTTCAGATTAAGGATTTTGGGGTACCAAAAAGCCATGTGACTTAGTAGTGGTTTGAAGTGCATCATTTTCTTACCAATGGGACAAGATATCTGAATACACTGAATTAGAAAATGTTAAGATAAAAGCAAAATTCAAGCCAAACAAATAAGACTTTCAGAGTTACCAGCCTGGGTGATAGAGCGAGACTCCAACTCAAAAAAAAAAAAAAAAAAAAAAAAAAGACTTTCAGAGTTACTTAGAAGAAATGGAAATTGCAGAAGAGATTTGCAGTTTTTCATGTGTAAGAACCGTGCATGAAGATTTTGCCAGCTGCTCTGGTCTAGTTAGATGATTAAACATCTGCTTCATCATCGAAGCTCATTGTAAAAGAAACTGATCCATCTAAAAAAGAAGTCATGCCCATCCAAAGGATACGTCATTCAAATAATTTTGTAGATAAGTATATGCATCCCAAAACTAGCCGGAAATTTCTGATTATGTGGTCAAACACTTGGCAATGTTGGAGGCCAATGGGCATTGTAAAATTACTGCTAAGATTGAAACTTAAAGTGGCTGTTAGTAAAATAGGCCTGGATTCAGAATTGAAATGCGCTGGAACTGAATACAGTCCACAGTTTCTAAACCTGCTAAACATCAGTATTCTCATCAACGTGATTAAAATTGAACAGTGACAAGCACACATCTACATACCTACTTGTGATCATGTGACTCACTACTTGGCTGCCTTCATTTGTATTTGTTTAATCTTACCTAACTTGGCTTTAAACTTAAAATTATAAAAGTAATACACTCTCCTTGTAAAGAAAAATCGGTGTATAAAACTTTTAAAGTGACCTCTTCTCCAATTTCTCCCACCAAGTGAACAAACAGTTCATTGGTTCTGGTTTCACACTTTCCTGTGAATTCTGTCTAGGTTTTCAGCTCCTTCGGGGCATGAATTTCTTATTTAATTTTGTAATCCTTTTTATCCAGAATAGTGCTTTGCACAAAACAAGTTCTCAGTACATAACTTATTTGACTAATGATTGATTGAATAAGGATTGGAGGGGAGAATGCCCACATGGAAACCTAGAGGCTTGTAACCAAACCAAAAAGCAATGTTTTCAAAGTTCAATTCAGTTGCATTTGACAAGAAGTATTACTAATAACCTTTAAAGGAGCACTCTAATTGCTACTTTTCTAATTCCTCCTTCCCCCTAAATACCAACTCACAAAGAGATAATAAACAAATCTTTGAGAAAAGGTAAGTGTGAGTCCCTCCTCCCTACTTCTCCTTCTTAGAGTGAGGGACATGAGGCAGGAGAGGCTGGGGAAGACAGTAGAGGTGTCCTCGCAGTAGATAAATCTGTTACTCTGTATTGCCTGACTGTAAAATTTGCTGTGGAACATTTTTATTGGTAATTTCTTTTGCAGATGTTTCTGGAGAAAGTTGAAATTATGCTGGTAAAAACATATCTAGACTCCACATTGCAAATTTAAACATATTGTATTTTATTTCCTTAAGCAAAAAGGGAACTCTTTTTCCCCCTCCTTCTTTTCTTTCTTTCTTTTTCTTTTTTTCTTTTTTAAGCTAGAAAAAAGGAATGAGGAAAGTCCAAAGTGTCTTTTCCTATTTGGACTGAAAAATTAATTATGGCTTTGGGAATAAAGGTAGTGAGCATCATATCTCATTTCTAGTTAACCGGTAGTTCCCTTTACATATAAAGAGCAATTACTTTTGAAGACTCAAAAAATATATAGTCTTAAGGTGTGCTTCATATTATTTCCCCATGGTTTCATTTTTATTTCATTATCCTCTGACTCCATGACAAAATGTTTATTTGGTGCTTGCAAATTGAAAAAATCTGGAGTGGAATAAGCCACTTGCCATTTCTGATTAATTGCCTTGGATATGCTTTTAAATCCTCCCACTGAACCTGAAGCGTACTGTCCCAAATAACGCTTTTTGAAGAGAAAACTTTTGGAATGCCCTTCATTTCTTTGAGTTTTCATAAGAGTGGAATGTGTTATACAGGCAGCCTAGTGAGCAGTTAAGAGCTGGGCTCTGGAAGGAGTCCCGGCTCCACCGTTAACTAGCAGTGGAGCCTTCAGCAATTTACTTAATCTCCCTAAGCCTCAGTTTTTCTCACCTCTATAATGAGAATCATGAAAATAACACCTAATCTAGAGAGTCATGAGGATTCGGTATCTGAAAAAGCAACATGGCACATAGAAATTGTTCAATAGATTTTAGCTGCTGCTATTGTCATTATGATCTCTGTGACTACTAATCGTAAGAATGAATTGTGAAGATCTTTAGTACAGGAATGTGCTCTTTATGTCTGAGCAAATATTTTGCACATTGCCACAGTCTTTATTTGTTAGCACGCATGACATTTTTACTTTGCTATGTGGTCATTTATAGTCGGTTGCCCCTCCTAGATTGTAAGCCTGCTGGCCGGAGGGAGCAGCTCTTCTAGATTAGCCTTTGCATGCACCAGTAGACTCAGAAGGCCTTGCACTTAGCAGGTCCTCAAGAAAGGCTTATTGAATGCACTGGGAAGTTATAGGTGGAGGGCTGGGATCCAGCTTGCTCCAGAGTGAGGTCTCTGCCTCAGAAATATCCTCGCAGCAGTTGAATAAGGGCCAGGACTAGGGTTTGGGATTTCGCATTTCAACCAGGAATTGGAGCTGCCAAGATGCTAGTCACAATAGTGAGAGCCAGCCTTCCAGTCGCTGAATGAAGTTGAAAAGTAGAACAGATTTGGAAAACAGAAGTTATTTCATTTTTCAGGGTGACCAGATTAGTTTTTCTTTATTTTTTTTATATTGCATATTTTGAATTATTAAAAAGTAAATGGTTCAGAACATGAGATTCAGATTTGTAAACTGCCAGAATCCAGGTTGAAGAAACAGGCAGTAAGAGTGTCAGTAGAAATTATCCAATCATCAAGGGAAAAATGCAAGTCTGAGAGTCTCCTGACATAATTAAGGAAGTGAGTCTTCCTTATGGTCTAGTGGGGCCTTCCTTCTGTCACGGCAATTAAAGACACATCCCTAGGCACAAAAACACATCACATGGAAAGTTGGAGAGCCCCTCATTTCTCTAGTCTTTTAATACAGCAGAAAAGAAAAGGTACATAATGCGGTGGTCTGCTTGGTGAAGGAGACTGGTTAGCTATTTAACCAAACCTATTTTCTCTTCCTCTTCAGTGCCCAGCTAGACCATATTTCCAGACTCCCTTGCAGTTAGATGCATCCATGTGCCTGAATTTTGGCCACTGGAATATGGAAAGAAGTGAAGTACACCATGTTCTAGGCCTAGCCCATTAACAGAACCTCCTGGGCAATCCTATACCCTCCCTCTTCCCATCAGCCTGCTGAAAGGGAAGGATTGGAGTTTCTGGAATAGTTGGAGGGCAAGATCTAAGGAGCTTGCTCCCTGAATCTGAGCACCTGCAGGTGACTCAGAGACCGAGAACTAAACTACTTTGTGAAGCCTCTGGGAGAGTTCAGGGTTTATCTCTTATAGTTGTTCGAATTAATAACATTCCCTCAGCCATTAATAACATTCCCTTATAGTGCTTTACATCTATTGGGGTGGACAGATACAAAGTAATCACCCAAATTACTTAGGCAAAAGAAAAATGCCGTGTTCAGGCCGAGTGCAGTGGCTCATGCCTGTAATCCCAGCACTTTGGGAGGCCGAGGCAGGCGGATCACGAGGTCAGGAGATCGAGACCATCCTGGCTAACACCTTGAAACCCCATCTCTACTAAAAGTACAAAAAATTAGCTGGACGTGGTGGTGGGTGCCTGTAATCCCAGCTATTCAGGAAGCTGAGGCAGGAGAATGGCGTGAATCTGGGAGGCAGAACTTGCAGTGAGCCGAGATCGGGCCACTGCACTCCAGCCTGGGTGATAGAGCGAGACTCCATCTCAAAAAAAAAAAAAAAAAGAAAAATGCCCTGTTCAGTAACACAATACAAGGGCAAGCCTAAATAGATTACAGAGTCACTTTTAAGGAGTTGAAATTTCAACTGTGATCTGAAAGAGGAAAATGAATTATTTTATTATAAGGAGGCAGTATAATAATGAAGATAATAATTGGTCCTATGTGACAGAGTTGTTCTAAGGATTAAGTTAATGTTTTAAATAACCTAATAATAATTATATATATTAATAAATTAGTCAAATGCACAGAACATTGCCTAAGTTGTAAATGTTTATTATTTTTGTTGTCTTATTTTTTTTTTTGGAGATGGAGTCTCGCTCTGTCGCTTGGACTAGAGTGTGGTGGTGCGATCTCCACTCACTGCAACCTCCACCCCACCCCCCGGGTTCAAGTGATTCTCCTGCCTCTGCCTCCCAAGTAGCTGGGATTACAGGCACCCACTATCACACCCGGCTAATATTTTTGTATTTTTAGTAGAGTCAGGGTTTCACCATGTTGGCCAGGCTGGTGTCAAACTCCTGACCTCAAGTGATCTGCCCATCTCGGCCTCCCAAAGTACTGGGATTACAGGAGTGAATCACGGTGCCTAGCTGTTGTCTTACTTTTGAGTTGTACTTCCTAGGTGTAAGTCCCAGCTCTGCCTCCTACTTGTTATAACCTTGGGCAGTGTACTTAATCTCTCTGATTCTCATTTCTTCACCCATAAAGTATTGATGGTAATGATACATACTTTACAGAGTTATTTATGGATCCCTTCTCAGGGCCCAACGTAATGAGTAACAAATTTATGGCCTTTTTACTTCAAGTTGTTTTAGGATCCATAGAGATACTCCAAGATCCCTGTTCAGAGAGACCTTGCTGTCATACGCTCAAGAATTAAATAACCATTCAAGGCATTGTGTGATTTCATGTAAATAAGAGTGCTTGTATCACTGTTGTGGTCGTATGTTAATTTGAATGGTCAAAGGACCTTTGACTCCCTTCTGAGGTGCTGCTTAGTTGAATAGTCTACATGCCAGTAGATTTCTGTAGTGTGGCTATTCTATGGATATCTGTAGAGCAAGATCATCTTTTTTAGCAAACCCTTTTCTGTGTCAGTTTGTTTGAATTCTCTAAAAGCTAGAGATTTATTATTTTGGTTTCATTTTAAAAATGCAGCCTCTTGTGTTTAAATTTATACAAATTACTCTTAGATTTAGTCCATGTTAAAAAGAGAGGATTGAAAAAAAGCAGAGAGAGGGTTGGATTAGATAAGTGCTTTTCAGATGGGGTTGGAAGAGCCCCTAGAATTTATGATTGTCTTTGTCAAACACCGTGTAATTCTGTCCTTTGAAACATAAAATAACTAACAGTATAATTGTGTACTAAATACCTTATTATTCTTTTAAAGTAATTGATTTTTCAGATTTTAATATATTGTGTATCTATTCAAAAAAATTAAAAATACAACAGAGAGAAAAAATCTATAATCCAACCACTAAAGGATGCCTAGTGTTAATATTTGGTAAATTTTCTTTCAATTTTCATTTTATGCATATATATTTTTTTCCCACAAAATTTGAGTCTTACCATATATAATGCTTTTTTTCTTAGCCTTTAAAAAATAATGACAGTGAGATAACTCACATAATATAAAATTCACCCCTTTTAAAGTATACAATTCAATGATTTAATTTACCATATTCATGGAGTTGTACAATCATAATCGTAATTAATTTTAGAATATTTTCATCACACCAAAGAGAAACTCCATACCCATTAGCAGTCACCCCCATCCTCTCCTTTCCACCCACCCACCCGTCCCTGGTAACTAGTAATCTGCTTTTTGTCTTTATGGATTTGCCTATTCTGGACATTTCATATATGGAATCACGCAATGTTTGGCCTTTTGTGACGGGCGTTTTTCACTTAGTGTAATGTTTCTAAGGTTCATCATGTTACAGCATATGTTAGTACTTCACTACTTTTTATGACTGAATACTACCCCGTTGTGTGGATATACCACTTTTTATGTATCCATTCATCAGGTGATAGACATTTGGATTGTTTCCACCTTTTGGATGTATGAATAGTGCTTCTGTGAACATTCATATGCAAATTTTTGTGTGGATATATGTTTTCAATTCTTCTGGTTATATATATCTAGGAATAGAAATGCTGGGTCATTTGGTAATTCCATGTTTAATATTTTGAGAAATTACCCAACAATTTTTAAAAAATGGCTGCACTTTTTCGTTTTCATAGGCTGTTTTTTCATCTACCATAATATCATGATTATTTATATATGTCTTAAATTTTCTTCAAAAAAATTTATTTTCCTTAAAACGCTCATAACAGATTATGAAAGTATTTTTAATAGCTGACCTACACTCCACTGGTTACATAAGCAAATTAATTGTTTTCCTAATTTTGGACATTTTACATTATTATTATAAACAATGATACAATGACATTTGTATGCATGTCTATTTCTTTAGTGTAAGTATGTAGAGGTAGAGTTATGGGGCCAAAGGGTATAGACATATTTAATATCCTTGATACTTTGATGCCGCACTTTTCTCTCAGAAGAATTACCAACCTATACTTCCACGAAACTGTGTCCTTTGCTAATTTTTCTAAAGAGAACTTAACAAAAACTTATATGTATTAGTTCTATTGCTGCATAACAAATGACCTCAAGTGTAGTGGCTTTAAACAATAGAAATTTATCATCTCAGTTTCTGTAGAACAGAAATCTGGCATGGTGTGGCTGTAATCTTTGCTCAGGGCTAAAATCAAGGTGTCAGCTGGGGTTGCAATTCTCACTTGGGGCTGGGATCTTCTTCCAAGCTCACTTGTTGTTGGCAGGGTTCATTTCCTTCTCCTACTTTCTATTCATTAAGTTATTTTCTTTTTCTGTGAATTAGGAAAAGACACACTTCTATTCTATTCACCTTTAGTAGTTGAATACCTATGCTCTGCAGGCTTGACATTTGAGAACCAGTGAACTAGATTAATTTTAAGAACCTTCTAGGTATAATATTTTCAGTTTGTTAGCTATGTGGCCATCTTTTTACAATAGAAACCCAACCTTAACTGAATTGGTGGTCCTTCAGGGGAACTCCTACAATTAACAATGTCAAAGAGACATTTTTTTAAATAGAGAGTTAACATTTCTTTTGCTTGTTACTGCATGTTGAAATACTTTTTTAAATTGTCAAGTGCTCCATAAACATTAGCTCTTATTGGCATGTATATTTTGGGGGAGCAGTGTGCAGTCTTTCTCTCATCGCCTTTCAGGATTTTGCCTGTCTCTGGAATTAGAAATGTCAACAGCAGAGATATCAATAATGATAACAACCTTTCACAAGTGTGTTCTGTGGAACTCTAGCCCTGGAAAGTATTTTCTTGAGCAAAGCATTCCACGATAATCAAGTTTGGGAAACATCACATTTCCACACCCCTCTGAAAAGTCATAGGCATATGAAAAGTTCTTCAGTAAAAAATTTGTTTCAATTAGTAGAGCAAGTTTTCCTTGACCATGGAATGAGCATGCTGTGGGCAATGCTGACTTATGTGTCTCCCTCCCTTCATTGGTCAGGTTAAGCAGAGTTGAGTGGGTCATCTAAACCCTGGGTGATGATTAAGAGCTCAAAGTCCTGGGTTCTGGTGTCCTAGAGCAAATCACCTAACCTGTCTAGGATGCTAATTCACCCTTGGTAAAATGGTGATGGGGACTTAATTACACATTTTAAAGCCTCAGTTCTAACATTATGGCATTCTATCATTTACTTTATTATAAAAGTATAAAGGAAAAAAGTTCTCATAAACACAACCTTGCCAAAAATAAAATAATAACGAAAACCATAGCAAAACCAAAAAATAAAAATCACCTGCTGGACCTCTCAGGAGCAATTGGATCATGAGAATCTTTACTCATGAATTTTTGCTTAGTCACATAGCGTAAACACATGTACCTATGGGCATATAGTTTGTGATGATCTGTCTAAATGACAGTCAGGTGTATGTTCCTATATGTCAGACCCACAAAGTTGGTGGTAATGTGCAAAGAAAAAGGAGAAAAGAAGTTTGACTGGATAGACACAGTCATGATGGAGAAGGAGAAAACTAGACATGTGGAAAGGAAAGAGCTGAGAGCATTGAATGACTTGGGGCTAAAAGGCAGCCCTTGTTCATTCATGAGGATAGGAATAACATTATGAACGGTATGGTTTAGACCAGTTGCTTAGGCTGTAGTGGACAGATGGATCAGAAGAGAGAATTGCCACAAAAACTGGGACTGAGGCCTTGACAACAACATGGTGGGAAGAGATGGACAGTGCCAGGTTGATGTCTAGAGAAATGTAGAGGAAGGGTTATTGGAACATGATGACTCATAAGGTCTGATTGTTGAGGGAGAGGAAGAACCAGTGGGAACACCTGGGTGGAGATCTCAGATGAGGGATGTGGTACAGTTGATGATACGGGGAGGGGGTGTGTGTGCAGAAATAGTGATTTAGAGGTAAAGTGAAAGTTTTACCTCTAAATTTTACTACATGTATTGAGATCTGGAGGGGCTATGAGGCAGACAAATGGAGCTGGCCAGGCAAGCACATGGGAAGTGGGACTGAGAAAATCACAGTTGCTTTGCATATTAGAAATATGTGTGTTACATGCTAATCTTATTTACTCATGCACTATTGCACTGGGCAGGTACCTCTGTACTCCATTTAACATAACTTCTAACTTGTTTGAGGGTAAATTTATTAGTGTTTCAAAACATCTGACATTTATACTGCTTTTCTAGCCCCATTCTATTTCTCTTTTAGTGAATGTAGTGAGTGGTTGCTATTTCAACCCAAGCACTTGGTGTTCACGTCTTGCTTGTTCCTTGGTGGCTTCTGTTTGTTAGTTTCTATTGTGGCTTTTGAAGAAGGTACCTGGGTTTGATTAAATTTGTTACACCCTTCAATTATATCAAATTATAGTGGAAGTGTTTTTTGTGTTTTTTGTTTGCTGTCTTAAAAAGGCAGCAGAAAACAATATCCACATGGACAGGTCTTTAACTTGCATGATTTTGATGGCATGTGGTATGTAGGTCAGGATTAGGTGATGTGAGAGGCAGTGTGGCTTTTAATTAAGGCTTGCTACATGCTGGTCTTGGTCAAGTTTTTTTTTTTTGTCTAAGCTTCTGCTCTTTAAGCTGTGTAATGGAAATACTCATGCTACTTATTTCATTATGTGTTCTAAGACTTCAGTGAGGTGATACATGGATACTGTACTAAAGGCACACAGTTCTTGGTACCAAGTAAGTATTCAATACATTAGGAATACTATTTTTATTATTATTGGAAATGGAATTATGTGAGGCCTACAACTGATAGAACTGGTTAGAAATTTTAATTTATATAGAAAAGAATAAAGGTATGAAAAATAAAAGAGTATGGGAAACAAGATTAGCTTGCTGTAAATGTCTGTTTCTTAGTTTTGTGAGCTTGGCAAGACTTTACTTCCCTGTGCCTTGAATGAGTACTCGTGTGGCTTGCCTTACAAGAAAATTGCAAGGATTAGTGAATTTATATTGAACTCCTAGACTCTCTGATTGCAAAGTAGGAAATATTTTTTGCAGCTGTGATACATTAACGTTAGCATGAACCCAGGCACAATTACTGGACTTAGACATTATTTAACTTTTTTTTTTTTTTTTTGAGACAGTCTCACTCTGTCACTCAGGCTAGATAGAGTGCAGTGGTGTGATCAAAGCTCACTGCAGCCTCAACCTCCCAGGCTCAAGTAGTCCTCCTACCTCATCTTCCCAAGTAGCTGGGACTACAGGCGCATGTCACCACACCCAGCTAATTTTTGTATTTTTTGTAGAGATGGGGTTTTGCCATGTTGCCCAGCCTGGTCTCAAACTCCTGGGCTCAATGATCATCCACCCGCCTCGGCCTCCCAAAATGCTGGGATTACAGGTGTGAGCCACCACGCCCAGCCTGCCCTTATTTAACTTATGAAACCTTTCAGCATTTCTTAGTCTCCGTACTGAGACTAAGCAGGTACTGTACTGCCTCCCAGGGGTTCAGCGAGGAGGAAACTGTGGGGCAAGGGCACTGGATGCTCTGCATGTCAGGTTTCAAGCAAAACCTGCTTTTTGGTTGTATTTTGTTTCTTCCTGATCAGAGAGAACTTTCCACAAAACTTCCTTCTCACTTAGACAAAGCTCAGGAAACCAGTTGTGTAAGATTATAACAGGATGTACTGCAACTGAAACTCTTCTATTGGAGATGTAAAGATTAGCTTAAGCAGGTGATCAACTGACAGTTCCCCAGGAGTCCATGGAAATGGGAAAGACAATAGCAAACCCATACTATGAATCTGTGGATGGGGACTGAAATGTTCTAAGGGCTAGGCCCTTAAGGAAGGTGTCCAGGACAAATGAGAACTCCTTGATGGCTTTTCATTAACATTACACCAAGCAATAGCCAGACTTTCTTATGATGTGCATACCATTAGCCAAAGAGAAACTGACTTTTGTACTTACATGATCAAGAAGATAATGCACTGTCTAGGTGTGGCTCATGCCTATAGTCCCAGCACTTTAGGAGGCTGAGGCAAGAGGATGACTTGTCAGGCCAGGAGTTCAAGACCAGCCTGGGCAACACAGAGCAACCTTGTCTTTACTAAAAAAGGAATTAAAAAAAAAAAAAGAAGTTAATCCTTAGGATTTTCTGTCTACCTTTTGTTCAGGCAAATAAGGAAGTGAAAGTTTTATCCAATATATTTAAATTGTAGCACACTGAAAGCTCAAGTGCAAAAACTAGTTTTTGCTGTTACATGCCTCTTATAACACCATTTGGAGGGACAGCTCATGGGAGGAGTCAGCAACCTGAGTTAGACCAAAAACTCCTGAGCCAAACTGCCTGAGATTGAATCCAGGCTTGACCTCTTCCAACTACATGCCGTTGGGCAAGTTTCTTGACCTTTGTGTCTCAGTTTCCAAATCTTTAAAATGGCAGAATAGCAGTATCTATCTCAGAGTTATAAGGATTAAAAGAATTAATAAATGTATAATGTTAAGAACAATACTTGATGTACATAGTAAGCACTAGATATGAGTTAGCTACTATTATTTTGATAGGTTGGTGGTTAAAACTGTTGGTACTGGACTCAGATGGCTTGAATTTGTGTCCTAGCTCTCTTACTTGTGAGCTGACTTCACACAGTTATCTAACTTCTTAGTCTTTATATTTGCTAAATGGTTAGACTCCTTCCTTCTTGTTTTTTTTCATTTTTGGAGGTGAGATCTCATGAAGTTGCCCAGATTGGAGTGCAGTGGCTATTCACAGATGTGATCAGAGTGCACTACAGGCTCAAACTCCTGGGCTCAAGCAATCCTCCTGCCTCAATCTCCCAAGTAGCAGTCCACTCTGCCCAGCTCAAATGATTAGACTTTTTGTGCCTATTTTATTGGACTTATGTGAGAATTAAATGAGAATTTGCAGAGCACTTCATAATTCACACCATGTCTGGTATATATTAAACACTCAATAAGTGTTAGTTATTGGTTTCTTGGTTTTGTTTTTTTTTTTGTTTTGTTTTGTTTTTTTTTTTAGATCTCAGAGAGAATGCAATTAGCCCTCAAGCAGAATGTTGGAAAATCTGAGAGTAATATCTTTTGGGGGCTTATCTCCACCTTCAGTTGCTGGAAGATTGTTCCCAGATTTGTATGCTTGCCACTGAATGACATAGTCAACTGTTGTCTTTCTGAGTTCACCCTCCAGACCATGATGTTCTATAGCAGATCTTGGCAACACATCAGGTTCCGGGAAAGTACATGAATCATGATGGGACTCTTTAATCTGTACCTCTGAACTTCATAAAAAACATGTGATTCTATTAGCAGATCCCTAGCTAAGTTCCATCTTCCCTGCTGTTCTCACATCCTTTCATCTCCTCTCTTTACCCACTGGCACTCACCTTCCATTGCCTTCTCAACTCTTCGCTGGTCTCCATGTCCAAGCCTCCCTTCCTGTTGTCTTTGATCCAATCCCCAATCCTTTCCCACCTGGACTCCTCTCCCACATGCTCCCTTCCTAATGCCTCTTCTTCCCATTCTTCAGAACACCTCCTATGCTATGCGCAAGCTCTGTGTACTTCTGCCTCACTCACCACTCTCCCTCCTACTCTTTTCCTTTATGGTGGTTTTGTTTTTAACTGAAGACATCACATACTCTGCTGTATTCCCATGTGGAAGTCCCACCTTCTTCTGTGGGAAAGGGGGGAATTTTACTTTCTCGTCGCTCTGTTCTGAGAGTGGATGATTGAACTGCCACTTTCTCCCTGACTCTCATGGGATGTTCATGTCATCTTCCAAGGCCCTTGCTATCGCATTGCCACATCTCGTTTCCACCATCCTAGATGGAATATTGACAACAGAGCCTGGCACATAGTAGGCATTCTAATATGTGCCACGTGAACATAATAAATGAGCGAGTGAATAATTGATTCTTCCTAAAAGGTTTTAGCAACTGCCACACTGCTTTTTGCCTATCCTAAGCACATTTTCTTGTCCTTATTTATTGATTCACTGAATAGACATCTGTAGAGATGCTAGGTGTGGCTTGCCACTGGGAGTACAGTGGCAAACACGATGTGGTTCTTCTCTTGGAGCATGCCATTTAGTGAGGGGAAGATATATTACATACATAAATTAATTACAGTTGTGAGAAGTGTTTGAAGAAAAAAGTGCAGGATTTTATGCGGCCTAACCTACGGGCGATGAGGGTAGCCAGTGAGGGCTTTTATTAGGGAGTGAGGTTCAAATCTGTACTTGGGAGGCAATAGTAATTAGTTAAAGTCAAGGAGGGTGGAGAAGAAGGAAGAGTAAAGAGTTTTTCAGGCAGAGCATGTTGCACGTACAAAGGCCCTGAGGAGTGAAGGAGCATGGTACACATTGAAGGGGCTGAAAAAAGACCAGACACGCAGGAGCAGGAGTAGGGGGAGTGGGTGAGGGTACTGAGAGGTGGACTGGGGTCAGGTCTAGGGGCTTCAGCACTCATTTTGTTAACCTTGATATTTCTTAACATCATGGCTATCCACTGTGTACAAAGGATTTTTGCCCTCCATGTTTTTACACATTATTTATTTCTATCCCTGTAAAAGCTCTTTGTCTTATCTTCAACTCAAGAGTGATCACAATGGTGAGTTTGGAAACAAATTAGTCATAATAAGTCAGGCTAGTTGGACAATTAAGAGCGTGAGCTTTGTTCAGACGTGGTGGCTCAGGCTTGTAATCTAGCACTTTGGGAGGCTGAGGTAGGTGGATCACTTGAGCCCAGGATTTCAAGACCAGCCCAGGCAACATGGCAAAACCCTGTCTCTACAAAAAATTAGCTGGGCATAGTGGTGCACACTGTAGTCCCAACTACTCAGGAGGCTGAGGTGGGAGAATCACTTGATCACAGGAGGTAGAGGTTGCAGTGAGCCGAGATTGTACCACTGCACTTCAGCCTGGGTGACAGAGTGAGACTCTGTCTCAAAAAAATAATAAAAGAAAGACCATGAGCCTTACAAAGGCAAAGCTGGGTTTCAGGTCCCAGCCTCGTCACCTTGCTGCTAGGTGATCCTGGGCAAGTTTGACCTCTCTGAGCTTTCATCCGAAAATGAGGACAATAATCTTTACCATGTGGATTTGTTAAGATTAAATAAACAAATGTGGTAAAAGTGCTGAGTACAGAACCTGGGTTGCATGAATTGTTCATTACATGGCTGTGCTTGTTGAGGGTCAGGGAGCATTCAGAGTCCCTGTGCAGTAAGAAACAGAGTAGCCCAAGCCCTTTTTCAGCTGTGTCCCACCTTTTCCTGGCAGAGCCCTGAGCAATAACTGGGGTGGGAGTTCAGGTTTATTGATGTTTTATTCTGTGACTGCTTTCTTAGGGTATGAGCCAAAAACTTTTTCTCATTCTTTGTTCTAAACTCAAGAGTATTTGGCACCAGGTTTAGTCCTAGCCTCTGTTTCTCACTTGCTCCTTAGGGAAACTATCTGTTTTTCCTCTGTTAGCTTGTGTCTGCCTCCTCCTATTTTTATTGTCTCTGGCTCTCACATCACCTAAGCCTGACTCCCCATATTTTTATTTCCCACCCCAGCTTCTCACCCAACTCCTGCCTTCACCCGTCCTGGATTCTGGACCTTTGTCTTCCCTGGTCACTGGAACCTGATTGTCTTTGTTTCAACTGTCCACCAATTTGGTCCCAGACTCTTGGATTGCACTGGATTGGTGATACCATTTATTCCTTTTCCTCCCTTTGACCTCTCGGCTCTGGGGCCATAGCTCATGTATGACACTTGCTCTATGGAGAAACTTAAACCTTGTTTTCCAAGCTTAGACCCAGAATCATGGCCAATCTTCTCTTGGCCTTATGTGCTGTGTGCAAAACCTTATGCTGTTGCTGCTTTTATTTCTTCCTGGATGAGAAAGACATGACCCGTGGATTATCATCATGAATTCTACAGGCCTCACTCTGTTGTACTTTAGTCAGATCGCAGGCATGAGGCTTATTGCATCATATTTGCCTACCCCCATAAAATTATGAAATCTCTGGAGACAGCAGTTGTCCTTAATTATCTCTGTGTCTCCAGTATTTTGTTCAGGGCCTGTTATACAAAAGAAGGCCTTTAATTAATGTTTTCAGTATTAATTGGAAATTGACACTCTGCCAGAAAAGGTCAACCCACAGCGTCAGGGAGGAGTAGGACCATTGGCTGTTAGAGGGCAGCAGGGACCTTGGAATAATTCCAGAAATGGTATCTCAGCCTCAAGTTATTTGGGGGAATGTCCCATGGCCATTTGACAGAGTCAGTGAGGTGGCCAACCTCTCTGCTTGGGGAAGACTTTCTAGATAACCATTAAGGCACAAAAATTGCTGTGTTAATAGCCTTTCCCCCTCCTTTAACCTGTAAAAGATAAGTCTGTGTTTGCTTTGTCAGTGTCCTCTCTTTAAAGAGGCAGTATTTTGGCTAGCTGAGAGAGAGAAGCTAAGTTCATCTATAAAACAATCTATACTCTCAGGGGGAGGAGAAGAGGCACAAAAATCACAAAGATCTATGTGGAGACAGCAAACTTTGGGGAGGTCATTTTGCAGAAGAGTGTTCTGCAGCAGCTAAAGGATAAAAGGAATTGGAGAGGAAAGGGAAAGGGTGAATGGGCCCCTCTGATATTCTCTAACAAAAGCAAATAAAAGATTTAGCTTGTGAATTAGCTTTCTCTGTCTTTTTCATTGTTCTGTCCCTTGCATCAGGCACAATGCTTGGCACATAGATAGCTCTCAGTTAATATTTATTCAATTAATTCCTTAAATAATATTTGTGGCTGTTGGAATTGTATCCTTCAACAAATGATGCTGCCCAGACTACAAGACCTATAGTCACACAATTCACAGTGTTATGGGGCTTGGAGCACGATCTTTTGAGACCCTAACTCTGGTATGGTGGAGGTATTAATGGAGAGGCAGGGAGACATGTACCAACTCACTCCCAACTTCACAGTGAAGTGGCCATGCCCTTCTGTGCGTTAGTTCAGGACCAAGGACAGCATTCCTTGGACGCTCCCCCTCACATTTTAATGCACTATTCCCATGCTTGCGTGTGATTTCAACATCCTGGGCCCCTTGTCTTTCCATTACACCTGCTCTGCAACTTCCCGACTGGGATCAATCTAATACTGACTTCTCCACTTCTAGATATAGACGGCTAAGTACTGCTGGAGAGAAATGACAAAGCTAAACTTTTGGATGACACACAATTTCATGGTTTGTTATCTCAGCTCCACCAAGCAGTCCTAAAATGTCCCTTGTAGTCACTCTTTATCCCATACCCACAATGGTATTCCAAACCTGCATCACTCCAGCTATTCGCACGTTTGCCTTCCTGTTCTGTCTCCATATATGACTTTGTCTCCTATTTCCAGGGGGAATTGAGGTTACAAAGTGTGAATTCCTTCAACTTCCTTTTTACACTCACTTTGCTTTCTTTGTTCACCCTTAAAGGAAAAGGTGTCCCTTGGCCTCTTCAAAACAAAACCCCTATCTCTGCTTCTGATTTTCCTCCCCAACCCTCAGGTCCTCTAGGACCAGACCCTGTTACCTCAGATATTCTCTCCTTCTTCTTGATCTCTGCTGGATCTTCCTAACATACTGGTTAGTGACCCGGACAACCATGAGACTCTGTCATAATCACAAGGACTTCTTATTTAAATATAGAGATTTGGGTACCCTGTTTCTAGCTGACTGAATCAGAGTTTTTGGAGGTGGGCCCTGGAATCTACATATTTAACCAGGATTCCTGGTTCAGAAAGCACCATTAAAAGCTCTGCCTTTACTCTTGCTGCCCCCAAACATCCTGAACCCAGGAGCCAGAAAGACCTCTTCATAATGCAAATCTGATCATCTCATTCATTCCTTGTTAAAAGCCAGAGTTTTTGTTTCCTTTAAATAAGTCAGGTTCAAGGCAGGATACACATGGCACATCAAACTGGACAATATGAAGAGAGTTTAATGCTGGTGATATTTACAAAAGTGTGGCAGGATGTGGGACACAAATAAGGCCTGAGCAACACCCCAGGGCTAACAGCAAAGGGCCTGAAGGGGGAAGAGGAGGGAGCAATTACTTGTGCAATGAAAGAGGGCTGCTTGGCCAGATGTGAAATTAGTGGAAAGAGTCATCTAGCCTGCAGCAAGTGGCAGGAAAGTACAGAGTAAAAGAAATACTCCTTCTTCCTCTGCTTCCTCCTTCTGAACCTGGGTTAGTGCTGGCCTTTGGATGAGGATAAGGGAGACTGGTACAGTGTTTACAGGCCAGCCTCCAGCATCCAGAGCTTGGAGCAGGTGGAGAAGGGAGGAGTATGGGTCTTGGGGAAGGGGAACATGCAAACAGAAGTTACATAGCATGGTTTCTAACCAGCACTCCTAAGATAGGGGCTGAACCCCCATGGTGGCACATAATGTCCTCTTCCAGCAGGCTTTGTCCTCCTGCCTTGCACCCTCCCCTGTAACCTCTATGCAGACTGGCAGAAGTGGGGCTCTGCCAGTCCCAGGTTGTTTAATTGCTCACATCTGTCCCATCTCTTTGCTCATGCAGTCACCTATGTCTGAAATGCCCACTCTGCTTTTGTTCACCTAAAAACTCCCAAACTTCCTGCAAAAGTAAGCCCAAGTGACACCATCTCAATGAAGCCCCTCTTTAGCCTTCTCAGCAATAGAATTGACCACTGCTTCTTTCGTGCTCCCATCATACTCCACGCTTCTCCACCATTGTAATAGTACAGTTGACCCTCTGTTATGCATCCTCGGATTCAAGCAATCACAAATAGAAAATATTCGGGGGAAAAATAACAATTCAACAATAAATAATACAAATAAAACAATGCAACATAACTATTTACATAAAATTTGCATTGTATTGGATATTATAAGTAATCTAGAGATGATTTATGCTATACAAGAGGATGTGTGTGGATTTTTGCAAATAGCCATTTTATATAAGGAACTTAAGCATGTGGATTTGGGTATCTGAGGGGGTCCCGGAACCAATGTCCCATGGATACCGAGGAATGACTGTATTAACATGTATGGAATGCTTACTATATGCCTGGCACTGAGAAGTTTGCATGTGTTAACTAATTAAGTCCTCATAATAACTATATTATCCCCATTTTACAGGTGAGGAAACTGAGGCGCAGAGTGGTTAAGTAAGTTTCACTGGATTACCAAGCTAATAATTAGTAGAGACAGGATGTAGAGCCAGGCAGTCTGCTTAACAACACTGCCATAAAGCTTTATGGCACTAGTACCACTCGACTGTATTAATTTGTTACATGCCTATCTTCCTCTACTCGACCACAAACTCACCAAGGACAGGACGGTATTTTATTTACCTCTTATTCACTACCCTCTTGCCCTGCCCCTGTGCTTAGCACAGCTTGGCAAATAGGGAGTATTCAATAGATGAATGAGGGAAATGAATGAGGAGTGAAAGAAAAGGAATCCTTTACAAACATTCCTTCTTTATGGTTGAGAAGGCTGCAACTCAGAGAAGCTAAATAATTTGCCCTAAGTCCTAGCCTATGCTATAATTTCAGTCCAGGTCTTCCTCACTACAATACATCTTTTTGCCCACCATATCAGGCTGCTTTCAAAAGGAACACAAAATTTTAATGCTATACAGTTGTCCCCAAATAAAAAATATGGCAAGCTGGCAAAATATAGGTTCAATTCATGGAATTGAGGTCAAGATCCAAAGCAGAAACTCTACCGAGGGACCAGGCATGGTGGTTCATGCCTGTAATTCCAGCACTTTGAGAGGCTGAAGCAGGCAGATCACTTGAGGTCAGGAGTTCAAGACCAGCCTGGCCAACATAGTGAAAACCCATCTCTATTAAAAATACATGCACACACACACAAAAATAACCAGGAGTGGTGGCACATGCCTGTAGTCCGAGCTACTCCGGAGCCTGAGGCAGGAGAATCACTTGAACTTGGGAGGCAGAAGTTGCAGTGAGCCGAGAACACACCACTGCACTCCAGCCTGGGCAACAGAGTGAGACTCTGTCTAAAAACAAACAAACAAACAAACAAACAAATAAACAGACTAGAGATATGGAACAGAAAGAAAGTTCTAGGTCAGAATTCAGGTTAATATCCAAAGAGTTGGGATTTAAGAACCACAGTTCTGGAAGCAGAGGACAGACATTTGAATAGCGGATTATTTTGACAGCATCTGAGACAATCCCCTCTTTTTGAAGCTATCACTTGAGCAAACAGAGGGTGGTCAGGATTTAAGGAGTGCGTCTTCTGAGGAGCGGGGTGGAGTCTAACCAAAGCCAGGTCTATAGGACAGCTCTCTGGGGGCTCCAGTTCCGTTATTGGAAATAAAGTACCAGTTAACTCAGAGCTCAACTGGCAACTCCTAAAATGAATAGGGAAAGAGGAATTTCTCCTTTCTTATATAAGCCTCCTTCCTTCAATTAAAAACTGTTTTAAAGCGTGCTTATCAAGGTTGGCTAGTCTCCAAGGAGTGAGGTAATGTGCTGTACCCTACAGCCACAGGCATATACCAGCCAATGGTCAGCTGTCACTATGAGGTACTGTCAGCCAATTTTAAAATGGAAAAATGCATGCCATGATAATGACTTATCTTCTTATCTAAATTTTAAACAGTTAAGATGCCTGGCTTGGAATAGTAATGTATGCAATCAATCAATAATCCCTTATTTTTAAACATAAAGAAGGAGGCATACATTTTCTTATTAATAGAGGATCAGTTTTTATCCTTGCCCCCCAACAAGTAAATGTTCAGCATATATGTTAAGAACATTAGTGTAAGGGGTCCCCAAATATCTGCTATTCCACTCACTGAACCCACCCCTCTCTGCTAATGGCTCCATCCTAAGGAGGAAGAGATGGGCTTCCCTCTCTTTCCCAGGAATGCTGATCCCCCAGCACAGGCTAGTTTGTTCTTCCTAGTGCCTCTCAGCTGGCCCCTTCTCTCTTTCCTTTATTACTTTCTCAGTCTAGACTCTAATTGTTCAGTTACTGGGTCAATTGCCTTCAAGGCATTTTCAGCATGGAGATACGCTTTTTGAGCAAAACTTCCAAGCCTGTCCACAATTTGATGCCTCTATACATTGAACACTTTTCTTGACTATTCCTGCTATTCACTTTAATTGGGGGAAGTTTCCACCATGGTTCTTACAGACAGAAGATCTGGGTTCATTGTTTATTCTATACCTTCAAGCCATGTCTCCCCAGCTTCTATCTTTTCCCTACATACAGGCTCAATTCCCATATCTCTTTTTTCTTCAAATCCTCCCCATCTTAGGACCCTCTTTTGCTATGAAGCTTTCCTTGGCTGTACTGGCCAACATTAATCCGCTTCTCCTGATGGCGACCTTGTACATGCCAGGCACCGTGCTAGACACTTCATACCCAACCGCATGCTTAATCTTGCCAACAAATCTGGGAGGAGAGCTTCCCCTTTCACAGAAGAACAAAGTGAAGTTCAGGAAGGCTAAGCAGCTTGCTCAAGACCTGATAGATAGTAAGTGCTGCGGCTGAGCCCTGATCCTGGAGTTACTG
The DNA here is from genome assembly GCF_000001405.40 of Homo sapiens. Classification (NCBI taxonomy): domain Eukaryota; kingdom Metazoa; phylum Chordata; class Mammalia; order Primates; family Hominidae; genus Homo; species Homo sapiens. The sequence goes on from NC_000010.11 coordinate 94,071,136, forward strand.
TGAAATTAACCCCTATTCCACCAAGACGTAGTCATCCAGCTTGGGCCTGACCCATGCACGGACCAGAAGGGCTGGAAGGAGTGTCCTGCTCACATCCTGCTTCCGTGTCCCTCTCACACCATCCTGGCTAGGAATAGTTTCCTCCAAACCAGAGGCATCACTGAAGCTCTTCATCTTTTTTTCTCCTCTGGGAAGAGGAGTTCATTACCTCACTTCTTACTCCCCGCACATTCCACCTCAGGCTGACTTTCCTGAAATATATGCACACATCTTAAGCCTCCTTTACTCTCTTTCTGCCTTTGTCTAGTTACATAGAAAGTCTTCCTCGGGTTTTGTCTGTGTGTGTGTGTTTGGTTTTCGTTTTTTTTTTTTTTTTTTTTTGAGTCACTCTCACTCTGTGGCCCAGGCTGGAGTGCAGTGGTGCAATCATAGTTCACTGCAGCCTTGAACTCCTGGGCTCAAGTGATCCTCCCGCTACTCATCCTCCCCAGTATCTGGGACTACAGGTGCATGCCACCATGCCCAGCTAATATTTTTTTAATTTGTAGAGATGAGCTCTTTCTGTGTTGCCCACGCTGGTTTCAAACTCCTGGCCTCAAGTGATTCTCCCACCTCAGCCTCCAAAAGTGCTAGGAATACAGGGGTGAACCACTGTGCCTAGCCTTCCTATTTCTTTCCCCCTCAGTGCTCCCCTCCCCCTCTATTTGTTATCACTCTTATTTGGCCCTGTCCTCTCTCTTAGTATTAACTCTTATCTTCCCATTTTTGTCTCTTTTAACGTTTCTCTTTCATTTCATTGCATTGAGGAGCTGAAAAACCCTGGATGGTGTTTGAGTAAGAGCTGTGCTCCAGGGCACTGTTCAGGAGGTCCAGCATCATTCTGCCTGCATTTGGCTCCCAGTTCTGCCAGTTTCTTACCTTAGGCAAATGGCTAAAACTCTTTCTGATTTTCCTCATCTATAAAATGTGCATGAGAGAAGTTACTGAGGCTGAAATGATACTCCTTTAATGTTTGTCTGTTGTTATTGTTTGCATTTGAATTTGAATGTTCTTGGACAGGGCCCATAGTCTCTACTCTTTACCTTTCCTATTTCCACCACTTTGCCTGAATTACCCATTTCTTTCTTTCTTTCTTTCTTTTTTGTTTTTTTTGTTTTTTTAGATGGAGTCTCGCTCTGTCACCCAGGCCGGAGTGCAGTGGGGCGATCTCAGCTCACTGCAAGCTCTGCCTCCCAGGTTCACGCCATTCTCCTGCATCAGCCTCCTGAGCAACTGGGACTACAGGCACCCGCCACCATGCCTGGCTAAGTTTTTTGTATTTTTAATAGAGACGGGATTTCACCATGTTAGCCAGGATGGTCTCAATCTCCTGACCTTGTGATCTGCCTGCCTTGGCCTCCCAAAGTGCTGGGATTACAGGCTACCCATTTCTTTTATTTGCTTGGCTCCTATAGATATTTGACTTTGTGACCTATACAGACGAAAGCATAGGAACTCTTCAGAATGTCTCTTTCAAATTGTCATTTATTTCTTTATTCTCCTACAAATAGACCAGTTTATTTTCAAGCATCAATAGTGATACTTACTTATTTTTTGTTATGTTTCATCCCTAGAATTTCAATAAGAGTTTTCTGTCTTCATTTCTTATGTAATGAAGAGGGTTAGATGAGTCTGACCCAATGTCACCAGGTGGCCTTCCTCTTTGAGCTCTCACCAGAAGTGTCTACTCACCCACACAGATGCACTGGTGAGCAATGTGGAGATCGCTGAAGAGCCCATGGTGCTGATGGGGGAGAGGGTGTACACCTTCCCTCTCAGTAGCAGCTTGGGCCCCTCCTCTAGCATTTCCAGCTGCAGAGCCTCTTTTGTCAGGGAGCACAGGGTGTTTTCTTTCCCTCTCTGCCCCCCACTTCCTACCCCAGGGCACACCAGTTATCCTGGCTCCTGTCTTCATCCTTCCATATCCAGTTTCCCACCCCAAACTTCCAGCATTTTCTAGGAGTGTAACTGCTCCCCCCACCACCCCACCCACCAACCCCAGGCAGTTCATGATCGTTTCTTTTTAAATGAACATTCTGGCACATACATTGTTTTTCCCCATGTCATTACTTAGATTTTTATAGACTAGCATAGTATACTAATCAGCATTTATATTACCTTTTCCATGAGCAAACATGTTTTGAATTCCAAGTAACCAACTTACTTTATAAACTTCTAAATGTTATGTCTAAAGTTATATGGTGCTCAGTGAGGACTGGAAATTGTCAGGAATGGCTTCATGGAAAGTGGGGCTTGAGTTAGACCTAGAGGGGTCTGTAGAAGGAGGTCAGACAGGGAAATATTCCAGGTGGAAGGGTGAAGATACGGAAGCAGAATTGAGAGAAGACAGTTAAAACCAGTATGGAGAAGACAGCATTTTATGATTCAATAAATAGAAGCCAATCGATCAATTTAGTTCATTTCCTCTTCCCTTCCACTTTAGGGTTTTAAGTCAGGAATGGCAATACTGGGCACATGTGCTACCTCCAGCCCACTGCACCCATGGCAGATGCTACTAATCATGACACTTGTTTTTCATGAATTTGTTACCAAAACACCAGAGGTTTGGTTTAGGTCCTACTGCTCCCCACACAGAATGCCAATCACCAAGTCAGCAAGCATTGCCAGGGAAGAAGGCTTTAATCGGTGCTGCAACCAAGGAGATGGGAGATGAGGTTTCAAATCCAGCTCCTGGACTGACAAAAATTAGGGTGTTTATATAGCACAGAAGGCGGGAAAACAGGAATTAGGGAATTAATCATGATCAATGAGGGATTTGATATCTCACTGTCTGGTTGTGGTGATCTATTGAGTTTCAGTCCCTTGTCTGAGGGTCAGTTCCTGAGGAAGGCACTCAGTTAAGACAAATACAAGTTTCAAGTGTTAAGATGGAGGGCCAATTTTTATGTTTATTCAGTGACCCATAAATATCATTTCTATGGGAAAACTGGGTCAGTTTCAAGTTCAGACAGGGCCTAAAATTTTTTTCATAATGTATCATACCAAGCAGTTCTTTTTTTTTTTTTTTTTTTTCTTGTAGACAGAGTCTCCCTCTGTAGCCAGGCTGGAGTGCAGTGGCTCAAACATGGATCACTGCAGCTTCGAACTCCTGAGCTCAAGTGATACTCCCAACATCAGCCTCCTGAGTAGCTGGGACCACAGATGTACACCACCACACCTGGCTAATTTCTATTTTTCATTTTTATTTTTTGTAGAGACAGGGTCTCCCTATGTTGCCCAGGCTGGTCTCAAACTCCTGAGCTCAAGCTATCCTCCAAAGTGGTTGGACCATAGGTGTGAGCCATAACACAGGGCCCATCCCAAACAGTTCTACCAGTTGATCAGAGTTGGCATGCAATGTGAAATCCATTTTCTATTCATGTCCTGAGTTTAGTAAATCTGGTGATTTTTATCTCTAAATGGAACTGCTTTATGAGTATCTTTATTAAGTCCAAAATGTAAACAGCCATTTAGAACAACATTAATATAATTACTCAAATGCTTTACGATACTATCTTGCCAGAACATAGATTTCATAGTGATAAACCAAAACCCACTTAACTAATGCTTAAATATATTTCCTTTTAAAAGGTGTCATTGGTCTAGTTACTAATGATATTAATTGCTTTATTTCCTCAGATCCCAATTTTGCATTGATCCATTTTCCAGGGCTTAGTATTGATTTTTTAAAGAATAACTTGTATAATATTAAGTGAGACAGCCATATCAATCAATTATAGTCCTCTCCTCAACTGGACAATTTATGCCTTGTAAATGTGGGTCTACACATAATGTTTTCTACAATGTCAGTAGGATTTCAAGTGCCTGGGGTTCTGTTCTTGTCTTTGTGGATTCCTTTCTCTGCCTGCCTTCTTCCCCTTCTCTTCTTGGCCTAATTATTATCTTTCAAGAACTAACACAGGAATTATCTTTCTGTGAGATCTTTCTGGAATCCCCACATTCACCATCACAATTAGTTTCTCTCTCCTCTCGGTTCTGTAGTGCTTTGTTTTTGCACCTTTAGCAGAATGGCTAGTTAGTCAGGGATGTGCCCATGTCCCCAGCTAGACTGGGAGCTCCTTGAGGGCAGCACGTGCCTTGTCACCTTCTTCTCCCCTCCATCTAATACGAAGTAGGTGGCAGATGCATCCTTTCCAAATGATTGACATCAATAAGACATTGAAAAAATATTGGGCTAGTAGAATTTTAATTTTGTTTGAACATGTTAATGTCCATGTTGGTTTACTTGAGAACACATAATTGGTGTAAAATTAGGTGACAAATTTGTAAATGTGGATTTAGGGAGTCATTCACATTGAAAGATTGAATTCTACTGCTGACTTCTACTGACTAAACTGCTGGCATTCTGTTCTTTACAGTAAAAGTGACATTGGGTGAAAGCATTGGTATCGGTGTCTAGCTGTTTTGAGCTGAGGCTACCTTTGTTTGAATGAAGGGAATATTTGGATCATCTGACTGGAAATATGTATGTCATGAGACAAGTATGCTGGCACTTCTGTTATGACAACAGATGATATCCTCTTCCTGAGTGAACTGGGAAAGGCAGGGAGTTTGGGGAGACCTGCAGCATGACCTGGGTCACATTCAGAATGCGTTCTGCTGTTCAGAGTTTCCTTGCTCTTGAGTATCACCCTTTGCCTCAGTTTTTCAGATGGAAAATGGGTGGAAGTCAGTGGAATTATTGTGTAATAAAAACAGCTAATGCTTATTTCCTATGCATCAAGTACCATGCTGAATACATGAGTTCATTTAATCCTGACAACAGCCCTGTGAGGTGTTACCATTAGGATGCCTACTTTACAGGAGAGGAAATGGCACCTTGGAGAGGTTAAGTGATGTGCTCAAGGCCAAATCCTAGTCAATGGAAAAGTCTGAGACCCAAATTCAAGTCTTTTTGACCATTGGCCCTGTGTGTGTGTTTGTGTGTGTGTGCGTGCGTGTGTGTGTGTGTGTGTGTGTTACCTCCATGCTAAGCTGCTTCTGCGGTAGCTCTAGAGAGCCTCATAAAAGAGCTAAATAAATAAAAGGGGTACGGGATATCCTTATTAGAGAGAAGAGTGTTTAGTAGGAGGTTATTATCTGTTTTCTTGAGAGAATTCCTGGCTTAGAGTAAAGACAGATGTTATAAAAACTGTACCCTGGTTGATTTGATTGACACCTCAAGATGTTTTGAATCTAGTTACACTTACATTACTGTCAGGTGATTTCTGAGATGTTGCTTTGTTGCAGTACAAGTTCAGAGGACAAAGGTCTTCCAGGGTTGGAGGGGTCAGTGTGAATGGAGCATTGGAGGTTGTGCCGCCTTTTCTGAGCTGTGCATGGTTGTCTTTTTTCCTACCAGTAGGTGGAAATAGAACTGAATCTTTCAGCACTTGCTCTTTCAGCTGAATCCTGGCAGGATTCCTTTAATTTCTGCCATGAAGGAAAAAAATAAAAAACCTCAGGAGAATTTTGGAGTGTACAGTTGGAGGACTGTTATTCTGCAGACTGGAATACTTCCAGTCTGATGGTCAGATAATGATTTCAGCCTCCTAGAAGGCCAGGGTGCTGGAAGCAGCTGCTGGCAGCCGTGGGTGTCCCATGAGCTCTGCTGGACACCCACCTTGAGGGGGGCTTTTCCTATCCTGACCACACATCCTTTTACAAGACTCCTCCCGTCCCACCCGTTTAAACCTTTGTCTTTACTGTGAAGTTGTGTATCATGTTTATTTTCAGAAACTGCATTTCTGAAATTAAAATCTACCAAGCTGAAACAGCACATAAGTGGATAAAGTACAAGAGGAAAGCCTCCCACCCACAGTTCCCTCACTTTCTCATTGTATTAACTGTTTTTTGCATACCTATCCAGACTTTTTCTATAACATAAACAATTATATATCTCATCGAAATAAAACAGGCATTATGTAACAAGTGTTGTTCTTTGCTTTGTGCACTTATGAGTGTATCAGGGCTGCCTATGAATGTGATTCGCTCTGGTGTTTCCCAGTTGGGGGCAGTTTGGCCCCCGAGGTGACACTTGGCAATGTCTGGAGACATTTTCAGTTGTCAACAACTGGGGTGACGGGATGCTACTGGCATCTAATGGGTAGTGGCCAGAGATGTTGCTAAATATTCTACAAGGCACAGGACAGCACCTCACAAAGCATTATCCAGCCCCTAATATTTAGTACTGAGGTTGAGAAACCCTTTGCTAGGTAACCTCATTCTTTGCAATGGTGCACTGAATTCTATAGTGTGAATTTCTCATCCTATGTTAATGTTTTCCTACTGGCAGTCACTTAAGGTTGTTTCCAACTCATCTCACCTGTAATCCCAGACCTTTGGGAGGCCAAGGTGAGAGAATCGCTTAAGGCTAGCAGTTTGAGACCAGTCCAGGCAACATAGTGAGACCCCAAGTCTGCCAAAAAAATATAAATAAATAAATTAGCCGGGCATGATGGCATGCATCTGTAGTACTAGCTACTCCGGAGGCTGAGGCGGGAGGATCACTTGAGCCCAGGAGTCAAGGCTACAGTGAACTATGATTGTGCCACTGCACTCCAGCCTGGGTGACAGAGCAAGACACTGTTTCAAAAAAACAAACAAACAAAAAAACAGTGTTGGAATAAATATTGGTTTACATCTTTGTGCACTTTGAGATTTTGTTTCTGCGAGATAAAGATACAAAATTAAAATATCTGAGGATAGGGACTTTATTTTAAAAGTAAAAAGTACTCTTTTACACCCAGAATCCCTAATTTGCTGTTCCAAAAAGCAAAAGACCTAAAAACAAAGTTTAAAAATTCACAGCAAACACAGGATTTGGTGGCAAAACCTTAGTTGAACTTGTGTGAGGCTAGTCTTTATTTATTACATTTAATGTGAATATTTAGACATCTGTTGCAGAAATCTTTATTTGATTATGGGTTACTGTCTCAGTCTCTGATGATGTAGTTACATAATATGGCACCTTATTGACTTTTTAAAAATATCTGAATTGAATTCTAAAGCTCTTTCAGCTTTTTGGCAAACATTGCCATCTGATAGATTTGTTTGCATTAGAATGGCAGCCTCGGGAATTTAATATTATAGTGATGTGCAGCATTTAGTCCTTAATAATTCTTATATGTTGAAATGAGCAGGTTGTGGTGACTTCAGTGATTTTGTTTTCAGCATCTATAACCCCCTTTTAAAGGTGATTTTAGTCCTATGAAGAAAAATTGCATGTTTTCAGGTCGCAATTCTTGCCTTGTGCTTTTCCGTACAAATTAGCCCCTCAGAAAACATGAAGCATGGTCTTGAAAATCACTTTTTGCTCATTTTTTTTTTTTGAGACAGAGTCTCGCTCTGTCACCTAGGCTGGAATGCAGTGGTGCGATCTCAACTCACTGCAACCTCCCCTCCCAGGTTCAAGCAATTCTCTGCCTCAGCCTCCCAAGTAGCTGGGATGACAGGCACCCACCACCATGCCCGGATAATTTTTGTATTTTTAGCAGAGACGAGTTTCACCATCTTGGCCAGGCTGGTCTTGAACTCCTGACCTCATGAACCACCCACCTTGGCCTCCCAAAGTGCTGGGATTACAGGCGTGAGCCACCATGTGTGGCCTGCTCATTCTTTAAAAGATTGGCAATAGCTACAACATTTTGCATGCTTGCTCTGTTTCATGCTTAGCAAACATTACCAAATCTGACCTCCACAACAATACCTCTAGGAGGTAGTCTTTTTGTCTTAGTTTATCTGCAGGGAATGGGCTTCTGGAAGTTGAGGATGTGTGCAAAGTAACATCTGGGAAGAGGCAGAACCCAAATCTGCAGCTGTAGGTGCTACATCCCTCCACGGTGTAATTAGAATTCACTTTCCCCAATGTGGACAGAGTTTTAATATTTCTATTAAACTGTAATTAAATTAATTAAATTGTAATTGGTAGCCGTTACAAAATTTTTGAGAAAAAAAATAGCCCCAAGTTGCTTTTTCTCTCAAGGGGCTACACTTGGACTTGATGGCAAATAGGAAAATGTCACTTGAGTCAAGTGGATATTTTCATCACAACATTAAGAGAAAGCATTGGAGCAAATCTGAGGTCACGAAGCTCTCCCACCAAAGAACTAAGCATTATTTGAAATGAGAAAACATTAATGTCCTCTCTGGAGCCTGGAATTGACATGAAATTAGGGAAAAGCATTGAGTTATATTTATTTCTTTTGGTTTAATCCCAAGATGTCGGTTTTCATTATGAAAGGGGAGGGGAACATCACACACCAGGGCCTGTCGTGGGGTGGGGAGCGAGGGGAGGGATAGCATTAGGAGAAATACCTAATGTAGATGACGTGTTGTTGGGTGCAGCAAACCACCATGGCACGTGTATACCTATGTAACAAAACTGTACGTTCTGCACATGTATCCCAGAACTTAAAGTATAATTTAAAAAAAGAAATTTAATTTAACATAAAAAATTTAAAAACATATTATCTTCTATTCTTTATAGCAGAGCCAGTTCAAGAACCCTCAGGAAAAATTCTTGCCCTAAGCCAACTGGAATTTCTGACTTCTGAATTTTTTTATGTGACAGGCTTAGCCTGGGGTAGAGTCCAGGAAGGATGCTTCTAGGTTGGTTTTTTAGCTGTTGCTGACATGATTCCCTTTGCTGCCTCCTAGCTCTCGAGGTTTCTCCAAAAAGCATATGCAAGGAACTTTCCTATTCCTTCCTTGGAGGAGTTTCCAATGTTCCTTCTCCACTGTGTCCTCTGCAACTCAATCTACCGATTTGTTTTAACATTTCAAGTTTATAGCTGATTTTACTATTGTGATGGGGAATCCCAGGGTATGAACTGTGTGCAGGACAGTTAACTACTCCTGTTATTTCTTGGCTTGCTAGGTTTTTATTGTTACTTTCAGCTGTCTTTCAGCCTTTTACCCATCGTCCTTCACCTTTGATGAGTTCTCTCTGGTACTTTGGTCTTTGAGAAAGACCTAAGTACACTCCCCTTAGTCCCTCATTTAAATGCCCATTCTCACAGCACCCCTGAACCTTGAGATGTCTTTAGATTCTGCATGAACACCTCACAGGTCCAAACTCCTCTCTGCCTCAGGCCCTTTGTATGTGCTAGTCCCTCTGTCTGGGACACACTCTCCTAGCTACCAGCCTCTTTTTACCTGGTTGTTAACTTCAGTTTATGTTCTCAGGGAAGCCTTCCTAGACCACCACACCCCTTCTCCTAGCTAAGATCAGCTATTAGTTGTGATTCTTTCATGAGTCAGTCTCTACCATGAGATTGGACATGCTATTAGCCCAGGGACCAAGTAAAATGTTTCATTTCAGTGCAATGACTATTTGTGCAGTGAATGAACAAATGAGGCCTGTACTTCTCTGGATTCCGAGTCAGCTTCTCTGCTTTTAGACTTTATTTTCCAGACCTACATTCTTACTGAAATATGTGTGTTTCCTCACATCATTCACCTGTCCTTTTCACTGGCCCCCTTCACCAGCCTTTACACTGTTTCCATTGTAGGCCCAGCCTGCACTCTCAAAAACAGAGTTATCCAGGCACTTCTGTATTCTGTTGTTTCTTAATATCAACAGGTTGTTTTAGAGATAGTTTGTTTGCTTGTGTTTATTTATTATGGATATTTCAAGAATACTGGGAAAGCACAAGGAGCTTATGACAAATAGCCATGTACCACTGCCCAGACTTGCAGGTGGAAACATTTGCAGTATTTGCTTCAAAGAAATAAAATGTTACAGAAACAGTTGAAGCTCCTACTCTCTCCTCTCCCCTCAGAGCTAACCACTGTGTGGACAATTGCCACATGAATTGTTGGAACACCTCAAATGAAAGTAAATAGGAAACTTGACATTTTGGCTAGATTATGGGAGGAAAATGTTATCTCAATCTTGTTTTTTTAAATATTTAACTGATTTCTAGTAAAGTTGAGCATTTTTAATGTTTATTGGCTACCTGGGCTGCTTCTATGAATTACATGTTTATATCTTTTTCCATTTTACCTATTTGCCATTTTTCTATTTATTTTTCTTCTTGGTTTGTAAAGATCTCTGTATATTTGGATTATTCTGTTGCCTGTAATATGTGTTACAAATACCAACTTCTAATCCATAACTTTTCATTTAGTTTTGTTTATATTATCATGTGTTGTGTAGAAATTTTAAATTTCTTTGTGATCTAATGAACATTTTTCTTCATGATTTCTGCTTTTTATATTTTAGGAAATCCTTATGCTGAGATTGTGAAGGTATTCTCATCAAAATGTTTTAAATGTTTTGTTTGTTACATTTTAACCTTTCATTCATTTGGAATTTATTTTTGTAATTAGGTAGAAATCTATTTTAACCAAGCTGCAGTATGCAGTTGAGTATATTTCTTCCTTTGCTATCTTTATACCACTGGCTTGTTTTTCATGTCTTATTACACTGCCTAGTACCTCTAGTATGATATTAAATAGACATGTCCTCAGGCATTTGCTAAACCTTACTTAACTTGATTACACTAATAATCAATAATGTAGGTCTGTATCAGCTTTATAGATGAAGTGACTGAAGCTTAGAGTAGTTAAGTAACCTTTCCAGAATCATACAGCTAGGAGGTAATTAACAGAGTCTGGGGTCAAACCCCAGTCCCAGTAACTTCAGAGTCCAACTGCCTATACTGCCTCTTGGTCTCAGATGACTTGGGGGAAAGGTATCCCTTTCCACCTTGCCTGCTTGTGCAGGCATGAAATTTTATTGAAGTGATGCCAGAGAAGCACTTCCAGTGTGTCTGAAGAAAACTAATAGACTTTGTTTAATTTAGACCTGCCAAGAGTAGATTAAAGAACCTTATAAGTATGAAACAGTTCTTATTCCAGATAATATAAGCATTCACTCAGGTAATATAATCACATCTCAGTGGAACTTCAGCTATAGGGAGTAGATCTTCATAGTAAATTAACATTCTGAGGAATTAACAAGTAACTGCAATGCCTTCCTTCCCAGCCTCTCTCCATGAAAAAGCTGAGGCACCTTACAAAGATCGACCTAAAACAAGGTGAAATAAGAAGATGAGAAAATTAGGACAAAGAGAAATAATATGGTAAAACAGAAAATAATTATTGCCTTAGTGTCATTGGCTAGAGTTTGGCCACCACATAATCCTAAGCTTCCTAGCAACTGAAGCAAAGAAAACCTATCCAGCTCTACAATTCACAGTGGGCACGAGATGAAAATAGAATGGTTGCTAGGGGGATACTCAGCTTTTCCTGCTCCCGGGACTGGAGAGAAGCTTGTGCTTTGGTCCCCAGGGAGGGGCCCTGTGCAATCACAGGGACAGCGCTTACAGCATCTTCTCAGTGGTGGGAGTGCACCTCATGTGACTACATTCCCCTCTACTTTACCTCAAGCTCCTTGAGGGGTGTGTTCTTCATCATATATCAGAGCCCAGCACAGTGCCTGAGACATAGTAGGTGCTCATAATGTATTTTTGAATGAATGAATGTTATTTGTAATTTCTGTCAATGAAAGCCAATGGGTGGATACAAGATCAATACACAAAAATTAATAATTTTTTCCATACATTAGCAATGAACCATCTGGAAATAAAATTTCTAAAAGTTCCACTTATAATATCATCCAAGCAATAAAATAATTAGGAGTAAATTTATCAAAAAAGATGCAAGACTTATCCACTGAAAACTACAGGACATTGTAGAAAAACCAATGGCAAACATTTGAACAAATTCATTAAAAGCAATTCTATGTGAAGCAAAAATACAGAGATTTTTAGGTATATGGCTTTCTGATGATCTGACTTGATCAAAAGGTGTAATTTAAAATTTTAAGAGGAATATTTAAGGTGAACATAGTTTTGGCAATTCTCTATGATTATTTCTTTTTGCAACCAAGCTCCTGATAAGAAGGAATCACAGAGAATTGGAGTTTGCATTCTCTGTTTGCATTGCATCAGATTCTTGGTCAAGAATCTGAATGTTGCCAATAAAGGGTGCTGTTAGGAATTAAGGTGAGCCCATAACATATGTTCCGTAATTGCTTTGTGAATTGGAAAGGTGTGTATTGGATAAAATAACATCAGGGTGTATGTGAAAAATACACTGCCTCAAATGTTTAGCAGTACCTAATTAAAGACCCTTAAGATTACTGATTCCAATAATTAATCTGTATTCTGATGTATAAAGGTGTCGGTCGTTTTCATCAGCCCATTTTTTTGGGGCCCACAACATATGCTTAACAGTTCCCTAAACAACTCTATAAAGGAGGCACTGTTACCATCTCCTTTTACAGAAGAGGAAACTGAGGGCTAGGGAAGATAAGCCATTTGCCCAGGGTTCCACACTAGCATGTGATAGACCAGAACCTGCACCCAGACATCCATTTGCCCTGCTGTGCAGCCCCTCTCATTTCTGGCCTAAAGATAGCCAACAGCAGTTTCCTCTGATTTGCTAGAAGTATTTTTCCTGTTAGGTATAGTGTGTGCTTGGACTTTGGAGGCTTCATTTTGATGTTGTGCTCAGTATGCCACAATTAAAGAATTATCCTAATTTTAAGATCATCTTTCCAGAGAGTCCCTCAGAACTTCAGGATAACCAAGTACAGTCTGAATGACATTTGCCAAGTGTTGGCCTCGGAAAATTTATTGCTTCAACAGGGGCCTGTTGCCAGTAATGATTGGCCGACTTTTTTCTTGCCTAGCAAAGACTTTCATTCTGTAAAGGTAACTGAGAGTTTGTAGTTAAGATCTTGGACTCCAGACTCAGTGGACACGGTTCAAGTCCTGGCTTAATAATAGAACCTTCCACATAGTATTATTGGGAGGATTAAAGGAGGCTATCACATAGGGCACTTAGCACCATGGGGTGCTTAGAAAGCTTTTAAGAATGGTAGCTGCTAAAACATACAATCCTTTAAAGTTGGACTTTGGAGTAAGGAGTGCGCTTCGACAACCAGCAGTAGCTGCCAGCAGTTTAGACTGAGAATGGCTCTGTGCAGCCAAGCCTCCTAAAGCCACCTGGAAGCTCTCCAGTCTGGACTTTGAAAATTTAAATATTTTTCAAATTTATTTTTGACCAAGTTTAAAGAAAAGGGATTCCCACAGTGTGAAAGGGGCTGCCATAGCTTTGCCGTTTCCCCTAAGGAAGGGCCTGAGGGAAGCTTCTTTTTGTTGGTGGAAGAAATGAGGGGAGAGGGCAAGAGTTTGGGGTAGGGAAGAACTGGACTGGAAGCTGAGTCTGGTCCTCTTTAGTCTGCCTCTTCAGGCCCCCATCCCCGGCCACCTATTCCTCTTCTGTAAAACCAGGGCGCTGGACTAAGAGGCCCTTCCTGTGCCGACATTCTGTGAAACCATAAACGCTTGTCTTGAGCTACAGTTTAATGTGAGCCCTCAGGGCCCTTGTAAGTCTGGGCCATTGGAAAGATGTCTCCGCATCTTTCATGTGAGTCAAGAGGTGGCTTTGTCTTTTATCTTGTCTGGTGTCCATACATCCCAGCTTTAAATTCCTCTTAAAATTTGGAGCCAGGGAAAAATTTCTCTTGCTGCTTAAATCTTCACACTGTTTCTGATTGGACAATGCCAATGATACACCTCAGGGTATTTCTGTTATTGTTTCATTTGCCAAGAATCTCAGAGCTAAATGCAGTGACCAGCAATTGCGGCTTCCTTCAAACAAGTCAGGTCTCAAAATCTATCTTAAAACTGTATGTTGCTGTTTAATTTTATGTACTTTAATGGAGAAGCCACATCAAATCCATTTGTGGCATTAAACAGGAAAAATCACCCATGCAGAATGACATAGTAAATAAATGCAGAAATGAATGAATACCCCTCCTCACTGTCAGCTGGCTCCTTCTCTGCCCCTAGTGAGTATGAAATTACAACAACAATAACAAATAAAATGTATAAAGGACCTACTCTGGACCAGTCACTGTTCTAAGTAGTTTATGTATATTTTCTCATTCAACAATCTTGTGTTTGGGGGTACTATTATTGTATTTATTTAAACATGAGGACAGGCAGGATTTGGGGGGACATTAGACCCTGCAAAATTCTTTGGCTTTGGGGGTCCTAGTGGTAGAGAGGCTTTGCCCCATCTGGTACTGGCTTGTTTATGTGGCTAATTAGTAAGCTAACCAAAGTCAAACAACCAAGAAAAAGACAAGGAGGAGGAGGGGAGAATTGATGACCACAGAAGGCAGGAAAACCCTCTCTGGCTTCTGACTATCCTGAGATCTACTCTGAACTCCGGTACTGACTTGAGGAATCTGTGGCGTCTCAGAGGCAGTCCATATTTTGGAATGTGTTTGGGGGTAGAGCTGTGCTTGGAGGAGTCATCCCGAGTTCCTGCAGACAGGACTGTTAGGAGGCCAGCTGGGCTGCAGGGTGTTCCACATGTCCATTGAGGCACCCTGCCTACACCTGATGAGTTTGTAGAAACATTCCCCAGCGGTTGCCTGACTTCCAGGGCTGGCACTAAAGGGGGAACTAGTCAGCCCATCTGACCATGAGTCCTAAATAGTTCCCATGGAATATTCAGTGCTCTGCACTTACTTCTCTTAGCACTGAATGCCAGAACGGCCACTAGCAGGGGCAGGATGGGAAACTGTAGTAGCCTGTCACGAGCAGGCTGATCATCCAGGGCCTGGCCTGGAAGACAGACTGGGTAAGTATAGTCTTCATTTGGCCATTGTGCTCAACTGGCAATGTGCCCACAGTCAATATGCAGATGTCTAGATGTGGCCAAATAATAATACAATTTTAAAAAACAAATAATCGAGAATTTGCATGTTCAAAATATCTCTCAGTCAACAAATATTTGTTGAGCCATCCCCTGTGCCCAGTACAATGCCAGATCCTGGGGGCATGGCAGCAAGCAAGCTCGTTGGGGACCTGCTGATTGGGAGCTCACAGTGAGCAGGCAGGCATGTGATTATTCTGCAGGCAGTGACTTCTGGTGTGGTTAAGTGCTGTGCTGGGGAAGCTTTGTCTTTTGGAATCTCTTTGGGTAGCTCTTTAATCTGGAGATGGTATCATTGCTCAAAACATTTTTGGAGCTGCCCTTTAGGAATTGCCTTTAGAACTGATTTGGGTCACACAGTAAAATCTATCTCACTTTTATTTTACGGCCACACCCAGCTTGTGACCAAAAATGGTATTGCCCAGCTTGACGACCCATTTTATTTTCTAGTCTTGGCTCTGATTTGCTTGTAAGCCAAAATTACATCCACCCTTTAAAGATGGATATTTATGACCACTGAGCATATTAGCAGTAATTTGGATAATTTTGAAGCAATTTCTCACTTGCCTAAGCTCCCATTGTCCTTTATATCTCTGTTGTAACACTGTCCAATCTCTCTTGCAGCTGAATTACCTCCTTCTGCCTGTGTTTTCCCCACTAGGGTGGGGGTCTTGGAGGATAGGCCCATATGTCTACACTCTCTGCAGTGCCCAGCACGGAGCACATGTTCAAAATGTGTATTTATTATAATTGAATGTATGGGTTGAATTGAAAGGAATCCAAGAGGTGTCTCAGGATTGCTCTGAGTAACAGGAGCACTGTTGGAATGATGGGCAGCCCAGTGGGCTCTGGAATCTCACAGGTCTGCCTCCAGTCCCTATTTGTCCCCTTGACCAGCTGTGTGGCCCTATGCAAATCATTCATTCCCTCAGATCCTTCATTTCCTCATCTGTGGAATAGAGATAATAATACTTGCCTTACTGGGGCTATTATAAGGACAAGTGGAATATTCACATAGTGCCCTAAGCACAGTGCCTAAATGGAGGTGATTAGTATTCTTGTAATATTGGAGCGAATTCTTGTTTGGATGCATAAATTCTGATTAAAAAAAAATAACTCACCCAGAAGTCACATTATTTAAAATCATTTGCTGGCCAAACACAGTGGCTCATGCCTGTAATCCCAGCCCTTTGGGAGGCCAAGGCATGAGGATTACTTGAGCCCAGGAGTTCGAGACCAGCCTGGGAAACATAGTGAGACCCTGTTGCTATAAAGTTTTTTAAAAAATTAGCCAGGTGTGGTGGCTTGCACCTGTGGTCCTAGCTACTCAGGAGGCTGAGGTGGGAAAATCACTTGAGCCTGGGAGATCGAGGCTGCAGTGAGCTGTGATCACGCCACTGCACTCCAGCTTGGATGACAGAGCGAGACCCTGTCTCAAAAAAAAAAAAAAAAAAAAAGAAAAATCATTTATCATAGAAAATGTATTCTGCAAGGAACCCTAGAGCCCATCTAAGTCCAACCTCCTAATTTTCTTTTTCTTTTGTAGAGAGAGGGTCTTGCTCTGACATCCAGGCTGGAGTGCAGTGGTGTGATCACAGCTGTAACCTCAAACTCCTGGGCTCAAGTTATCCTCCTACCTCAGCCTGTCAAGTAGCGGAGACTACAGGCGCACACCACCATGCCCAGCTAATTTTAATGTTTGTAGAGGTGGTGGGGGAGGGGTCTTACCATGTTGCCCAGGAAGGCCTTGAACTCCTGACCTCAAGCCATCCTCCCACTTCGTCCTCCCAAAGTGTTGGGATTACAGGCATGAGCCACCATGCCTGTCCCCAACCTCCTAATATTAATGAGATTCAAAAAGGGAAGTGGACTGACTAAAGTCATTGGTTCATGACAGAACTGGGCCAGGCCAGAGCTCTTTTCATGTGACGTTTGATACTTACCCCTACATTTGGAGGTGCCACCTTCCTTGCAAGGGCCTTGCATTTAGGCCAGGAGCTCGGATACTGGCACTTCTGGACAATGGTAGCCAAGAATTTAGGATATGCACTTGGGGAGCCACAGCACATGCTTTGCACACCCTTTTGCAGCAACACTTTGTCCCTCTGCAGGGTGTTGAGCATGCTGCTGTGGTTGTGTAGCTCACAAAGCTGGCATAAGCAATACAAACTGGTGGTTAGGAAGCATGCTGACAAACCTGGTACCATTACCTAATAGCTTACCACTACTTGATCTCTCTGAGCTTCACCTTCTTCACCTGTAGCATAGGAACAATAATGGAATCCACCCTATAGGGTTGTTGTGAAGGTTAAATGAGATAATGCATGAAAGTGCTTACACATTGCCTGGCACAGGATAAACACTTCTTAAAATTTACTATTATGATCAGTAATACATCCAAACCAAATATTCTGCCTCTGGCATCTCCACTAGTCTCAAGCTAACCTCTAATCTGCAATGAAGCCTTACCAGGTCTCTCTTCCAAGCAGGTGCTGTTGACAGACTTTTACCCCTCCCTTCACAAACATGACCTCTCACATCTCCTGTTTCACCCCAACCATGGACCACAAGATCCTAAAGTAATCAATAGCAGTTGCCCATCAATAATAGGGCTAGGAACTCCTGGGTTTTCTTGTTCATCATCAGTTATAGGAAGAAAAATTGGCCACTGGCTTAAACAAATACTGTCTTTCTTAGGAGTTGTCTTTACTTTGAAGGCACTTAGACCCTTGGGAGGCTCTGCTATTCTGCAGCATGGCAGGTGCCCACATACCTGGATGGCTGCCTTCTATTATTATTCCCTTGATACTGGGTTCTTTGCACATGTATACACTTTGGGTTCTATTTGCTACCCTTTTTTTTAAACTTGACTAAAACAGTGAGTAATTGGGAAGTTCTGAATTTCTATTTGGAAAACAAATTGATGAGATCAGAAAAATCCAAGTAATCCTAAATTTACAGAAGCCAGATTACTAAAACGCAAGGACATTTTTTTGTAATGTAGAAAAGTTATGTTTCACAGAGGTTTTTGCAATGCCCTGACTCTGGATCGCAGCCCTCCCTCGATTCTGGGTATTACATCATTTCATTTCAGCTAATGTAAACACTCATCACCCTGCACGTTGCAGGATTTTTCACTGTGATTTGAGATTGGGCTTCATTCAGTGGGTCGTGGTGATTAATGGTTTCAGAAGGAAGTGCAGCAGGAAGAGACTTTGCAGGAATGGAAGAGGTGAGGCAGCTCCACGTGAGATTCTGCAAAGGGATTAAGATTTGGCACCAGGCTTGGTTTCTGTGCAGCCTCTTAGGCAGAGAGCCCCAGGAGAGGGAAGCAGGCTGTCAGCTGTGGCTTTGCACGCTCTCAGCTGTCTTGAAGGTTGGTTGGCTCTTCCCGCTCTCTGAGGTACCCAATTTTACCTTGTTAAAGGATGGATGTGGATGCTGGAGGCTTAAAGAAGACCAGGTAAGGGTTCTTGTTGTCTAAGAAATCCCCCAGTGTTCTTAATGCATGGAATCCTGGGGACTGTTTCTTTACTAGCACCATTGTGCAGTGTTAGCCAAAATACAATTCCTCTGAGACATTTTACAAAGAAGATCAGAGAAGTTTCTTTCCTTGTTAAGAAAGTTTCTAAAATGTTTTAACCTAAAATGTTTAACTATAGAGATACAAATTATTTTTCTTGCTGTGCAATTCAGCTTTGAGATTTTTTTTGCATGTTAATCTACAAGATCTCGATAGGTATCCTGAGAGTTTATTAGATGTTTGTTTTCATTCCTTTTGCAATGGCCTATGGTATATTATGTATCAACATTTAATGTGATGAAAACGTCTCACTTATATTCTTCAGGATACTCGCTTTTGAATAAATTGCTCTTCTTTTTGCAGATTTGGTTTGTTGCTTTCTTTTTTACCTTTTGGCTTTTGTGATTATAATACTAGTAAGGAATATCCTGAAGTAGTTATAGTTTTTTTTCTAAGAGGAAAAAACTATACTCAGGAGTTAAATGCAAACATTTGATAGCATCCCTGATTAAAATGAGCTACATGTTTTTTGGTGTTTCAAATATGCTTTTTAAAAAATTTTCAGTGTAAATGTCCATAGTTTTGGGAAAGGTAATGCAGTTTATCTGAGTGGTCATTTACTTATAAACATTAAAAGGATATTAGACCTTTGATAAGATTAGCTGAAGAAGAGGTCATTGAAAGGAGTAGTTTTCTGCTCACCACCAACTCATTTCCAAATTCTGTTGCTTTTCTTAAAAAAAAAAAGGAGTTAAAAATAACCCAGAATAAAACTTGAAAACTGTTTTGTTTCTCTGTATTTGGCTAACTTCATCCCAAAGTACTGTGTTTAAGGAATTCAAGCTATGAAGACTACTCTTGAAATGGCTCACATAATTCTATCTGCGAATTTCCATAATCCTTTTCAAGAGCATATGATGTTTTATGAGTGTTAGGGTTAAAAATTTCAATTAAGTGTTCATTCCTTCTACAACCCTGAGAGATGGATAACAACCCTCAGAAAAATAACATGAGAAATTGTGTCCGTGTCCTGACGCAGGCTCATTTTTCCTGTCCAAAGTTGTGTGGAAAGGGGGCATTTGGCATCTCTCCTTCCTTATGGAAGGTGCGGGGTGTCTTGGTAGAAGTGAATGTCTGTGGTCTTTGTGGTAGATGGATAGATGCAGGGACTCCTGATCACTTTAATTTATTGGAAATCAAATGTTTTCATTAGATGTAGGGGACTGTGACTCTCCAGCTTTGGTTGAGTGGGACGAGGTCTATGCACTCAGTGGTTCTTCTTGTTTTTGTTCGGTGAGCCCTTTCAGCCTATGTCGTCCTGTTTTTCTTTTTGGAAACAGACTGGCAGCAGTCTCTTGCGTTTTGTGTTACTTTAATCTAGCATTTTAACCATTGTATTTTCTTTTAGTGGGATGGCTAATAGTAAGGTTGGCTTGAGCCTCAATTTGAGAAGGTGTGAGAATAGCTGTAATCTTTAGGAAAAGAAAATCATTCCAAGAGTTAAAACATGCAGACTCTTAATTGTGCTGTGTCCATTCTATTTTAGAGGAATCTAGACAAGCTATTGTTACAAATGCTTTTCCTCAAATGTTTTCAGAAGACCAAAAAATATATATATAATTTTTTGTCAGTGTATTACATTATCCTCATTCTGTCTTTTTTCTCCTTATCTGTCATTTTGGAGAGAGGGAAAATTGTTCAGGTAAACAATTGAGGAACAATTGCCAGAAACATCTGGGAACAGTCGCCATGGATTATCTTTTCCTTCTTAATGTGATCTTGATGAAGGTTTTACTTGTTTGGTCTTTTTATTTCTATTAAAATGGTAAGACATGTGCATGGTTGAAAAAAATTCAAACAGTACAAAAAGGGTAAACAATGAAAAGCCTCCTCCATGGCATCTTAACACTCAGTTCTTCCCTCAGCAGTAAACAATGCTTTAGATCTGTGCTTTTCAAACTTTCGTATGCCTAAGCAACACCTGCAGAGTTGGTTACAACACAGCTTCTGAGGCTCTTTGGGGTGTGAGGAGTAGATTGAGAGGGGAGAGAAAGATAACTATAGTTCATTATATAACTATAGTCTACAGTACCTAAGAGACAGGTGGAATTTGAGGATTCTAGTGACAGCAGGAGACAGGGGTATAAAGAAAAAAAGACTGTTGAGTTTCTTAGGAATTGAAAATGCTCTTGAGATAGTTGGCAATGAAGAGTAAGAAGCCAGGGTCATGAAACAGAGTATTAGAGTAGTGAAGAAATCCAAGGAGCTTCAGCATAAAAATGCCATCAGGAGAGGCCCAGTGGGTGGAAATAGGGAAATAGTCAATAGTTAATGGAAAATATAGCAATAGAAGGGGGTTATGGGCCACCTGACAAGGATAATGAGATTGAGCTGGAAACTGGAATAGGACTGGCCAAGCTAAAAAAAAATCAGGCCAATTAGCAATAATGAGAGTGTTTATTCACTTGTAGATTGGCAAAATACCTCCCTGGAATGAACTAGGACAAATGATCATTTCCTGTGCTAATGATTTTATAGCAGAAAAGAAAAAGAAATACCATAGAAGGTACAGGGAGGTGTCTGTGTGTGAGCCACTGTAATTTAATAACCCTAAGAAATGTAAGATTAACGGTCTGATGCAAGGAACGGAAAACCAAGATAATGTATACCTGACGAGAATTTTAAAAGCATGAATAGTAATTATGAAAAATAGTCAATAAACCTCAAGAATCTTGTCAATGAATTTTTTTTAAAAAAGGTTAACTGCCAAACACCTTTTCAGAAACACAAAATATGACAGGATTCAAAAAATCATTTTGAGAGGCACGGGTGAGAAGAACTAGGTTTTTTTCCCTACCCCACCTTCTTTGTCCAATAAAGTAAGAAGAAACAACCGACGCTAAACACTTTCTTTGTGGCAGGTATTGTGTGAAATCCTTTATGTTCCTTAATTTATTTTGCCCTTATAGCTCTGGAGGTTGGGATCATAATTATTATTTACAGATACAGTGCAAAGAGAATTGCTCAAGGAAGAGCATATTCCTTCATAAGGAAGGGACATCTTTGAAAAAATAGGAAGTTCAGTTGGAAAACCAGAGAAACCCACCTAGAAAGCCCAGTAAAAAAGTTCACATAATTTAAGGAGCATTCTATAAGAAACTGACATTAAAGCAAAAATAAGAGAGACTTTTATAGGAATCGAAGTGAAGGAGCAAGGCAAAGATAAGGAAGAGACTTCAATAAGGAAGAGACATCTTTGAAAAAAATAGGAAGTTCAGTTGGAAAACCAGAGAAACCCACCTAGAAAGCCCAGTAAAAAGGTTCACACATAATTTAAGGAGCATTCTATAAGAAACTGACATTAAAGCAAAAATAAGAGAGACTTTTATAGGAATCAAAGTGAAGGAACCAGGCAAAGATCCAGCAGAACCTTTGCAGATGCTCAGAATACTCCTTGGGCGATAGAAAAGGGAGCCAGCAGACACAATAAATTATTTGCCTTGGTCTTTTCAGAAAAATATATCAAAATCATCTTTAGAAGCAGAGGTACTAGATCAAAAAGTAGTAAATGAACAGAATGTTCTAGACTGAGTTGACAAACTGGATATGGATAAATCACAGGGACAGGTTGGCCTTCATCCAAGAGTTCTAAAGGAATTCAAGGGTGAAATCATGGAGCTGTTGTTAAAAGCAACTCATTTTTACTTTTGAAAGTCTAGCAGCCCCCTAAACCTTGGTTGCCTGGTAAAATTGCCCAGCTCCATCTCCCTGCAGTACATTATTTAAACATAAATTATAATCTGTATGTAAAATGTAAAATATAATAAATCAAATAATGTTTTCAATAACTGTGATTTTGAATTCCCAAACCATGTCATGTCACTGTTTTGAAAGTCTTTGTGAACGTTTCATTCTTGAAATTGCTGAGAATTACCAGCCCCTTACAATCATGTAAAATAAGCTTATCATAATTCATGTGAACTCAGTAGCAAAAGCACAAAGAAACAAATAGGCAGTGACTCAGTTGCAAGAAAGTATTCATCATACAATGTTACTTCACTAAAGGGGGAAAAGAATCCTGCAGCCTCAGAAACAGACAGTCAGTGTCCATTAATTAAATAAATGCCATGTGAAGGATTTGAAAACTAATCAGCTTTTGAGTTCCTAGCTGCACAGTCCCACTGCCCAATTTGCCTGGTGGTCTGGCCCTGCTCCCATTTATCTCAGGCCTTCTTCCATTTCTTATGGTCTTGACTCTGCCTAGGTCTGCAGCCCAGGTGCTCTGTTCTCTGCTTTACTGCAGGTGGCCCTAGTTTTCTATCACTCATGACCTGCACTCTGTGTCGCAGAGTAGAATAGTGATGGTGGTCTGGGAAGACAGGATTTGTGCTGGGTAAGACAGAGAGCCAAGTACAGGGTTTGTCAGGGTCAAAAGCTAGCAGTAAACCAGAGATGTGGAGTGGAGATGAAGGTCATTCAGTCATTTAATCGGTATTTCTTTTTTTTTTTTTTTTTTTTTTTTTGAGACGGAGTCTCGCTCTGTCGCCCAGGCTGGAGTGCAGTGGCGGGATCTCGGCTCACTGCAAGCTCCGCCTCCCGGGTTCACGCCATTCTCCTGCCTCAGCCTCCCAAGTAGCTGGGACTACAGGCGCCCGCCACTACGCCCGGCTAATTTTTTGTATTTTTAGTAGAGACGGGGTTTCACCGTTTTAGCCGGGATGGTCTCGATCTCCTGACCTCGTGATCCGCCCGCCTCGGCCTCCCAAAGTGCTGGGATTACAGGCGTGAGCCACCGCGCCCGGCCTCGGTATTTCTTTTGAGCTCCTAGAATGTACCAGGCATTGTACGAGGTATACAAATATGAACAAGACAGCCACCGTGTTAGAGAGAAACAGTAAACAATTACAGTAGAGCAGAGTTCCTCAACCTAGACACTAGGTTGACATCCAATTATTTCCTAGAGGCAAAATTGCCTCTGTTTGAGAACCACTGTGGGAGAGTATGACAGGTGCATGAATGGAGAAAGAATAGGCCATTATGGGAGTTCATAGCAGGGCTTCCTAATGCAGACCTGGAGGTGAAGGAAGACTGCCTAGAGGAAGTCATATCCTGCAAGACATCTGCAGGGTGAGTAGCCCTCACATGAAAGTTGGAAGAGGACAGTCAAGGAAGGGAATGATTAGACATGGAGACCAGAGGGAGGAAACCCTGGGTCAGTCATGGGTAACTACTCTTACCAGTGGTGGACGCTCCTTTTGGTGCCAGCCTTATCAATCCCAAGTGCCAGAGTTTCACACCCGGCATCTGACAGCATGCTTTCAGAGGCTGTGCTCATGCACGTAGCTGCCACTAGATGAGGAGTGATGCTGGTTTAGAGATCCTTAGGCTTAGTGGTCTCGGGTGCAAAAGGGGAGGAAATCGATATCTAATTCCATAGAAGTAGAATTCTCACTAAATTAACTGCCCCTTTCAACTCCAATGCCTATTTTTGATTAGCTAAATCTAAGTTCATTTGACCAAGATTAAAAACTTATTAGCAAAAAAACTTCTTTTCTTACATGGCTACTCCACAAACTGTTTCCAACTGCTGGTAACTGCAGACCATTTTGGCAACTGTTTAGCAAAGAATACATTGTAATCATCCTTAAAATACCTCCCTTTTCCCTCTATTTTCTTTATAGCTGGCTCCTTTCTAGAGAGAGACTGGTCTGTATTTCTGCCAGCAAAGACCCGTTGGCCACATACTGGGTCAGCCTCGGGACTCATGCAATGACAGGCACATTCAAGAAAGATGCACTTTGTGTCTTCACATCGTAGGATCCCCTCTGCAGCATGCCTTTTCCTATTGGCTCCTTGATCCCCTTGTCCCTCAGGGGCCTTTCAATTTCTTTCTTTCTTTCTTTCTTTCTTTCAATTGTTTTGCTTTGGTTTCGGTTTTGAGACAGGATCTCTCTCTGTCACCCAGGCTGGAGTGCAGTGGCACAATCTTGGCTCACTGTAACCTCCACCTCCCAGGTTCAAGCGATCCTCTCACCTCAGCCTCCTGAGTAGCAGGGACTACAGGCATGCACCACTGCACCTGGCTAATTTTTGTAATTTTTGTAGAAATGAGGTTTCATTATGTTTCCCAGGCTGGAAATTTCTTAATAACAATGATTGACATTCAGCACTTGCTGTGTGTCACCAGCCACAGGGCCGCATGGGAGAGGAGAGAGAGGCACTAAAAGGTAGGGGAAAAGAAAATTAAAGCCTAGCACCATACTAGCCACTTCAAGTAAGCTATTTCCCTTAATACTCCCAGAAAACCCTTAATGGGTGGTGTCTTCCTCACTTTACAGATGAGGACCAGGCCTGATTTTATACAGCTATTAAGGGGTACAGGTGGGATTTGAGCCCTTTGTCAGACCCTGAAGCCCATGTTCCTTCTACTTCTGTGTTTGGAGGAACTATCCAGGCCAGTGGGCCTTTTTGTGGCCCAGCTCCCAGGCCATTAGGACAATATCATCAGGGGTCTTCAGGCTACAAGGCAGATCTGGAGTTGAGGGAGGCTGTCATCTTCAGCTGTTATTGGGGGCTTCTTGTGATCTACATACATCCTTATTTGGGCCGTGACTTCATTGCCCATTCCCAGATTGCTGAGATGGCTTCAAAAGCAAGGACCCCAGTTCTCCTTACCCTCACAGCTGTCCCACTGCCTGTTCCTAGGGCAGTATGGAATGATGTTAAAGATTCCAGAACCAGGATTTAGAAAATATGGAGACTAGGTACCTCTACCTTCCACTTGCTAACACACTCAAGACGAAGCAACAAATAAATCTGTTGCTTATCTAACAGATTGTTTTGCAAAATGATAAACCAGCTGTATTAGTCCATTCTCACCCTGCTAATAAAGACATACTGAAGACTGGGTAATTTATAAAGGAAAGAGATTTAATTGACTCACGGTTCTGAAGGGCTGGGGAGGCCTCATGAAACTTAATCATAGCAGAAGAGGAAGCAAACATGTCCTTCACCTGGTCGCAGCAAGGAGAAGTACCAAGAAAAAGGGGGAAAAGCCCTTTATAAAACCATCAGATCTCGTGAGAAATCACTCACTATCATGAGAACAGCATGAAGGTGACTGCCCCCGTGATTCAATTACCTCCCACCAGGTCCCTCCCAAGACATGTGGGGATTATAGAAATTAAATCCCCAGATTTGAGTGGGGACACAACCAAACCATATCACCAACCATAAACCCTACCTGATTGTCTCAACTGATTGCCCTGGGCACGAAATCACATGATGGTTATGAAGACAGGCTGAAAAGATGCACAACTTACCATCGTAAAGAGATACTGTGTCAACAATAAAGGGGAAAAATTCCTTATTGAATTTGCTTATAGGAGAGACATGTTTGCTGAGCAGAGGGATGAAGGTGACTCCATAAGAAGGTGAGTTCTAGAGAGAAACATTCATATCAGCGAGTCTGACTTCCTCATGAGGCTAGCAATTGGAATTGTAATAAAGGGAAACTTTCTATACTTAGGTAATAATGACATTTTGGGCACAAGGTATTGTGGCTTCTATGAAAGAAAGTACCAAGAAGTTTATAACTGAAAGGATCACACTGATTACCCAACTACCCCTCTCCTTTAACTGATGATGAAACTGAGGACCAGAGACATGGATGGGTAGACCAAGTTCATGTGTAGTCAGAGCTAAAGCTAAGGCTACTTGACCTATAAATAGAGGTTTGTTTACACTGTGTGTATGGGAGAAGGGAAACCCTAGAATATCTTTTATTTAGATTTTACTTGAAAATTATCTTTGTAGGGAGATTATGTCTCCCTCCAGAGGCTCTTAAAGATTTGGTCATCATGCACTGGAGGTATGCTGTGTTGAAAAGATTAGGACCTGTGCTGAAGAAAGCACCACACAGGCACACATCAAGGGGGAAAAAATGATTTTTTTCACAGAATTTATTCATTAATAAATCTATTCCTTTATCCAACCAATATTTACTGTGCACCCACAACAGTGTGCCAAGCATGATGCTAAGTGCCAGGATGTAGAGTAGACAGACAAGCCTCCTTCCCTTTGAGCTTCCAGTCTAGCTGTGACCAGACTTATTCTGAAATGATTAAGGAAGGTATCCAGTGAGCTATGAAAGGTAGTAAGGCGGAGCTTAACCATGAGAACTCCTGAGAGGCCTATTTGAGACAGGGATGTAACAAATGGGTTTCAAAATGGGTGATTCCAAGTAAAAGCATTAAGCTTGGTGGTCTAGTATTTTGGAAAGTTCAGCTATTTGCACAGAAAGGAAAAATGTCAAAATAAGGGAACCCAGCAGGAGCCTGCTGCCATCGTCCAAGTATGTGGTGCTGAGCCTTTAGCCAGAGCTGGGGCAGTCAGAATGGAGAGGAAATGTGTCATCTGAGTCATGCTCCAAAGTAGCATTGGCTGCCTGGCCTAGGGGTTGAAGGAGAGGAAAGAGACAAAGGTGGTGCTGAGGTTTCTGACCTACAGCAGTGGACAGGCGACAGAGATGAGATTATGGAGACAGTGTGGATATTTGGGGAAAGTGACAAGGTCAGTCTGAAGTAGCCTGATTTGGAAGGGACTGGAGAATGGTCCAGGTGAGCTGTCCTCACAACAGCTGCTTAGCCCTCACTTGGATAAGTACATTTAGGACCCTTAGGAAGAGAATGACTTTTCATGTCGTCAAGGAGACTGAACTCTCGTGGAAGACAAGTAGTTGCAGAACAAAATGGAAGATTGCTGGGGATTCACCATTCCTTCCTTTTTTAACAAAAACTTACTGTGTAAAATTTTAAACAAACACAGAAATACAGAGAATAGTATAATGACCCCCTCTTTACCCATCACCTAGCTTCAACATTTATAAACATTGCCAATATTGTTTTATCAATCTCCCCTCAGGAGTATTTCCCCTCTACCTTGCTGGAGTATTTAAATCCTAGATTTTATATCACTTCATGCATAAATACTTCTTAGTATATTTTTAATAAATAGAGACTTCATAAAAAAGAGAACTGCAATATTATCATACCTAAATAAATATTTCCGAATTATGATTTAATGACAAGCCTATATTCAGACTTCCCTGATTGTCTTTAAAATGGCTTTTAATATTTGGTTTTTGGAACAGGAATCAGATGAGGTCCAAATATTACATTTGACTGATATGTCTTGTGAATCTTTTCATCTCTAATAGATTATCTCTTTTTATTCTCTCTTTATATACACTCTTTACTTACTGAAGAATCTGTGGCTATGGACCTGTACGACATTCAGCTTTCTTTGGAACACCTTGAGTTACTGTTTGAGGCTTACTTCTTACGAATACAACAGGCATAAAATTGTTAGGTAATTCTGCAATGACCTATCTTGTATTCCTTCTGTTTTAGGATTCTCAGTCCTCCATAGCTGATACTCCTCGTGGTTCTAGGGAGCTGAGTGCCAGGCTGTGCAAGGGCAGCAAGGATTTTCTTTACTAGAGGTATATTGAGAGCACAGCACGTGTGAGGCTGTGCCAGGCCATCTGGGAAATGCAGGCAAAGTGGAAGTGCCTTTGCTTGGCTCCAAGGAGCTTATCACGAATTTGGAAGAAAGAAGATTGCATGAAACTAACAGATTAACATAGGCAGCTCAGTGTTGGGAAGTCAAGTAAAGCTACACTTGGCTCAAACCCCAACCTTGACTCTTAACAGCTGGGTGTTGGTGAACAAGTCACTTTATATTTCTGAACCTAATTCCTCTTCTTTAAAATAGCGAGGAAAAACTCTGCCTACTTCAGGATTATATGAAAAGCAGGCATCATGGGCCCTGGAGTTAGACTTTAAACCCTGCTTCCTTCTGATATTAAGTGCCTGCAGTCAATGGGCACTTTACTCCATGCCAGTCCTGTGCTCAGTACTTCATACACATTACCTCATTTTAGGCCTCTCAGCAACCCTGTTTTACAGATCACAAAACTGAGGCTTAGAGAAGCAGTTTGCATACATTTACCTACTTAGTGAATTAGGATTTAAACCCAGACAAAGTCAAAGCTCAAACTTTAAACTGCCAAGATATATTATTTCTCTCGAACACATATGTCAAGGTTCAGTATTCTTGTTTATAAGGAGGGAGCTATCATATCAACTTTATGGAATTATCATGGAAATTAAGACAAAACCTACTCAACAGATAACAAATGCTCAAAAGTATTTGTTTTCATGGTTGTTATTATATCAATGGTTGAACAAGTCTGTAAAACATGAAATTGTACAGAACCATCTATAAACATAATAGGAATGTGGAAAATGGAGACATTAACTTGCATTGAGGCCCTTATGGTGAGAGAGGGGGCAGGGAGGATCCAGTGGGTCTTTGGTTATCACAGGAGATAAAAGCACATTCTAGGATGGGGGAGCAGCTCAGGCAGGGAGACTAGATGAATGGGGTGTTAAATACCCTCTTTAAACTTCCTATTTGTCCAGTTAATGCCAGTGAGGGTTTAATGGTCAGGGAGAACACACATGTGCACCCCTGATGCCATTAAGAAGACTGTGTGGGAAATTACAAAAAGAGGTTGTGATGAAGAGCCTGGTGCTCTGGGTGGGTCTCAGCACAACCTCTGTCTGGTTCTGTGGTCTCAGCAAGTTACTAAACTTCTTTGCATCTCACTTTCTTTCCAGGTAAAACAGAGATCATAAAGGACTTTATGATATAGGCTATCCAGGGATGTTTGAGGAATTAGATGAAATACTTTAGGGAAAGATAGTGCCAGAAAGACCCAGGGCAGAAACCAAGAGAAGCCAAGAACTGAAGTCCTTCCATTCTCACCTCTATGTCACCTTCCCTGCTTCTATTGGGGTTGCAGTCTTCACCACCCCCTCACCCTCCCTAAATCAGGGGTACCACAGAGTTAGGCTGCTAAAGTGACATAGTGAAAATGTTCTCAAGGGTTCCCTCCTTTCTGCAGAAACAGGACCCTGGGTAATACATGTGAGAATCAAGAGGAGAGAGGTTGGATGTGCTCATCTAGGCTGGTTACTTGCTTTTGCTCCCCAAATTTTCTTGCGTAAGAAGTTTATTCCCAATTTCTTGAAAAATTTAGAGGAGGGATATTTGGTGTAAAACAATGAAATCATTGGTCTTTGGGATGTTGACTGAGTCTCTTCTGGGGAAAGAGAAAGCAGGGAAGGTGATGCAGAGGTGGGAATGGAAGAACTTCAGTTCTTGTCTTCTCTTGGTTCTTCCCCGGGTCCTCCTGCAGATAAGAGAGATTTTCAAGTCACTAACACTTTGGTGTGAGTTAATTGTGTCTGCTCTTCCTCATACTGTATGCAGACCACTATGGAAGATGGATGCAACAGGAATGGCCTGTTGGAAGACTGGTGAGCAATACCAGCTCCGGAGGGCATACAAGTTTCTGCAGGGGCCACAGGGGAGGGTTCCCTGTCTGGAATTGGAGGCTCAGATGGGGCTTCCTCCAGGAAGCATTTAGAGATGGAGTGTGACTTAGCTGTAGTTACCACAAAGAGGGAACAGCATTTACAGAAGCCTAGAAGTGAGAGAGAGGAGTGAGTCCATGATGGATTTGGGACCCCTGTGGGGAGCTATTTCTGCAGATCCACAGGCCCCTCAGAGCTCTCCACAGAGGAAATATGGTCATTGTTTGTCAGAAGCCCTGCCGAGGCAGCGTGAGGCTTATGAGGAAATGGGGCATGAGACAGCAAGGCGCTAGAAGGGTACTTCCTAGCCTCACCTGCGCACCTCACCCCTGTGTGCACAGCACATGGCTCACCCCTCGGGGCTTCGGTGTTCTCATGAATGAAATGAGGACTTAATGAAGTCCTTTCAGTTCCTCAGCTCTTTGGCTCTCTGAAAATATTTTTAAAGCTGAGGAAAAAAAAATAAAGTAATACTGAAAACAGATTTCAGTCCTTATTAGGTTGCAAAATGGAAACAGAGACAGAACCTGGTATTGAGAAATAATTCAAAGAAGCATTTAAGAAGAGACATCTTTGATATTGAGTAGATAAAGAATTTATGGCAATTCTAGTCTACACTGGGCTTGAGTTACCAACAAACAAGAAATGAATCAAAGGAGAGACGTGAGGAAGAGGAGAAAACCCCCCTGAGAAGCAAGTGGGCATTTGAAAACAAGTGACACAGGTGACCTCCTGTCCATGGGGTGAGCTACTCGGTAAATACAGGGCCAGTGGCTGGCACAGGAAGATGTGCCGGAGTGATGGTGGCAGCAGGAGTGAGTCAGAGAGCCTGAGCTCTTTGGAGGGGCTGGCTTGCCTTTGGAGGCAGAGGTTGTGGGCACGGGAAGGATGTTGCCCCCTGCTCTGTGTGGAGGCGCTGAAGGGGTCTGGCCCGGAAGGCCATTTGTAGAGCTGAGTGAATGCCACCTGGGCTGGGCAGAACTGGCATCTCTTGTGCGGTGGTGGGCATGTGATAGGAGACATGTACCCAGGACATGTACCCAGAGTTGCCTGGGGACCACAGGGGCTATGGGTCAGAACCACTCGGATGAGTGGGGCTGCAGATGGGCAGGTCTCTGCTCAGCCTATTGAGAAGTGAGATTCTGACAGGGAATCTGAGAAAGGGGGGCAAATGGGTTTTTTCTCCTTGGCATTATAACATGAGCCAGATGCATTGAATCAGGCATCAGCATTGTCACATCAGTAGCAACAATAAGCATCTGTTCTATGCCAAGCATTAGGCTATGCCCATTATCTACATTATTCACAGACCTCACAACAACCTGTCTAGGGGGCATTGTTTTTAATCCCCATTTTGCCCCATATTCCAGTGAGCTTCAGAAACATTGAGCCTTCAAACTAGTGAATTGCAGAGATGAGGAACCACACCCAAGTGTACCAATTTCTCTTTCACGAGAGAGACATAGTCTAAGTTGTGTTTTCCAATCCCAAGCAGTTGCACCAATGCTGTGCTCATGGTAATGTAAAACATAAGCAACATTGAGTATTATTGTTTTTCAGTTTTTACTTTAATAAATATTAAAATGATACCTTTGTCCCCTTTTGCATTTTGTTGATAACTAGTGAAGGTGAACAATGTGTCTGCCATCTGCCTCCTGGGTGGATTGTCTTCTTGGCTTTGCCCATTGCTAGGCAACTCATGTCACACGTGAAGACAATACATTCCAGTGTGTTTGAGTGACCTGACCAAGGTCACACAGCTGGTTATCAGAGAGGCCTAGGCCAGAACTCATGCCAGCGCCTCTCCCATGGCTATCCTGTCTGCATCCTCCACACCCCAGCCCTGGGCTGCACTCCCATCTCCTCATCCTGGTGCCACGACGGGTCTTATGAGAAGCCCACCCATTCCCAGGGGCTATCCAGCAGGAAGACAGAATGGGACAGGCGGCTCTTTGACCAAAGCATCCCAATGTGAAATCCGTCTACAAAAAGCCCTGGAATCTCTTCTGATGAATAATAGGTAACCACTCAGGCATAGTTTAAAATAGTTTGGTTTGTTTTGAAATTTTTTAAAAATACAAAGAAGAAAAACAGTGGAGGAGGCAGATGGCATGTTTTAAAAGAGTTCTTGCTGGAGATTTTAAAAGCCAATATAAAAACTAACTAATAAACTGCCCATCACAATCTAAAGATAGATATACCAAAAATTTCACTGGGGCACCTGGGGACAAGAACAGCTGTTACTATGAATCTACTGTTTATTAGGCGCTGACTGTCAGGTGTCATGCTGAGTTTCTGAGTCTTCCACTTATTCCTCACAACCACCTGATAAGACAGATACTGTTACTGTCATTATCACCATTTTACAGATAGGCAAACTGAGGCTTATTTTTACAAGATAAATGGCAAAGCTAGGGCTTGAACCTTGGGCCTGACTCCAGTGTTTGTGCTGTTAATTACTGATGCTACCAGACACCCTGAGAAAGCATCTAAGCCAGGGGAGTGGCAGCAGCCCTCTGGCCTTCAAGAGAGCAATCATTGTAAAAACAGATTATCCCAGCCACTTTGAATAATAGTTCTTGATCCAGAAAAAAAGCACGCAAAAGACCATTTGTCAAGATCCTTCTCTTCTTTTAGATTAACATCAGTGCTATGTTTCAGTTTCAGTAATTGAGGCTCAAGAAATTTGCTGTACAAACCACCATGGCACGTGTGTACCTATGTAAGAAAACTGCATGTTCTGCACATGTACCCCAGAACTTAAAGTATAATAAAAAAAAGGAAGAAAGAAATTTGCTGTAGGCAATTCTAAGTGTTGAGCTAAAATGAAGCAAACTCAAGCATCTTGCCTCCTTCTATCCTTACCCACACGGTGTGTGTGCATGCACATGCACACACAGTGCAACTCACACACCAAAACAGCTAAGAATAAAATGGGTTCGAATAACTCAAGCAAAGTCATTTGAAATTACAGACTTCAAGGCTAGTAGGCACCAGGCCAGGACATTCTCATTTCGGGTCTACCAACAAACTATCTCCTTTTTAAAGAGAAATGTCATTTTGATTTCAGCCATCCTTGCAGGAGGTTTTTCAGTGTAAATTCCTCTTAGCCTTCCTAAGTAAAAATGAAGAACAGCTGATCCTTGTCTTGTCCAATGTATGATTTTCCCTGGAACTTTTATGAGCTGAGTAGGATGAGCAAGAGAGGAAGTGTTCTTTAAGAGAGTCAATGTGCGGCCACTCTCAGCTGCGTGGTGTTGCCTATAGCAACTAAGATTTATTTTATAAACACATATATGGTCCTTACTGTACAGCAGGCACTGCTCAAAACAGTGTACAAATAGTAACGTCCTCTTCACAACCCTATGAAGGGGAAAGTGAGGCAGAAAGGAGCTAATTAACTGGCCCAAAATCACATCGCTAGAGTGGCAGGTGGGGGATCAGGGCTCAGGTAGCTTGCCTTCGGTGTGCATTACTCGTGGTTAGTAGTGTTGCCAATTTCTTCTGACATAGAGTTGATTATCTTCATGCTGTTTTTCTCACACAGAGATTAAGCCTGAAGTTCATGTATCCCATGACCCTGGGGAGAAAAAGAAACCTAACTACAATAAGCAATGGGAAATGAGTCAGAGCCTGTTTATTTTGATGATTGATTTTGTGAGAGTGATTTGTTGAATGAATGAACCAAATGAATGATGGCCTTTTGCGGCTTCTGTTTGCCACTTTGATATTCCAGGATTTATTTCTTTTGATCTTCTAAGCCATCTAATTGAAATACCCACAAATTCAGATATTACGATTTATATTTGGCCTTCAGTCCCCCATCTGCATCTGGCACGGTGGACTCAAGTACAGTTCACCTCTTGTGCATTTGACCTCTCACTCTAAAAATAAGGGCCAGATGAATGTTCATATTCCTTATAGAACAGATGATGGTTTTACTAGACGAGTGTGGTTTATACTTTAGAACAGCAGCTGCACATATGGAATGAAATTATCTGAGTAACCTATTTTCAAACCTTGACACATACATTTGGCTTAAAATTCAACATGCGCTTTCTCAAAAAGGAAGCAAATGTAAACAGTCTTCTCATATATTATCCTGCACATCTGAATCCTATGTTTTATTTATTCGTTTCTCTTTTGAGTCTGGAATATAATCAGTTGGAAATGAGGAAGGAAGCCCCATTCATTCGCCTCTTTGTGATGCCATGAAAATGATAGCATGTTTGAGCTGATGGAGGGCCTTGGAAATAATCAGAGGAGACCCTTTCATTTTATAGAAGGATTCTGAGGCCCAGAGAAGTGCAGTTTGCCTGGGTTCCTCCAATCAAAGGTGGTGAACATGGGCTTAAAACCAGGTTGCCTGACTCTAGGCCAACTGAGTTGGACAGTGTTGAGGTAAACTCTGAAAAGCTGGTGTTCCTGCCCACCACAGCTCCCCACCTGACCCCTCCAGTCTCAGTCAACACCCAGACACCAGGGATCACCTGTCAGTTATCTCAGACCAGAGATATCTCTTCAGGCTTCAGGCCTGTACTCGCTTTGTGTATTAGGCACTTATCACCACTCACCCAAACAATACATTGACTGATAGCGCCTCCCCATCGTCCTGATCATCTCCCCTAAACACACACACACACACAAAACACTTTTAAGGCACAGACCCATTGTTCTCAAAAAGTAGTGTTGATTACCTTAATCCTTTTCTAAAATGCTGCCATTGTCCACTTCACTCACTCCCACTCATGTATCCCAATCATTTAGAATGATGTTGGCACACTGAAAGCACTCAATAAATATGTGTTGAATGAATGAAAGGCTCCTCATTTCCTACTAAAGAAATTAATCTCCATTTCTTAGCTTGGTAGTCAAGGCCCTTTATCATCTGGCATTAATCTTTTCCCATTTTGCTCGCTTCCTCCCTTCTGTCCTCTGCTAATTAAACAACCAAATAGCTCTTTTTTAAGGTAAAAATTTATTGTTTACCAATAAATACTCAACTTATTGAGTGTTTATGCCAAGCCTTTTTTCACCTTTTTATGAGTGTTAACTCGTTTAATTCACACAACAAACCTATAAGGTTGGTACTATCATTATTACCATTTTACAAATAAGGCAATTGAGCCACAAGTTAAGTTACCTCTCTATGATCACACTTTTAAGATGAGGCAGAGCTGGGATTCAAACTCAGGAAGTGTGGCTTCACATCCCATGCATGTAGCCACTATGGCATGGCTAGCTTTCCTATTGGTTTATTTTTAGTTATAAACTTCAACAGTCTGGAAGTACATAAAAAGTAACAATTTTTCACCCACTTCAAAAAGAATTTAGATAATATGTATTCTTCCAGATGCTTTTCTTATGTTAACTAGTATATTTACATAATTTTAAAACCAAAATTATACATACTACAACATGCCTTTTAAATTTACTATATTTTTGAGATATTTCCATAAATATTCCTACACATATCTCTTACATATATCACAGCCACATTATTTTTCATTGTTGCCTAGTATACTCTTGTATGGATACACACCATAATTTATTTTTTCAGTCCCTGTTGATGAACACTTCAGTTATTCCCAAGATTTTTCCCTTAGGAACAATGCTGGAGTGAGCATCTTTATATATCTATGTGTGTAATGCTAAATATTTCTGTAATTCAGATTCCTAAAAAATGTGATTGCTGAGTCTTGGGGTATACACACTTAAAACTGTGATAGATACTGATAAATGGCCCCCAAAATGCTGTCCTCCCACAAATAGTGTCTTGCAGTTTGCCAATTTATCCTCCCACAAATAGTGTCTTGCAGTTTGCCATGATTCCCTTTTCCTCTGCACACAAATTTGGGAATTGAATGCTTCCTTCTTAACCGTTCCAGTCCTCTCCTCTCTGGGAGCTCATATTCTCTGCTTGTCATGCCTCTATGCCTCTCTTTTTGCACAGTGAATGTATTTTTTCTTCCCCTGCTGCCCCATAATATCAAATCCTCCTTGTTAACTGACTGGTGCTCGTGTTGTCTCTTGTTTCTCTCTCTCTCTCTCTCTCTCTCTCTCTCTCCCCCTCCCCTCCCCCCCCCAACACCCTTTTCTCCTTCCCCTCTCCCCTCTGCTTCCTTGGTTATATAAAACCATAGTAGTTTCTTTGATACAATATTCACATCAAGGAGTCTCGGAGGCTACCTAGAGAAGAGTGAGTTCTGACTGTTGCTGGCAGTGGCGACGCTTTATGTGGTGCCAATTGGGTTGATGTTTGTAGCCTCAGTATTTGGCTGTGTTGTTAAAGATGACCCCATTTGGTATCCGTTATTTAGGGCACAGCAGTGAGTGTGATTAAGAAAGGAACAAAGAGTTACAAAGGAAAGCAAAACTGGAGAAGAGCCTTTTAAATGATGACGGAGATGAGAAAAAGGAAGATAAAGGCAAGACGTTGCTGAACTCCTCCTTCATGCCACCCCCCTTGCTTGGTGCTTTACATACATTATTGCATTTAATCCCCCAGTGAGAACAGACTAAACAGATTAGGAATGGTCTGTCTGGAAGACAGGAGGAGGATGTGAGCAAAGTTTCTGAAGTCATAAATAGTTCTAGTGTAAAACTACAAAGATACCCCATGAAGTTACAGCAGAGTGAGTTTAGGACAAGAGAAAGGTAGTAAGTAGTACTTCCAAATGGGGCTAGTAAACAGTGGACTCTGTAACCAAAAGTGTGAAAAGATGGACAATTTAAATAGCTTTTTTTTTTAAGGTTTTAGACAACTGCATGGTAATACATTGCTGCTGGATTTCTAATTGGAGTTAGGATGCTTGGAGTCTTTAGACATTCACATTGAGGTCAAGGAGTCTAACCGTATGTACAGCCCTGTAGTCCATGAAGGTATCTGGGGGAGCAGAAGAGAGGACATTCAGGGCTTCTGTCATCTCTCTTTAAACCAGAATCTCTCTACTTCTTATCTCTTGAAAGTTCTGGGCTTCTACATGAGATTTCCTTTGTGAGGGACAAAAAAAAGTTGTTATTTATTTATTTTTTTTAAAGTCTACAAACGATTGCATTAGTTGTTTGACTCCACTATTCCAGACAAGCCGTGGGCTGGATGGACTGTGGATCTAACCAACGGGAGGAAATTTTACTCATGGACCAAGGCTCCACCATTGCTTCTCTCAATTCCATAGCACAAGCTAGAGTCTGACAGCCTTGTAGCTCAGCCCTGACCTCAGTGAGGTGAGGACTTGGTGAGGTGAGAGAAGGCAAGTGCAGCAGCAAGAACTGCTCCTGTTTCTGAAAGAACATCCCAGTCCATTGGTAAGGCCTCCCAACCCCATTCCACCCTATCACAAGCAAGGTGGGAGCTCCCCTGCAGCCAGTGCCCCAAGTGCCTTGCCTACTGTGTGCCTTTGAAGGAAGAGTCAGGGAGGCCAGGAGCCTCAGCCTGAGCCCTGGCTCACAGGTTCTGTGCTGTCACCGAGCTACTTACTTCACCCCTACTCTTGCCTGGTCTTTCCCTTGGGCTGTGAGTCAGAAGACAGTGGTTGAAGTCTCTGCTTACTCATTTTGCAGCCATAAGATTCTCTAGCACTCAACCTCTTTCTAACCCATGGTTTCATCTGTGTTTCTGTAACAACTTCTACTAATCAGGCTGCTAGGAGGACTGACTAAGATAATGCAAACAAAACACTTTTCAGGGTGCCTGCTGCATGGCGAAGCCTCAGTAAATGGTAGTATTGGTGGTTGTAGTTGGGTCATTTTTATACCCCCTCCACCCCCTGCTTCCCCTGCTGATATCTTGGTTCCTAGCCCTGTGACTTGGAAGAGACTTGGGCTTCTGCTATGATACCTGCTTCTGAGCCAGTAATCCCCAACCCTGACATCTGCCTGCTGCCTTCCAGTCCCATGGCTTGCCCCATCAATACTGATTTTCTGTCCTTGATTATACCTGCAGTGACATCACAAAGCACAATACATCATACACAGTGATACCCAGTAACAGCCCTCTTTGTATGTTACTGCATTTAAAAAAGAACTTTGTCTCTTAAGAGCACTTCACATATGTCGTTTCATATTTGATAGACTTCCTTTTCTGCAATTGAAATGTAGAAATATCAATGACTTGTCCTAAGGTGCAGGCTTGCTAGTTGATATAGACAAGCAGAAACCCAGGTCCTCTGATTCCCAACTTCTTTTTACCATTTCCTGCCATCTTTTGAGTTTTTGTATCTAGATATATTGGCCTTTGCTTTGATTTATACAGACTTGTAGGTTTCCCTGTGAATCTGGGAGCAGGATGAAGGTAAGAGTTTAACTTCTGCTTTGCAGTTATACTGTAGTCAGCTGCTAAAACATAAGAATACTATCTAGATGTTAATGAAAAAAATATTATTTTTGACCTATTTTTGTTTCAAAATGTTCTGGACTTATCTCAATAAATAGCTGTTAAGATGTTTATCAAATTTATTGCATTCCCCAAAATCTAAATAAATACCTGAGATAAAAAGAAAATGTGACCCACTTGAGGTTAGGAGTTCGAGACCAGCCTGGCCAACATAGTGAAACTTCATCTTTACTAAAAATACAAAAATTCGCCATGCATGGTGGCACGTTCCTATAGTTCCAGCTACTTGGGAGGCTGAGGCAGGAGAATCGCTTGAACCTGGGAGGCAGAGGTTGCAGTGAGCCAAGATTGTGCCACTGTACTCCAGCCTGGGTGACAGAGCGAGACTCTGTCTCAAAGGAGAAAATATGGCCAAAAAATAAAATTAAATACAATAAAGCTAAACTTCCTTAATAAATGGAAAATGGCATTAGGCTTATAAGAAAGGTATTCTACATAAAATATTTTGCCTCTGCAACCAGCAAATTCTACCATATTAAAGACATAGCAGTTTTGTCTCTCTGTGCCAAAAATCACAAGAACTTTTATTCTTGTTCTCATGATCCACTGCAATGTTCTCTATTCAGAAAGCTCTGGGATGTTTTTTTTTTTTTTCCTGGCTCCTTTGATGTTCCTCAGACAAAGACTCTTGAAGTTGCAGATTTGTTGTATGTTTTTAGACCAGTGCAGAGATGGGGTTCAGAGGAACATTTCACATGGGCTTTGATGTTAGAATCCTTTGGCAAATCACGTTTGCCTTTCAAATTGATATCAGGAGGATAGACCCTTTCCTTTTTTTCTTTTTTCTTTTTTTTTTTTTTTTTTTTTTGAGATGGAGTCTCGCTCTGTCACCCAGGCTGGAGTGCAGTGGTGCGATCTCTGCTCACTGCAAGGTCCACCTCCTGGGTTCATGCCATTCTCCTGCCTCAGCCTCCCGACTAGCTGGGACTACAGGCACCTGCCACCACGCCCAGCTAATTTTTTGTATTTTTAGTAGAGACGAGGTTTCACCGTGTTAGCCAGGATGGTCTCGATCTCCTGACCTCGTGATCCGCCTGCCTCGGCCTCCCAAAGTGCTGGGATTACAGCTGTGAGCCACCGTGCCTGGCCAAGGATAGACCTTTTCTAAGGGTTGTCAAGGAAATAACCTCATGTGCAGAAAAAGTTTTATGCACAAATATGTGTATCACAACAGCTTTACAATAGTGAAAACCCAGAAACAAATTAATAGTAATAAGAGAATGGTTACTTACACTGTTGTGAAATCATGAGGAGGAATCTCACATAGAATTGAAAGTGAGGTCTAAAGAACTTTATAGTAATATGGAGAAAAACTTGGTTAATACATTATGTAGAAAAGCAGATTATAAATGTTGTGTAATATGACATCACAACTATGGAAAACTACACAGTGGTAGTGGTATCACAGGTGATCTTTTGCTTTTCTTTATTTTCCAGTTTTTCTGTAATAAGCAAGAATTTTGAAAATTGGAATGGGAAAAGGGTGTTTTACTGAAAACAGAAGCATCATCCTTCTCTGTTGGTAATTTTCAGCTTGATTTGGTTTGTAGTGCTGCAGAAAGTGCTTTTGATTTCTCTAGAACAGTGTTTCTCAACCTCAGCTAGTTGTGGGAGCAGCCCTGTGCACTGGACAATGTTTAGCAGCATCATTGGCCTCAACGCACAAGATGCCTGTAGCATGCCCTCAGTTGTGACAAACAAAAATGTCTCCACACATTGCCAAATGTCCCTGGTGTGGGTGGTCGTGATAAAATAACGTCTGGTTGAGAACTGCTGTTCTAGAATCATGCACTGATACATCCCAAATACCCACTCCCTGGGAGACTCAGCAAGAGGTGGCAGTGGGTATTCAGTTGTACACAGCAATGGAGTATGTAGAAATCTAGAAATTCGTTCACTCACTCATGAGACATTTATTTTCCAGAAAGGTGTTTGGCATCAGAAAAATGTGGCAATAGGAAGCAGGGTTCCTTCCAGCTGCAGGGTGGGATTCAGTGGGAGGAATTCAGCCCCTTGCGGGCAGAGGTGGAGTGAAGAAAGGGCCTGGCAAGCAACGAGGCTCACTAGGACTGAGACACCAGCAGTTTTGGTCACAAAAGGAGGTGGAAGCCAAATTCCCAGCCTGAGATGGGAATGAAAGCAGAAATGCAGTTGACTAGACATTGTGGAGCCTGCACCAGAGAACTAAAGCTCCTTAAATTCCTCCTGACAGGGAACAGGATTGTCCTCAGAGCCTAGGGCAGCCCTCAGCTTGCTGGTGGAAGGAATGGGGACTTGGATAAGGAGTTGGAAGAGTGGGTGGCTAGAGAGCCCCTGCAAGGCACTGCCCACTCAGTAGTGATACTTACTGTGAAGGGCCGTGGGTCTAGACTGAGGCATTTACACTTGGTTCTGGAAGAAGGAAAGAAGCCAAACCAGTTTTCCTATAGGAAAGATCTCTAGAAGTGGATCAAAGAATGTACACTTTTTGAATTTCGATGGGTAGTACTCAGTTGCCTTTCTAAATGCCAGTATAATGATCAATGGATTGGATATTATTTTGGCATTTTATAGTGCTTGAATAATAAGTTTATTATTTTAAATGTTTGTAGTGCCGCCGAAGGTTTATAAAGGTTTATGGCTGTCGCAGTTTTGCTTTCATGACCTGTTGTTGATCGTATCTTTGATTTATGTGAGGCCTAGACAGGAACAGAATCCCTAATCATGAAATTTTTCCTATGGGAAAATACATCTTGCTTTATGACAATCTACTTTATGACGTGCTTTCCAGAAATAATGTGTGGCAAAATGTAGAGGTCATCTATAAAGTTTCTGTTTGTTTTATCTGTTGTGAATTTCCATGATTTTTGTCCCCCTTTGATGGCTAATTTATTTTCCATCCTGTATTAGAGATACATATTTAATAAAATTTAAAATATTCTTTTTTAAAAATGCATGAAGCACAAGGAAGGTGAATGGGTGATTAACAAGATAGTGATTCAGATTGAATATTAAATGTATCTCATTTCATGAAACAAATGCATTCAATTAGGTTGAATGATATGAAATTTTGATTTTTCTAGGTCAAAAACAGTCAAATATCAGCAATTTTATATGGCTCAGTGTAATAGTAATGTTGGCTATAAAGAAAATTTTTGTGAAATGAATATTCTGTTTTTTATTGCTTTCTTAAAAATTTTGAGGTTCATTTCCCTGAAGACAGAGTTGAAAACTTTGGCTGTGTATCATGCTGGGCATGGCTGGAATTCAACAAATTATTCTTGCTTTGAATGATTGTTTCCATTGGAACAAGAGTTCCCAACGAACCCTGGCTGCTCATAGAATCACTGGGGAAACTTTAAAAGATATAATCCATGGCTCCACACAGATAAATCAGTACATTGGATATGGTATGCAGTGGGGCAGGGCTCAGGCCTCAGTATTTTTTTGTTCCCCACGTGACTCTAAGGTGCAGCCAGTTTGAGAACCACTGCACTAGAATTTCATTTTAAGGAGTCTCAATGGAGCTTTTGTATACCTTAGAAAAACACAATGCCTTTGTTCCTCACCTACTTCTCTATCTTGCTTTGGACCAATAAGGTCTAAAGATGAAATGTGAAAAAAATATATTTAACTCGATCAACCCCCTGCTTTGGTTTTCATTCAACAGAACATTTATTGGGTACCTACTATGT
Source organism: Homo sapiens (assembly GCF_000001405.40). Taxonomy (NCBI): domain Eukaryota; kingdom Metazoa; phylum Chordata; class Mammalia; order Primates; family Hominidae; genus Homo; species Homo sapiens. Next base: position 94,112,947 of record NC_000010.11, read on the forward strand.
GCCTGGTCCTAGGGCTGGGGACTTTGATGAAACAGATGAATGCTGAGTTAAAGAAGAATTATGCCTCTTAAAGAAGCCAGGGATTATATGAAATGTCCCAAACAGGCAAATCTGTAGCGATGGAAGGTAGATTAGTGGTGGTTGCTTAGGGCTAGTGAGGATGGGAAAGTAGGGAGTGACTTTAAATGGGTATGAGACTTAACTTGGAGGTGAAAAAAGGACCTAAAATTGATTGTGGTGTAACTATATTAAAAACTATTGACTTGTGTACTTTAAATGAATGAATTGTATGGAATGTGAATTATATCTCAATAAAGCTGCTGTTAAAAAAAAAAAAAAAGCCAAGGGTTCCTTTTGGCATGAGGACTTCACACTGAATAAGTAAATTAGGAACAGCAGAGAAGAAACTCAGTACTATACACCCATTCCTTTCAAAACTAATAGACAATAAAATGGGGACAATAACTGAGGGCAAAATAAAGTAAATCCTGGTTGGAGATGTTTAGTTACCACCTGTATTCCAAATAGCACCTGAGTGTTCAGAGGGTGGATGGGCTGGGAGCCGTAGGTGAGAAAAAGACAAGAACCTTCATAGAATGTACTGTATGCCAGGCACTATGCTAAGTGCTCTTTGTATGTATTCATTCATTCAATTATCACACAGTTATCTCCATTTTACTATTTTGAAATGGAAGCACAGAGAAGTAACTGCCCTAAGGTCATATAGCTAGTTAAGCAGTGACATTAAGACTGCCTTAAAGAGTGGAAGTATTCTAATAGCAATGTGACGATGCGGGAATGGGAGTGGCAGTGGGCAGGGAAGCTTGGGCTTGTTGAGGGGATGGATAGCTGTCACAATGTGTTCAACTAGGGTAATAATGGAGGAGGGGGTAGAAGGGTGGACAGTGAGGGGTTACTGAGGAACTCCCTTGACCATGCTAAGGAAACAAAATGCAGCAGATGGGCATCGTTGAAGATAATTGAATCAAAACAAGGCTTAAGAAGGCCAAGTTCAGTTTTCTAAATGCACAGATACATGCATGTCTCAATGAGTGTCTCTCTGGGTCTGTTCCCTGGGTCTTACTATGACCTGGGCTCTGGGGAGAAATTACTAAAAGAGAAGTCACAATGACCTAGGGAAATTGAAAAGCCTCCATAGGACCTGCCTTAGAACCTTACATTCTTTGAATGGTTGCAAAGTCGCAGCCGAAGGTGACTAGCCCAGAATGCTCAGAACATTTGGCATCAAACCTGGACTAGAAGGTAAACCTCTAGAGGGGAAGGAAAAGTCTATTGTCCCCTGACCTCCTCACTTCCCCCAAAGTGGAGCAAATTGGGCTCCCCAGCTTTTCTTTTCCTTCTCAGTGAGACAGATGAGTATAGACAGTAATTGTGCAGGGGCAGAGGAGGAGGGAGGGACATTGGAGACTGTGTCCACCCAGGATCTCAGGCTAACAGTCTGATCTCTAAGCCAAATGCTGCACTTCAGAGCCAGCAACTTTTCATCCACACGAATACATTCCCCTTGACCTTTCCACGTTTGCTTTGTGCTCTCAGGGCTCAGTTCATTCATGAAGATTTTTCCAAGATCTGCTCTGTTCTAACTTCCTTTTATGCTTGGATTTTTATACCAAGCCTCATAGCACCTCCCATGTAGGTAGCATTTCCTACTATTATAATCTCCACATTACCCCCAAATAATCGAGAGTTCACAGTATAGCTGTTCTTTTCTTATTTTGTTGTGCCCTAGACCTCATGATAGGTTAATCCTCTTATGCCCTATGTTTTTTTTTGTTGTTGTTCTTGCACAGTTCTTTTTTTTTTTTAATACTTTAAGTTCTAGGGTACATGTGCACACATGTGCACAACGTGCAGATTTGTTACATATGTATACATGTGCCATGTTGGTGTGCTGCACCCATTAACTCATCATTTACATTAGGTGTATCTCCTAATGCTATCCCTCCCCCCTTCCCCCATCCCACAACAGGCCCCGGTGTGTGATGTCCCCCTTCCTGTGTCCAAGTGTTCTCATTGTTCAATTCCCACCTATAAGTGAGAACATGCGATGTTTGGTTTTTTGTCCTTGAGATAGTTTGTTCAGAATGATGGTTTCCAGCTTCATCCATGTCCCTACAAAGGACATGAACTCATCATTTTTTATGGCTGCATAGTATTCCATGGTGTATATATGCCACATTTTCTTAATCCAGTCTATCATTGTTGGACATTTGGGTTGGTTCCAGGTCTTTGCTATTGTGAATAGTGCGGCAATAAACATACGTGTGCATGTGTCTTTATAGCAGCATGATTTATAATCCTTTGGGTATATACCCAGTAATGGGATGGCTGGGTCAAATGGTATTTCTAGTTCTAGATCCCTGAGGAATTGCCACACTGTCTTCCACAATGGTTGAACCAGTTTACAGTCCCACCAACAGTTAAAAGTGTTCCTATTTCTCCACATCCTCTCCAGCACCTGTTGTTTCCTGACTTTTTAATGATGGCCATTCTAACTGGTGTGAGATTGTATCTCATTGTGGTTTTGATTTGCATTTCTCTGATGGCCAGTGATGATCAGCATTTTTTCATGTGTCTGTTGGCTGCATAAATGTCTTCTTCTGAGAAGTGTCTGTTCATATCCTTCGCCCACTTGTTGATGAGGTTGTTTTTTTCTTGTAAATTTGTTTGTGTTCATTGTAAGTTCTGGATATTAGCCCTTTGTCAGATGAGTAGATTGTAAAAATTTTCTCCCATTCTACAGGTTGCCTGTTCACTCTGATGGTAGTTTCTTTTGCTGGTTCTTGCACAATTCTAGGCGCCAGTAGCCATTCATTCCCCATTGAAGTCAGCCTGTTCCCAGTGACTGTGGCTTCCTCTTGACTCCTGGAGCACCAGCTGCCTGAACCTCTCTCTTCTCACTTATTGTTTCCTGCCTCGTGTTAACTTTCCCTCTTACCTGCCTGCCTTCCAGCCATCCTTGGTCATGCAAGAGACACTCAATGCAACAGGGATGAGTCACTGATTAATCAGCAAGCACTTTATAGGGCCATGATGCAGGCGATAACTGTTCTGATGACAGACACTGGGGAGAACAGCGGGCATCTCCAGGGCTTGCTCATCTCTGACATGCTGTCCCTGATCCTTCCTCCTGCTCCTTCCTCTCTCCATCCTTTTCTTCAAAATTCTATCTTTCTGTCTTTCGGTGATTCTGTCGTCATCACCTTCCTCCCCTGCCACAAATACCCCTGAGTTTCTTAACTACTCACAATTTAGATCTCATTTATCCTTTTATTTGCTATATCTATAGAACTTGGCTTTTCTTGTTTTCTGTGTCTTGTGTCTGAATATAATAATGATGTTTAACATTCTGTGTGTGACCTCTGACTGATTTTGGAAATGGGAAAAGGATCCATGGCATTGGTAGGAAAAGGTTGCCAAGTCTGCCTTAAGAATTTTTAGGAATGGCAGGGCATGGTGGCTCATGCCTGTAATCCCAACACTTTGGGAGGCTGAGGCAGGCAGATCACCTGAGATTAGGAGTTCAAGACCAGCTTGGCCAACATGGTGAAACCCCATCTCTACTAAAAATACAAAAACTAGCTGGGCGTGGTGGCAGGTGCCTGTAGTCCCAGCTACTCAGGAGGCTGAGGCAGGAGAATTGCTTGAACCTGGGAGGCAGAAGTTGCAATAAGCTAAAATCGCACCACTGCACTCCAGTCTGGGCGAAAGAGTGAGACTCTGTCTCAAAAAAAAAAATTTTTTTTAAGAATATTTGCAGGGTAAAACATAAAAAAGCTGATGATGAAACCTGTTGGATGAACTGATGAAACCCCAAATTTACCCAGCCAGTAATGGCCATGCCCTTCACCTTCTAAAAGAAGTGCATTTGCTTCTCCCTGGCCTCATGTTGAAGAATTGGAAAGGAGCAATTTGGAGAGAGTGCAATAAAAGAAAAGACAAAGAGTTTCTGCTATTATCCCTGCATCTCTGACTTCCCACAGTCTGTTTTTCAGCTGTTCCCTGTCCACTCCCAGGACCTCTGCCTCCTGTCTTATAGTGTATCATGGTCTCTACTGGATAACAGATAAGCAAGGTTGAGTCATCTGATATGGTCATCCCTGGATGTGGACTTTCTCCTCCAATCATGAGCACAACATATAGAGCTCCCATCCTCTCTCCTTCACTCTCATCAAGTGAATGGCTCAGCAAGGTTGGGACTCTTGTGGTGAGACCAGAAGATCTTGAGAAGAGTGTGAGGAATGAGCTTCCCAGTGAATAAAAGGTGACCCGACTTTTGGGCCATGAGTGACAGAACCCTCCAGCTGAATGTGCATTTGCTCCTGAAAAGGAACCCCATCCAAAGTAGCTACAGAAGTGATTTAAACAGAGATGTGGCCCCAGCAAGTCCTTTTCTTCCAGCTCAGCATCACATTGACTGTCTTCTTTGACTCCTACCAGCTCTGCTGGGAGTGAGACTCAGTGACCCTTCCCTTCCCTATAGCCTACCCAGCCCACAGATTCATGCCAAACACTCGTTGCACTGACTTCATTTGTGCCGTCTTTGACATTACTGGTAATGTCCATTATATGCAGATGCCAAAGACCAGCTAACATCAGTTCAAGGAATATTTCAGGAGTTCCACCTGTATACAATACAATATACCATGAATCACTAGATCATGGTGGGTATAAAAGAGAGAAAATCCTTGGAACACCCATAAGCAGTTGATCCCAGTGGGTTGGTTAGGCTGTAGTTAGTATATACACTGCTGTTGACACTGCCTTTAATTATGTGTAGTCACACCTGCATTGTGTCCTTTATGAGCTCTTAGAAAATAATGAATGCACCCAATTGTTTAGAGCTCCCACAAAGTGAAGGACAACATTATTTCAAATTATTGCAAGAAGCCCAGGGTATCTGGAGACAGGGAAAGCTCTTAAGTCTACTTTTTATACAATAGAGCTTCATACCATTATTCTGTATATAATCTTTTCACCAAAACACTGTCGCCTGATTGTTTCAACAAAAGACCTCTTTGTTTTGATAGCCAAGAAAAACCTTAAGCTCAGTAGAGACATGAGAGCAAGCTTTTTAAATTACAAAATGTAAGTGCTAAAACCATATTTTTGGAATGTAAATTGGAAGGTTTTTTAAAAAAAGTTTTGTTAACTTTAAAAGAAGTTACAATTTTTTTAAACTTAAGTTTTTAACCTAAGTTTTTATAAGTTTTAAAATTTTCATTAACTTTAGCATTTTTTTTCTCTTTTCTTTTTTAATGATTTCCATGGAGTTCTTTGACATGCAGCTCAGGGTGACCATATCTTTCTTATCTGACTATAGGGTAGGCCCAGGTAAGCTGAAAGGTGATAACTTTCCCATACTCCTGAGCCCTCTGAAGGTCAAATATATTGTGTTCAACACTCAACCTCTCAGGATAATCCTAGCCCTGAACATAGGCTGATACAGTTTGGCTCTGTGTCCCCACCCAAATCTCACCTTATAGCTCCCATAATTCCCATGTGTTGTGGGAGGGACCCAGTGGGGGATGATTGAATCATGGGGGCAGGTCTTTTTCTTGTGCTGTTCTCATGATAGTGAATGGGTCTCATAAGATCTGATGGTTTTAAAAATGGGAGTTTCTCTGCACAAGCTCTCTCTTTGCCGCTGCCATCCATATAAGATGTGACTTGCTCCTCCTTGCCTTCCACCATGATTGTGAGGCCTCCCCAGTCATGTGGAACTATAAGTCCAATAAACCTCTTTCTTTCGCAAATTGCCCAATCTTGGGTATGTCTTTATCAGCACCGTGAAAACGGACTAATACGTATGCTCTTCTACACACACATAGCTGAGAGTCTCTGTAACAGGACAGAGGTAGTCTATCTGGGGATAGATTGAAAGTCCCTGACTCATCCTCATGAACTTGAGTGCAGTTTTAATGCCACGACCCGTCCATTTTTTTGTAGTTCCCCAATATTTTGGAACCTCCTTGAAGGCTTACCTTTCCACTGCTATCTTACAAAAGTGGAGAGAAAGGTGACATTTCCTATAAGATGTTCCATCTCTTTTAAGATCTATACCTCCAACTAGACAGGAAAAGTCCTAAGTCCTCGCCCACCCTGTGGGATGCTTCTGAAAGTTGTTACTTACCTTGTGAGTACAAATGAAGTATATCGTCTCTCTCCTGTTCCAGGCTGGTAGGTAATGTGTACTTTGTCCTTTCTCATTGGTTTTTATTAATAAAAGGAAACCACCAAGCTATAGGAAATCTTAGAAGTCATCATCTCTATTCCATTGGTGCCTTAAGAGAAGAGGCTGTGTCTTGTTTGAGGTTATATCTTCAATACTTAAAAAAATACCTCTGGAAGGCAATGGATGTCCTCAGGCATATGAGATATAACCCTCCAGCTGTATGCATGTCCATATAGCTTGCATAGGTAGTTTGCTTAGGAAATGTTTATGAACAGAAATGGTTCTGGCCTAGAATTGCATCCACTTATAAGGACTCAAAAGGTTCCTGTTTATCTCCCCAAACTCACTGCTCAATCTCTTAGCTTCACCCATAGGAAAACTATTTTGCATACACTGTTCCCTTTGCTTAGAACATTTCCCCCTTTCTTACCCTTCCTCAACCTTGCCCTAGCTAACTCTTACTGTCTTTAGGTTGTGTCTTAGATGTTACCTCCTAGAAGAACCTTCCATGGCCTCCTAAGACCCTCCTCTGTGTATCTGAAACACTGTATGCCCACACCAATGTAGAATTTTATGCTGTAATACAATTGCCCATTATCTTGCTTACCTTCCCTGATGCTCAGTAACTTTCTTAAGGACAAGAAGCTCTTTTACTCATTATTTTATCTCTAGCTACTGGCAAACTATTTTGCACAAAATAGACATTCAGTAAATATTTGTTGTCTGAATGAATGAATGAACAAAGTCCAAACAAGGAATATATTCTTAGGCATAGACGGCTTATCTTTCAGAAATTAAAGTGCGGCTACTTTGTGTCTGCATTGAATGTCAGTCCAAGCTTCTCAGAGGATTCCTCTGGATAGGCACCCCAGCGTGGGTCCTAGCTATTGCTTAGGACCTCCCAGGGCCTGCCTTTCTCTGGGTGTAGGGCCCAGGATTTTCCCCACTAGGCTGGGCTTTCCTACTATTCTCTACCCTTACTCAACTCCTCCATCCTGTCTGGGAGACTCAACAATTCCTCTTCCAGGCTCCATGTCCTCCTGCCCTGCCTAAACTTGGTGACAGCTCTAGCTCCTGGGAATCTGGTGATCTCTATTCACCCACCACTACCTATTTCATTTGCTCTGCCTGAGGTGTGTTCACTAACAGGTTGTTGAATATGGCTCTACCCTTGGATGAAACTTGAAGGTCTGTACTGGTTGTCTTAAACAGCTTTCAGTCTTATTGGCAGGCATGAGGCTCTGCAGCTGCTCAATTAATCAGGACCAGAAGCCAACTTATGTTGGGTCCTGTCTCTGAGAGTAAGTCCATGTTAGCTCAACTACTGAGTTCGTGATCCTTGGGGGATTTGGAGAGGAATGTCCCTAGCTCCTCTCTGGTGGTCATTCACTTGGGTCCCATTGGAAGAGAAACCTTTAAGAATTAAATCACTGCAGTTTTCCAGTAGAAGAAATACAGTGCATTTAATAAGGATAAATAACTGTCTGCTAATAATTAGAGGAGGATCTCTGCTTGCAGACCCTACTAATTCACACTCTGTCCTCATTCTCATCCCCTCCCTTTGCCCCTGGAAGTGATGCTCAAAGGATCAAGATCAAAAGGCAGTGGAAAGAAATGAAGGATGCAGGAGAAAGATGGACATTGTGAATAAAGGGAAGAGAGAGAGGGGTGATGGGGAAGGTAGGAAGATCAGGACAGAGCAAGGAACAACAGGATGAGATTCAAAAGAAAGCAACATGGGGAACATGCAAGTGGTGAGGGCTAAGAAATCTTAATAATGAAGAAACCATGGGGACTAAGAGGAAGTTGAAGAAAGCTGCTGGAGCAACCTAGAGAGACAGAAGAGAGCAGAGAAGTGAGTGAAAGGAATAAACCTGGGATGAGAGAGAGGATCTGCACTGTAACTCTGATATTGACCAAGAGGATTGATAACCTCCCTTTTATTAAATGCCACATACATGCCAAGTGCTGTGCTGAGGCTTTGCATTTATTATAGCATAGTGGGCACTAGCCCAGAATGGAATCCAGAGTTGAGCTGTTTATGGAGCTGTGCACCAGAAAACACTTAGATGTCTACACATAAGTTCACATGCAGGAGACTAGGAGAGGGTTGTTCTCTCCACCTCCAGTCTCAGCCCAGGAGGGCAGAGGTTGGCCAGCCACAGAGCCCAGTCCAGGTACTTCAACAAGGGGAGCTGAGTGGAAGAACAGAAGCAAACTATCCCTGAGCATAGGAGGGGCTCCATCACCTTCAGAATGCTACCAAATAGCTAGGAGGGATGAAGGCAGATGGTGATGGCTTTTGGGGGTAGGAAGTTACCTGAGGTCCTCAGGCCAGCAGGCATGGTCTTGGAGCTCTAAAGATTCAGGTATTTATGCTATTATGACCATTTGGGTATTCAGGGCTGGTGAAACTAGAAACAGAACTCACAGATGTCTTATCCCTTTGAATGCTTATTTATAACAACTCTGTTATATCTCCATTAAAGAAACACTAGTTACTTCCCCCATGCTACTGGATGGTGGCACTAAGTACGACATGATCAGTGTGACGCAAAGACCATACTCTTTCCACTCTACCCTAAGGCATCTCATTAGAGATGGCATCTCTGCTGTCCCATCTCTGCTATCCCATTTCTGGTTGTCAGAGCAATATATTCTAGGAGGTCAGCCTCAGCCTCAGGCCATCTTTAGGCAGACAGGAGGTTAAGAGAAGGGAAATGCAGTGCTGGTCCAGAAGCAATGACCAAGGCCCTGGGAGCCATGAAGATAGAGGCCACACTGGACATTTCCAGCTGGGCAGAGAGAGGAAGGTTAGAAACCAGGAAAAGATGAGCAGGAGTTCAGCCAATGAAGGTTTGGGGCACAGGAAGCAAAAAGCCTGGTCTTATAGGTTGGCATTGGTCCCCTCCACCTGTTGGGGACACACAGAAGCCTGGAGCCACAGGATGTCAGGAACTTTCTGTCCCTTTCAGCTTCACACATGCACAGCTTAGCGAGAACATTACCCTTGATCCTCTGAGCCAGGGATCACAGTCTACGGGATTTGTGAAAATTTGGTTTTGTCTTGCAGGGAATTTGTCCCCATGTAATTCATTAATTGACCCATTGCTCCTTAGAGCTGCAAGGAGCCTGGTAGTTCAGGCCATTAAGTCCCTTCTGTAGGCCTAATTCATGGCCTGACATCACAATCCTAAAAACATAATCCATTTGTCCTGATTTGATTTTTTCTTTTCGAGAGGCTCCCTTGGCAGCCAGGTTTTCTCATTATGATATGATTCATCCATATGGTAATTACCATTAGAATTAGTATCTCAGACGTGATTCATCTTTGGAAATATTAAGCTGGAAGCATCACTTACAGAAAGGCCTGTTCCATTTACAGCCATGGGGAATGTCTGCAGAGATGCTCCTTCATCCAGCTAGCATTTGTTGAGTTTTGCCCTGTACTGGATTCTGAACTAGGGGCCTTGAGGCGTATAGAGATGAATAGGCCCTAGACTGTGCCCTCAGTAGCTTCCATTCTAGAAGGGAGATGATAGGGACGTAAGTGCTTGTCAGATGGATGGTACAGTCAGAGATGAAAGGTAACATGTTCTCCTTAAAGTCTAGGATACAGGTTTTCAAACTCTAGCAGGAATCAAAATCACCTGAAGGGCTTGCTAAAACACAGATTATTGGGTCCCAGCCCAGAGTTTTTGATTCAGTAGGCCTGCGATGGAGCCCAAGAATTTGCAGTTCCAACAAACTCCTGGGTGAGGAGGATGATGCTGGTCTGGGGACCACACTTTGAGGACCATAGCTCTAAGTCTTCAATTATTTCTCCACTGTGCCCTTTCTCCATTGCTTGCAGCATGCTAAGCAGTGCCCTGTGCTGGGGACAAAATGTTTATTAAAGCTTGGTCCCTGTTCCAGTGGGGAAATAGTAGGAGAGTAAACAGTGATTTCTGTACTTCACAGAAAGTGCTACTAGAGCTTTGCTTAAGGTGTCATTGGATCACCAAAAAGAACATGATTATTTCTTGCCGGAACCCAGGGAAGGCCACATGGAGGAGGTAAAATTTTAATAAAAGGGATGTGGATTGGAAGAAGTTGTATGGAAGGGCATTTGCAGCTGCGAAATTCCCAAGTTTTCAAATGTCCTGGGGCATCCTCTAACTTCTTCTGAGATGTTCCCCTGAAGTGATAAAGGTTCAGCTTACTTCCCATAGAAGCCTCTGGCACAGTTCTGGTTAATTCGCCTGGTTTTAGCAAAGTCTTTATGTTTGTCTTTCCGGAGTTCTGTTTGGTCAGTGTCTTGCTCGTGCATGGTCTGAATACTCTCAGTAGAATGGAATTCTCTGCACAGGCATTTGAATGGAATGTGGAATCATGAGCAGAGCAAACAGCAGCCTGCTACCAAAATTCTCCTCCCCATCCCTGCCATTTAAGTCTCCAAGCTGCTGCAACTACCCCCTCCAACAGCCTCACTGTTTTTGTTGACTCTTCAGGAAATTCGACAGTTCTTATATCATTGCATTTTGTTTACACACAGACACCCATCAGACATGAAACTTCTAGTATCTTCAACCTTTTAGAACACTGCTTGTAGATTCCAAAGTTAGAAAAGAGGCTCATGAGACTAGTAAAGGGGTTTCCAAACCATAGCGCAGAGCTCTTACACTTCATGCTGTGAGAGGCCCCTGCGTTGTTACCACCTATTAACTCACAGGTGACACCGTTAAAATAAATGTCATTGTTTTTCTAGCTCAGGGCACTTTAAGAACCACATTATGGGGAGGATAAGGGTGCTATTAGAAGCACATATATAGTCACTAATGCGAAATGGCAGCTGATACTGAAGGAGAATAGTAATAAGAGAGAGGGAACAGGAGAAGCTAATGTATTAGAGAATAATGATCATCAAAATAATCATCAAAATTAAGTTTAATTATACCCTCCATCTGCCACTGAAGAAGGGGCTGGGTATGATATAGGGTAAAATCCCAGCACGCTGGGACGCTGAGGCGGGAGGCTTGCTTGAGCTCAGGAGTTTGAGACCAGTGTGGGCAACATAGCAAGACCACATCTCTACAAATAATATAAAATTAGCCCAGCATAGTGGTGGTGCCTGTAGTCCCAGCCACTCAGGAGGCTGAGGTGGGAAGATCACTTGAGCCCAAGAGGTCAAGGCTGCAGTGAGCTATGATTGTGCCACTGCACTCCAGCCTGGGCAACAGAGTGAGACCTTGTCTCAGAGAAAAAAAAAAAAAAAAAGAAAGAAAGAAAGAAAAAGAAAGCAAGGAAGTATGGATTATAGAACAGTAACACTAAAAGGGACCTTGGAGATAATAACTGGCCAGCCTCTTCGTGATAAAGATAAGAAAACTGGGGCAAAGAGTAGGTTATGAGGAAGAGGGTTTCAGTTATTTGCCCAGTATCACACAATTACACAGTACAGACTGTGGGTCTCTCCAGGGCAGAGTCTTTTTTCTTTTTAAAATCATTGTTCTCCAGCATCTACCATAGTCGATGTAACTGCAACTCAATATTTGTTTATTTAAATTGATTTAGCAGAGTCAATACATTAATCCGTATCTTGGTTTCTTTTAAACCCCATGATCCTTTCAAATGATCAATTTCATGAAAAATTAGTAGAGAGAATAGATCAGATTAAGTCCTTTGACTCTAAGCCCATCAGCAAATGATAATGAAATGTTGTTAAACTGTTGGTGGATTTATCAGAAATGGCCAAGTTTGGTTACTAGCAATTAAATCCACATTTGGCTACAGCTATTCTGAATACTTTGTAAAGATTTTATGCCATTTCATATGATTTATATATCTAGTTTTCAGCAAATACAGGTGACAGTAGAATGTCGCCTGTGGTTCAGATGAATCCAATGTAGTCAGGGCCAAAAAACCAGAGGATTCTAGCCAAGTTTTTGGTGAAGACATAGAATTGAGAAATTCACTTATTCAATCAAGAACTGTTCATTGAGAACTTATAATGCCAAACACTGTTCTAGACACTGCAGATACAGCAGTGAAAAAAAGAAAATCTCATGAAGCTGACATTCTAATGGAAGGAACAGACAACAAACAACAAACAAACAAAAAGTGATGGAGGGATTGTGACTACAATTACCCCTCTGTTGAAAGTGCTTCCTCTGACATCTGTAATAGGATTTTCTGTTTGGTTTGGTAGTTAACAGCACTAGCTTAGACATGGAGAGTCTTGATGTTAAGTCCTAGCTGTGTGCACATTAGCGCCTTATTTTTTTTTTTTGAGACAGAGTCTCGCTTTGTTCCCCAGGCTGGAGTGCAGTGGCGCGATCTTGGCTTGCTGCAAGCTCCGCCTCCTGGGTTCATGCCATTCTCCTGCCTCAGCCTCCGGAGTAGCTGGGACTACAGACACCTAGCGCCTTATTTTTAAATGCTGATAATAGTAGAACCTCTTCATAGAGCTGTTCTGCGGTTTAATTGAAATCACATCTCACTACTCAGGGCCTGGTTCATTTTAAGCATTCAACAAATGATGCAATTATTATTATTATTGAGTCAATGGACCTCTAAGTAACACACTTTCTTCCTGTTGAAAGATTTCAGAAGATATGCCATCAGATCTTAGAACCTCATAATTTTTCATAAGTGATCTCAAAAAGATAGCTTCTGAAACAGAGCAAGTACAAAATTGACCCCACTTGACAATACCCTTTTTGACTTTAGTAGAAGTCAAGTCAAGAAAAAGCTCTGGCTATTCCAAGGAGCTTTCCTTCTGGGTGAGTGCTGTGGATGTGGTGTGTCTGGTTGCTTCATGCCTTTTAGTGCATGCAAGTCTTTGCCTTTGTCTCCATCTGAATTACCCCAGCTCTTTTCAGCCTCAGTATGCTTGTTTTCTTTTGTTTTGGGCCTAAACTCCACATCCTAGTACTGGCTTCTATAAGGCATCCCTCTTTCATGAGTCACAAGGAACTGCAAATGCCTTTTAAAGTGTTTATGCAAGTGTTATCTAAGCATTGCTTGCTTTTCTCTAAGTCATTTTACTGTGTCAAATCATTTTGCCCAAACCACTCCAGGCCATGTCATTTCACAGCACCTACCATAATGGGAGGAGTGTAATCCCATGGAAGGATCCATTCACAGTTTGCAACATTGATCTATAGTTCTCTATATAAAGCCTACATCTCTAAAAACTTAGCAGTGACCAAATATAACAACTTTGACTCCTTTCCTTTCCTCCCAATGACTTCAGCAAGTCCTGTAGAAATATATTTTGATAATATATAATAGCCTACAATTTTTTACTAATTTATTTGGTCTACTTGTTTATTGTCTGCCTTCCCCATGAAAATGAAGCTCGTCTTGCTCACTGGTAGAACACCAGCAGTTGAGCTTAGCACAGTGTATGTGCTCAGTAAATATAAATCACTTGTTGAGTAAATGAATGCTCACATAGCTGTCTAGCAAGTGTGGATGCCATGTTGTGATGTGTTGGATTTTGTTTCAAAAAAGATATTGGCCTATGTAGGGCAGTAGTCTGTCTAGTTTTCAGAACTTTCCATCACCATATTAACCTTGAGTTTCTCTCATTTGTGACTGTATAATTTAAAACTATAAATCTTCACATAAAGGAAGCATATTTGGTCATTCATTAGACTTAACTTGACTATTTTCAAAAGGAATTGAGAATGGCCATGAAAGGAATTATCATGAATAAAAACAATAACAACAGCATTGTAAACATCACCTAAACCTCTTACCAAGATCACCCCTAACAGTGTGATCTTTATCCCACTGTTGGGCTTTGAGTGTGACAATGGATAGTGCAATGGATAAAGCTGGACCACAGAGTTAGAGAAATCTGGGTTTCTATCCTGGCATAGCCTCTTACTAGGTGTGTAAGGCTGACTGTATTTCTCTACTTCTCTAGGCTTACTTTCCCATCTACAAAATGAATCAACTTTATAGATTAGTGTGTGGATTCAATTGTTATGTAATTAAAATACTTATTATGGTTCCAAACACATCATCATTGTGTTAGTTAACATCTGCTGTGTAGCAAAGGACTCCCAAAACGTACCGACTTTTCACAACAATCATTTATTTAGCCCATGATTCTGTGAATTAGTTGGGTAGTTCTAGTCTGGATCAACTGATCTCTGCTGGGCCCTCTCATGCATCTGTGGCAGCAGTTGGACTGGCAAGTGGATGATCTAGGATCCAGGATGGTTTCATTATGTGTCTGGCTGTTGGCAAGTTATCAGCCAAGGTGACAGGGGTGACTGGGCCATGGTCTTTCATCCTCCCGCAATCTAGTTCAGGCTTCTTCACATGGCAGTTGTTGCAGAGTTGCCAAAAGCAACAAGAGAGAGCAATCTCCAATGTACAGGTATTTTTCAAGACTGCTTGCATCATATTGGCTAAATTTCCATTAGTTAAGGAAATCACAGTTCCAGCCCAGTGTCAGTGAAGGAAATAATTCGCGGCCATTTTTGTAGCCTGCCACAATCCTCATCATCACTGTCATCATAAAAACTAGTATTTGTTGAGCATTTACTAAGTGCCAGATGCTGTTCTAATCATATTACATTTATCAAAGCTTGTAATTCTAGCCACAACCTTATGAGGCAGATACTATTATATCCTATATTGGCGAAAAGGAAACTGAGGCACAGAATGGCAAAGCAACTTATCCAAGGTCACACAGCTGGGAAGCATGGGAGCTGGAATTCAAACCAATGCTCCAGAGCCATACTTGTAATGACCGTTCTCTACTGTCTCTTCTTCACACTCTACATGTGGGCTTTTCCATGATTCCTTCTTTTTCATAAGTGAGTGATCTAGGAAGAGATAATACCTTGACTTTTTTTTTTTTTTTTTTTGAGACTGAGTCTCACTCTGTCACCAGGCTGGAGTGCAGTGGTGCAATCTCAGCTTACTGCAACCTTCGCCTCCTGGGTTCAAGTGATTCTCGTGCCTCAGCCTCCCGAGTAGCTGGGATTACAGGCATGTGCCACCACACCCAACTCATTTTTGTATTTTTAGTAGAGACGGGGTTTTACCGTGTTGGTCAGGCTGGTCTTGATCTTCTGACCTTGTGATCCACCCACTTCTGCCTCCCAAAGTGCTGGGATTACAGGTGTGAGCCACTGTGCCTGATCAATACCTTGATTTTGACAGGTTCCCTGAACATTGCCATATCTACCACCAGTTTGTCCACAC
This sequence comes from Homo sapiens, assembly GCF_000001405.40. NCBI lineage: Eukaryota > Metazoa > Chordata > Mammalia > Primates > Hominidae > Homo > Homo sapiens. The sequence goes on from NC_000010.11 coordinate 94,128,347, forward strand.
TTCAGCATTTTTCCAACAAAGCACCTTGAGTTTCTCTCATCCTGGATTGGTGTGACTGGGATGCATCATTCCAGATCTTGGTAGTAATTTTTGATCTCTTTCTGGTTCTTTGTGGTGAGGGTATTGGCAATCGTGATGGAAGTTCAGAGCTTCATTCACAGAGCACTTCATCTTTTATTTCTTCAGACAAGTTTGGGGGCTTGGAAATGTGGCTGATAACGATGTTGAAATATTACTTAATATATACATAGCATTTATATATGTTTATTAATAGTTTCTTGGAGGTGATTTGCAATACCTTTTGATATCAGAGACTATGGCTTTCTCTCTATCCTCAGCAACTAGCACAGGCAAGAGCACACAGAGGACACATTGGAGGAGCTCAGTACATGTTGTAAATATCTACATCCGTATCTGTATTTTATTAAGACAGGGTCAAAAACACATATACTAATGGTGACCAGATATTGGCCAGGTGTGGTCACTAAAGAATGGTGGGCACTGGCATCCAGTGGAGAACTCATGCCCCATCTAACAGTAGAAGATCTAGCCATTTGATACCATGTAGGAATGCTCAGTGTTACCAGATTGTTTCATTATTCAGGAGATGCTGGAACTTCAGATGTATATGTAAAGCTTTCCTGAATTTAAACAGGGTATGTCAGATGAAACAGGTCTGTTGACTGAATCTGGCCCATGGTCAATTGATTTGTGACCTCCCTACATTAGGCACTTGTTGGCACCTTTCTATTGCATTATAACTGTCCTGAAGGCCCGAGGTGGAAGGGGAGATGCAGAATAAGGCGGAGATGGAACAATGAGATGACAAGAGATGAAAGACTTCAAGAAGGATGGATGATTGCCTATTTCAGAGATTCTGCAGAGGGCAAAGAAATGGGAATAAGAAAAGGCTATTAGATTAAAGTAAATTAATTATTTGGCACAGCACTACGTCTACAGGCTGTGTTCTTTAAAGAAATGATCAAATAACATGGGAAATAGTTAAGCAAATTAAAATACTTTGTTTACTCTGACTCTCGTAATTGTCTTTAATATTCTATTATGCAATGTAAATCTCCAAAAGGAGAAGAGATTTACTGAGATTTTTTAAACTTTCATGATCAAGGAGTCCTTAGGTCATACAATCCCTTGTAGATAGAATGTTTTGAGGAAAACACCTTGGAAAAGCTGGATAAGAGACTGAATGAGTCACTGGGAGTCTATGGAGGCCTGATGTGGAGACTGGAATGCACATGGTAGTGAGCAAATGCACAATGAGCCAGCGCAGCAGCTTGGCAAGTAAAGAAAGTAGGCCAACCTATTAGGAACTAGGAATTGCCAGCTTAGTAATCTTTTTAAGACAAAACCATTTTAGCATTATTCCTTTGCTGAAAACAAACCAGCGAAAACAAAAACAAAAACAAAACAAACAAAAAACAAAAAAAAGCATCAAGGGGTGCCCTCCTCTGATGGGTGAAATCTCCTTGCTTTAACATTCCAGGTCTCCTTTATCAGGCCAGCTGACCTTTCTTATTCCCCAGTTGTTCCCTGGCCTTTCTCATTCCCCAGTTATTTCCTATGCTTACTCCCTGCTCTAAACTCCACTGGCTGTCCTTATTGCTTGCATGGTGAGTTGTCTCCCCAGCTGCTCCAGTTAGAGAAATGCCTGCTTTCCAAGGCACAGGTCAAACCCTGCTTTGCCTATTAAGCCTTCCTTAGCCATCAAGCTACCAGTCAGTTCTTTTCCTTACACAACTGGATCAGTTACTTCTGAAGGACTTGCATGGGACTTAGTGTGTTGGAGATGGCCTGTATGATTTGGAGCCAAGAGAATAAAACTATGTCTTGAGATCTGCAGCTCTCTACCCCCATTTGCCCTCACAGTACACCCAAATAGGGTTAGGATAATATTGCCCAGAAACACAGAAGAGCAAGGGCATAACTCCAATCACATTGCATTTCATAGATTGTGGTCTATAGTTATACAACCACCTATTATTCATTGAGGGTAAAGGAGTGTATTCTCTTTTATAGACTTGCTCAACAGTAAAGAGCATCATTTCTAGACACTAGGCTGAGTATGTTACATGTTTATCATGGTGAATCCCAGAATCTCCCTAAGAATAGTGTTATTATTCCCATTTTACAGAGGAGGGAGCTGTCTTGAAACATTCAAGTCAGCTTGTTCACACTTAATGACCAGCTCTCTATCTGGTGAAGGTCGAGTCAGGTGTACCTGACCTCATGTACCTGACCCCAAACCTGGGCTCTTTCTGTCCCAGCACACCATCTCCATGGCCATGCTGGCCACTAGAAATTTAATGACAGAGAATTAAAGGTAAGAATCACACTGTGCCTTCAAGTGGCAAATATATACCACCAGACAGAGGAAGACAGATAAAATCTAGTTAGGGTCTACACAGTTTGAATATCATAGGACTCGGTGCATTCTGGGGTATCATAAGGACCTAGCACAGCTCAAGAGAGGCCCTCTTGAGTGAGATTTGGAGGATGCAACATCATGGGGGCACATGCCTGGCCCGCAGGGCAGTGAGAGTCTTCTACTCCCTGGCCATTCGTCAGTGTCACCGAAGGAGGTGACCTTCATTTCCACCCTACTCTAAGCTCTTGGCTTTTCTGTCTCCTTTACTAGACTGTGAACTCTGAGGAGAGAAACTATTTTATTTATCCAGCCCTGTCATAGTTTCTGGTATATAAACAGTAACTATTTGTTGGTTTGATGAATGAATGACAAGTCAGCCAAGGCAAGGTGCTCAAGGTGACATGATAGAGACAGCATGATAGAGACAGCACCTTTATTCCCCCATCAGAGAGCTGGATTACCTCACTGCATGTTATGTGTCTCCTCCGTTTGTTTATACACTATCCAGAAGTCTCTGGCTTCTCAGAATGCTTGACAAATTCCAAGTCCTCCCTTCAATAATGTCAAACCTTATAATTTTCAGGCCTCATCGAAGATTGTGAAATCCTGCAGCAGCACAAGAGGTGTCTGCTGCCCCTCACACTTTCCCCACATCTTCCAACACACTGCCTTGCACAGAGCAGGGTCTATATACATGCACATTGAATGACTGCATTGAAATAGATTGGAGACATGGTTAGGAACCTGTCCTAACAGTGCAATCTTCTTGAGACAATGCTTGGTGAATTCGGGTGATAAAAGGAGAAGAAATCAGGATAGTGACAGTGACATAGATGGGGCAAGAAGAGTGAGCAGGATCTGTCAACTTATTGGATATGGGAGGTGAGGGAGGAGGAAGAGAAAAAATGATTCAAATACTTTGATCTCAGCTGACAGTTTGAAGGATTATGCCCAAAGGGGAAATAGGGAAGTTCTCTTTCCCCATGACCCTCTCATCCTCATTTCAGTTTAAGCATGGAGAAAAGATTTCCCATAAAAGTCAGGCTGAAACACTCCATGGAGGGAGACAGACCTGGGACAGTCATTCAGTAATGTCCAGGAAAACCAGAAGGAAAGGTTTGCCTTCATCTCTCTGCAGAAGAGCTTTGCTCTGCTGAGGAGGAGAAATTTGAGCTGAATGTATTTCTGGTTGGTATGACTTGTAAGTTCTCTGTTTGATAGCAGAGTTGTTTGAATGACCTATTTTATAACTACACAGAGCTTTTCCAAATAGATGGTGTCTGTAGAATGTTCAGGTTAATGCATGAGCCGAGTGCTCAGAGTGTTTGCACTTGGAGCATCTGAGCCTTCTTTCTTAATAAGTCATCTTGGCATTTTGTCAACAAGTTAATTTGCTTTCCTAAGAAACTAGATTAATACTTCCTGTACTTTGTGCTATTCACAGATCTACAATGCAGTGAGAAGAGAAGAAACAGAAAATACAGTTGGATCTCTACTCCATTTCCTCACCAAGCTCCCAGCCTCCGAGACAGCCCATGGAAGGATAAGCGTTGGTCCATGCTTAAAGCAATGTGTCCGAGACACTGTATGTGAGTATCGCGCCACCCTCCAAAGGACTTCAATATCGCAGTACATCACCGGTTCTCTCCTAGAAGCAACCACGTCTTTGGGAGCAAGAAGTGGCCTTCTCAGTACTTTTGGAGGATCCACTGGACGAATGATGCTGAAAGGTAATGCCTGAAATTTCACTTTTAACTTTCTATCTTTGACTACAGAGAAGGATCTAAGTTAAGATTTATGTATCTCCTGATGGAAAATTAAGTTCACTTTTCAGCAACTTTAAGTAAAAGTCGCTTCTTTAAGAGAATATAAAAAGGTGGTCCCTTATTAAAATCCCCTAAGGTGTCAACATTCCAAATAGTAATCATTAAGATTTTGAGGCCGGGTGCGGTGGCTCACACCTGTAATCCCAGCACTTTGGGAGGCCAAGGCGGGCGGATCACAAGGTCAGGAGATCGAGACCATCCTGGCCAACACGGTGGAACACCATCTCTACTAAAAATACAAAAAGTTAGCTGAGGGTGGTGGCGGGCGCCTGTTGTCCCAGTTACTCGGGAGGCTGAGGCAGGAGAATGGTGTGAACCTGAGAGGTGGAGCTTGCAGTGAGCCGAGCTCACGCCACTGCACTCTAGCCTAGGCAACAGAGTGAGACTCCATCTCAAAAAAAAAAAAAAAAAAAAGATTTTTGAAACTTTTTTTCAAATGAAGTAAATGGTTAAAACGCTATCTTTAATTTTTTTTTAAATGATTCAGGCAGGTAGTTTCTCCTAGTGGTAGTTTATGACAAATGTCAATTACTATGACAAGATGCTAGGAAACAAATATAGTCAAGCAGTCATATTGAAAACCCACTGTGGTTGGGAGCAGAGTGAAATATAGATCTCCTTCATACATAGAATTAATAGGTGTCTATTGACCAGAAAAGCCAAAGGCCATCTTCCAGCTACTCCCATCTTAAAGGACAAGATAGGCAGGCATCCCACTGAAAGATGAAAGCCAATGGAGTGTGGGGTCCCTTGGCATATGAACTTCCCAGCTACTTCCCATGAGCAGCAGACAGGCAGGTCAGAAATGGCAGTGCACCAAACAACCTCAGAAACTTGTACACTGCATAGCTGTCACAAGCTGCTTGGCAGCCTTCCCTGGCAGGAAGCTGCCAACCAGACAGGGACCATGCAAAGCAGCATTCCACTGCCTGGGGGTTGCCAGAACTCAATCTGACAGCAGCTATTGTCCCTCCATAGCAGGTCCTGAGACCCAAGGCCAGCAGGCCAATGACCTTCCTCCTTGATCCTCAGCCTTCTCCATTCCTACCCACACACACACCCCTAGACAGGCCTAAGAGGAATACTGTAACCTCCTTGTGTACTATGTTGGGTGCCAAGTTGGTTTGTTTTCTGGAGTTGCCCGAACTTCAGGGGATTGGTTATAAATGAATGAAGAATAACAGAAGGTGTGGGAACACTAATGGCTTCATGTTTTTCAGCCATTCAACACATTTTTTGAGCCCCTATTAGGTGTTAGGTGCTGGAAAAGGAACAAAACATAATTCCTGCCCTCATGGAATTTATAGTCTCTAGGTGGTAAGCTGTTTTCCCTACACACAAGACTCAAGGTTTCTCCCCTCTGATGTGGCACCTAGAGAGTACCAAGCCTGCATTCTTCATCATACTCTTCCCAGGAAGTTGGGCTGAGATTGGCATGTGGAATTGGCATTGTTTTAATGCTTGTGATGGTATGCCAGGGCCTTATCCCATGAGTTAATCAACATGTGTAGACTAAACCCCTCCCATTTGGTTTTCAAAGTCTTTTTTTTTTTTTTTCTTTTTGAGATGCAGTCTTACTCTGTCACCCAGGCCGGAGTGCAGTGGCATGATCTTGGCTCACTGCAGCCTCTGCCTCCCAAGTTCAAGTTTCTCATGCCTCAGCCTCCCGAGTAGCTGGGACCACAGGCACACGCCACCTCGTCTGGCTAATTTTTGTATTTTTAGTAGAGACGGGGTTTTGCCATGTTGGCCAGGCTGGTCTCGAACTCCTGACCTCAGGTGATCCGCCCATCTTGGCCTCTCAAAATGCTGGAATTACAGGTGTGAGCCACTGCACATGGCCTTAAAGTTTTTATGTGCCTCAGTTAAACATATTTCTTTAACAATCAGTGGAATAAAATGGATTAAAAACCCAGATGGGTTTCTCACCACAAACAATGATAAGTATGTAAAGCATATGTTAGTTAGCTCAACTGAACCATTCCACAAGGTATACATATTTCAAAACATCATGTTTTACATGACAAATGTATACAGTTTTTATTAACTCATTTTGTGCTCAGTAGTGTGTAGGAAGAAACGGATCTCTAGGCTGCCCAACCAAGGCAGGCACGCCTCTAGTCTTCCACAGGTCTGTGGAGAGAAATAAGGAAGCTGCTGGTGTGTGCATCTATGGCCCTGATCATAATTTGACTTCAATTGTATTTGCACTTCCCTGTTCGAAATAGAACCTCATAGATCAATATTTCTAGCTCTGACACTCACCAGACTGTCAGCTAATGTGTTATCTTTAAATTGGCGTTTTATGCAAGAGTTGGAAGTTTCTTTAACTTTTTGCTTTGAAGCTCTTTGGTGATTTCTGAGAACCCTCTAGAAACTCCTGCTGAATAATACAATTAGCTGGTTGCCTTCTGCTCCAAGCTTATTTCTGTAGTTCTGACTTACTATCTTGGAAACATTTTTCAATTTCAGCATCCTCTCCCATTTGGTTTTCAAAGTCTTTACGTGCCTCAGTTAAACATATTCCTTTAACATGCAGTGGAAGAAAATGCATTAGAAAACCAGATGGGTTTCTCACCACCAAAAATGATAAGTATGTGAGGTAAAGCATATGTTAGTTAGCTCAGTTGAACCATTCTACAATGTATACATATTACAAAACATCATGTTGTACATTACAAATATATATAATTTGTATTTGTCAACTTAAAAAAATTAAGTTAAAAAAAAAGATGGGTCTTCAAAGTCAAAGAGTGTTTACAGAATCTGTAGGATCAGCATATTGGTTAGTGGGTCTTGAACTCTGATGGCCATGTACTCTGCCAGAGGATCAGGAGTACATGCAGCTGCTGTGATGTGGTTGTGAGCTTTTTTTTCTTCTTTAGTATGTGTCCTGTGGCATAGATTTGGCCAACAGCTTTTAGCTATTGGGGAATATATAATACACTCTTAGTCTTCAGTTTATAAATGGGTTATATTCTACAAGTTCATTTCCCAGGAGCGATATAGAACTTAGAACACTTTCCTGGATAAGCAGTATTAAATGTTGTGATTTGGTTCACAGACTCTAGTCCTCAAAAACCTCTGTAACCCATAACACAGTTGTGATCTGCACATTTCCCACGAAATAAAGAGGAAAACACTATTGTTGGAATACTGAGCATTAGCCTCAAAGAAAAAGCAATAGAAGTGAGTTAGAAGACATTTCTTGTTGAGGGGCAATAATTTTATTAAAGATGAGTAAAGAGTTAAACTTTTCAGAGATTTCGAAAAGGAGTTTTAGCCATTTCTGAGATTTTAGATGTTGGCAGCTGTAGCTTTTTGTTATGGCTAATTACACTTCAAAACTTGTACCTATATGAAGGAGTCAGAAAATTGCCCCAGTAATTTTTTCCTAATGTTTTTTAACGAGATGTTTATAAATGGTATGAAGAAGGATGGAAGGAGGTAGCACAAGATTTAAATTTTTCCCCAGAGATAAAGAAAAAGGAATAAGTTCAAAAGAATAACCTCTTCCATAAGAGAAAACATGTTTGAAGTGAATTAAACGGAGTTGGTAAAGGTAGAGAAAAAGGAACAGGGAAAAACAAATGCTGTATGATTTCCCTTATATGAAGTACTTAGGGTAGTCAAAATCATAGAGACCTTAAGTAGAAAGGTGGTTACCGGGGATGAGGAAGGGCAATGGGAATGGGGAGTTAGTGTTTACGGGCTATAGAGTTTCTGTTTTGCCAGATGAAGAGTTCTGGAGCTTACTGGTGGTGATAGTTGCACAGCAATATGAATTTACTTAATACCACTGAATTGTACACTTAAAAATGTTGAGATAGTAAATTTTATGTTGTATGTATTTTATCATAAGAAGAAATAATTGGGAAAAAGGGCATGTTTTGCAGGTCTTTCATCCCCCTCCCTAGTCTATTAGGATGTAAGAAAGAACCGAAACGCTCCTCTTCTGGAAGTGGTTATGATTATGAGATGGGGGTCGTGGTCACCTGTACTAGGCGAAAATAGAAGGAAATGTCCAACAAGTTGATCGTTATTCACAAGTCAAGAACTGGTAACTCGAGGCTTGATTGTCCAGAATTCTGCAGCCTTGGGGCTTTATGGATTGATACAGAAGGCCAATAATCAGAACACAAACATGCCTGCTTTTCTGCCTTCAGTGCCACCAAAGGTCATCTGCCTATAAAGCTGAAGGTTTGCCAAATAACCAGAGACACTTTCTTATGTGAAGCATTGATCCACAAGGATATGCCCTTATCATAAGTGTGTGCTGTCTCAAAGTGGAAAAATAGAGCGCCTTTACCTTTCAGTCAGGAACCTCCACTAGTTTGATACATTAAGATCCTTCTGGCCGGGCGTGGTGGCTCACGCCTGTAATCCCAGCACTTTGGTAGGCCGAGGCGGGCAGATCATGAGGTCAGGAGATCAAGACCATCCTGGCTAACATGGTGAAACCCCGTGTCTACTAAAAATACAAAAAAATTAGCCGGGTATGGTGGTGGGTGCCTGTAGTCCCAGCTACTCGGGAGGCTGAGGCAGGAGAATGGCGTGAACCCGGGAGGCAGAGCTTGCAGTGAGCCAAGATCACGCCACTGCACTCCAGCCTGGGCGACAGAGCAAGACTCCATCTCAAAAAAAAAGATCCTTCCACTTCCTGTCCCTGTGCCCTTTTCCCTCTCCCCATTAATCTTGTTAGAATCTCAGGACTAACACCTTATAGCAGTGGCAGTCAAAAGAATTATTGACTTCGATAATTAGGAAGAAATTTTCAAAGCTATCACCTGCTTTTTCTTTTCTTTTAATGTTTTACCTACTGAAAATTATAAAAACAAGATAAAGTTAAAAGGGAGAGAAAAAATTGAGATAACTGATGGTAATGTGAAGTACTAAAAATGGCAAAATTAGAAAAATAAAGTGATGACAAGAGGATTTTTCATATAAGGCAGCTAAGTGTTTTCAAATGTGCATATTGTACCAGCCAACATAATAAATTGAGTGTGTTAAACTCAATTTTTCCTTCTCAAATTGTTGCTGAGTAAAGCACATAAATTAAAGGATTAAGTGTTACATATAACCGAGACAAAACATAGTTATTCATATTTAAATTGTGTAATAGAGTGGAGGGAAGATGGACCTGCTGAGGCCAGCAAGACATCTGCCATCTTTCTGACAGATGGAGGCCAGCAAGATAGTGCAGACACAGGGTGCCAGGAGGAAAGTCTGTTACTACCATGATGAGAATGTTGGACAAAGCCACCCAATGAAGCTTTACCAATTCTGCATGATTCATAATTTGCTGCTCAACTACAGTCTCCACTGAAAAATGAAAATCTATTGCCCTCACAAAGCCAGTGCTGAGGAGATGACCAAGTACCACAGTGATGACTACATTAAATCCTTGCACTCCATTCATCCTGATAACATGTCTGAGTACAGCCAGCAGGCACAGAGATTCAACATTGGTGAGGACTGTCCAGTATTTCATGGCCTCTTTGAGTTTCGTCAGTTGTCTGTGGGCGGCTCTGTGGCAAGTTCTGTGAAACTTAATGAGTGGCAGACAGACATCACCATGAACCAGACTGCACCATGCAAAGAAGTCTGAGGCATCTGGCTTCTGCTAAGTCAATGATACAGTCTTGGCCCTCCTGGACCTGCTAGAGAATCACCAGGGGGTGCTGCATATTGACCTTGATATTCCACAGTGCATATTGTGCGTATTGACCTTCCATGCCACGGTGATGGCATGGAAGAGGCCTTCTATGCCACAGACTGGGTCATGACTGTGTCCTTTCATAAATGAGGAGAGTACTTCCCAGGAACTGGGGACCTATGGGATATTGGGGCTGGAAAAGGCAAGTATTATGCTATTAACCACCCACTCTGAGATGGGATTGATAATGAATCCTGTGAGGCCATTTTCAAGCCAGATATGTCCGTAGTAATGGAGATGTTCCAGCCTAGTGCTGTGGTCATACAGTGTGACTCAGACTCCATCTGGGGATCAGTTAGGTTGCTTCAATCTGAACATCAAAGGGCATGTCAAGTGTGTGGAATTTGTTATGAGCTTCATCTTGCTGATGCTGATGCTAGGAGGAGGTGTTACATCATTCGCAATGTCACCTGCTGCTGGACATAGGAAACAGCTGTGGCCCTGGACACAGAGATCCATAATGAGCTCCCATATAATGACTACTTCAAATACTTTGGACCAGATTTCAAGCTTCATATCAGTCTTTCCAATATAACTAACCAGATCACTAATGATGCCTGGAAAAGATCAAACAGCAACTGTCTGGGAACCTGAGAATGCTGCCCCACACACCTAGGGCCCAAATGTGGGCTCTTGCTGAGGATGTAACCTAGAGGAGAGTGACAACAAGGACGAAGACCCTGACAAGTGCATCTCCATCTGTTCCTCTGACAAACAAACTGCCTGTGAGGCCGGGCATCGTGGCTCATGCATGTAATCCCAGCACTTTGGGAGGCCAAGGCAGGTGGATCACCTGAGGTCAGGAGTTCGAGGCCAACCTGGCCAACATGGTGAAACCACATCTCTACTAAAAATAACAAAAGTTAGCTGGGCATAGTGGCACGTGCCTGTAATCCCAGCTACTCAGGAGGCTGAGGCAGGAGAATCACTTGAACCCAGGAGGCAGAGATTGCAGTGAGCTGAGATTGGGCCACTGCACTCCAGCCTGGGTGACAGAGCGAGACTCCATCTCAAAAAACAAAAAAATAAACAACAAATTGCCTGTGAGGATGAATTCTCCGACTCTGATGAAGAGGGAAAGGGTGGCTGCAAGAATTCTTCCAACTTCAAAAAAGCCAAGTGGGTCTAAACAGGATGAAAGAGAGAAAGACCCAGAAGAGAAGAAGTCACAGCAGAGAAGACCAAGGAGAAGCCAGAGGCCAAAGGGGTCCAGAAGGAGGTCAAGTTGGCTGAGCAGGCCTTTCCAGCTCTGGCTTCTTGCTGGGTCCCCTAACAACTTAGATTTTATATTTTCTATTTCTCTAGACTATTAGTAAATTTTTATTTACTAAACATAAATATCTTGGGGACTAGAGTGAAAGACAGAAACCAGGGTCCTGAGTCCAGGGCAGCTGTGCTGGGTGAGCTCTTCCAGGAGCTGCCTTGCCCCCCTTTCCTCCCCAGTTCTTAACTTTGAACCATAAAGGGAGCCAGGGCTGGGTGGGAGGGATACTTGTAGGTAGCCATATAGTAGTTTTGGAAAGGTGTCCTTATTAGCATTCTAGAAGGGGTGGCTGGATCTCCAAGGATCCTCTGTTCTTTCCAGGTTCCTAAGGTAATATTAGATGTTTTAGATTGGTTCTGTTCTCATACCTCCCCATTGTCCTCAAGTAAGCCAGGAAGCTCACACTGCCTGCCCTCTGTGTTCCTCCAATTCTGCAGGTGCAGATTGGTAGTCTAGTTTCCTTTTTTGGATACTATTTTCTTTTTGTGAGACTTTGTAATAAAATGGTACATTTCTATTTTTAAAAATAATAATACATTATGTATTAGAAAAAAAAACTAAACTGTTCATTTTTAACCAGTCTGAGTGTGTGGTATGTGTGTCTGTAGACTATATTTAGCTATATTAAAGTTATTTATCACATGTCAGCTATAAATAGAATATTGATATGAAAACAAAAATACCTTACAGATACAATATTTTTGTTTGAAAAGAGGGAATATTTTATTTCAGATAGAAAAGTCTACCAGCACTTTGAGAGGTCGAGGCGAGCACATCACTTGAGGTCAGAAGTTTGAGACCAGCCTGGCTAACATGATGAAACCTGTTACTACTGAAAATACAAAAAAAAAAAAAAAGTTAACCAGGCGTGGTGGCATACACCTGCAGTCCCAGCTACTTAGGAGGCTGAGGCATGAGAACTGCTTGAACCCAGGAGGAGGAGGTTGCAGTGAGCCGAGAACACACCACTGTACTCCCTCCTGGGCAACACAGTGAGACTCCCATCAAGTTTTCAACTTATTTTCTTTCACTACAATAAGCTTGTATATTCTATTTGTATCTTTCTCTAAAGTTAATAGCTTTGAATAAAAAACAAGAAGTTATAGTAGGAATACACATACACATTTGAACTACATGATTATAACTCGTAAATACTTTAGTTTGTAAAGGCTGGCTTAGTTGACTTCCTCAAAATCAAAACGATTACCCTTTACATGCCTACTAGGCAAGGAAGGCATGTGCATAGCTCTAATTCCAAGATTTGTTTATTTAAAGAAATATCCTGACTTGTTAGTATTGTGACCTTGAAATTATTTTCTTGGTATTTAAAAGTATGCTTTAATGTAATATTGGGTGTGTTTCTCTACCAGTTAATCAACTAAAAAGTATTCATTAGCTGCCCACTGTGGCCTAGTGCTATGGCACCTAAGAATGGAGAAGATCACATCTGGAAGTCTTCAACTTGTAAGATAATATTTCTCATTCCAGAGAAAATGTAATATTAGGTTTCAGGTCTACTGAAGGAGCCCTTACCACCTAAAGAGAATTCATAAAGTGCTAGGCTGCTACATTAAAGGTGGTATGAGTAGGTCATAGGGCCAGGAAGCTTGGTAGGCACAGGACAAAAACCTGTTTTAGGACCACAGGTGGTCAAGTATCATCCAGGAGTGTGACACTACACCTGGGTGTAACCTAAGAATATGACTCCATACCAGTTGTGACCAAGGAATGTGACTCCGTCACCAGGTGTGACCTGAACATAGCACTCCATTCCTAGGTGTGAATACACCCATTTTGAGCTGGGAGACTGATTCCATTTAATTCTCTTATGTGCCCTAATTTTGCTCCAAGAAACTAGCTTATGAAAGGAACAAATTATGGCCTAATTCTCCATAAAGTTTTGACACCAAAAAGAGAGAGAGGGAGAGGGAGAGGGAGGAGAAGGAGAAGGGAAGGTGAAGGGAAGGCGAAGGGAAGGTGAAGGGAAGGCTAAGGGAAGGTGAAGGGAAGGCTAAGGGAAGGTGAAGGGAAGGCTAAGGGAAGGTGAAGGGAAGGCTAAGGGAAGGCAAAGGGAAGGAGAAAGGAAGGCAGAAGGAGGAAAGAAAGAAGGAAGGAAAGAAGAAAGGGAGGGAGGGAGGAAAGAAAGAAGGAAGGGAGGGAGAGAAGGAAGGGAGGGAGGGAGGGGAAGGAAAGAAGGAAGATCGGGTAATTGAAAGTTGGTTAAATCCTAATCAATGCAGTCAGAAAGATGACTGGTGAGGATAGCAACACCAGACAGACACTTTGGGTTTACATATCTGAGCTGGTTATAAAAATGTCAAGTCCTAATTACAGAGACTCAGAATGGACCATATTGCAGAAATTTATTTGCAAAATAGTTATTTGAAACACTGCATCCAAAAAAACAACCATTAGATTCCAAAACTTCCCTCCAAAACTTACTGAATATTTAAGTAAAACAATAGTTCTTAAAAATGCCAGAGAATAGCTGCAGACTCTGCAGAAGTGGTTACCTCCAAGAAAGGCCTTTAAATGTGAGCCTCATTGTGTTTTGGATTTGAGCCTTGACTTCAACATTGGGTCATCCTATTCAGGTGATTGTACCTCTAGGCTTTAGTTTCTGCATCTACAAAATGGGAATAAAAGCAACAACTTCGGAGAGTTGTTTTGAGGAATAAGTGTGACAATGTATATAAAGAACTTAGGCCAGGTGGCTCATGCCTGTAATCTCTGTACTCTGGGAGGCAAAGCCAAGAAGATCACGTTAGGCCAGGAGTTCAAGACGAGTGTAGGCAACATGGCGTGATGCTGTCTCAAAAAAAAAAAAAAAAAAGCCAGCCAGATGTGGTGGTGTGTGCCTGTGGTCCCACCTATTCAGAAGGCTGAGGCTGTAGAATCACTGTAGCCCAGGAATTTGAAGCTGCAGTGCGCTATGATCCTGCCACTGCACTCTGTCCGCCTAGGTGATGGAGCGAGACTCTCTCTCTACAAAAACTTTAAAAATTAAAAATAAAAACAGCTTGGCATAGTATCTGGTACCTAATGTATGTTCAACCAATCTTATGATGATGATGGTCATGCTGGGGCTGATGATGGTGATGATGATGGTAGTAATGAGGATTGCCACCACCATCTTGAAATGCCAGCATTCCACTGTTCTTAATTCAAAGACTCTGCTGTTAGCTCAGTTGTAGATGTACAAGAAAAGACAAGTACCCTCCAGGTTTCCCTAGCTGTGGGCCTAGAGCACTAGCAACTCCTGGGACACCTAAGGGGAGGTATCTAGTGGCTGGAGGCCACACCTGTGTAACTCCTTTAGCGAGATTTTCCTTAGTTCCCATGCATTAGGCCACTGATTAATTCAATCATTTGACCAATATTTGTTGAACATCTACTATGTGCCAAGGATATAACAGCAAACAAAATACAGTCTTTACTTTCGAGGGATTTACCCACAAATGGAGGAAATGGACAAATAAACGTGCAAATTTTAAGATAGTATAAATGTTATAATTGAAATAAGCACAGGATATAGGGCCCCAGAGGGAAGTCCCTATACCATCTTCATTGACATCTGAGGTTTCTACAACCATTTAAGTACCTGAAGAAATCTAAACAGGTATTTAACCAGGGAAAACAAGCCCTGACCCATATTATGAAACTTCTGTTGTTTTTACTTAATTCTCTGCTGATATCATCTCTATTTTATTCCCTCCAGAGTAGAAAGATGCTAAGCATTTACTCCTGGTATTGGGAGCCTTGTCTAAAAATCTATGACTGGGACAAAATTTAGTGTTCCAGTTAAAATTTGTATATTTTAATGAAGATGACTTACTCATTACAATAAAATTAAAGGATTTTTTTCAATACATGACACTTCTACTTTTGAGTGTTTCTAAATTGTTTATTGTTTTTAAAGAGTAAGCCTCATTTTAATGAGCTATGAAAATTCTTGCTCTTGGGAACATTTATAGAACATAATAAAATGCTTATAATCTGTTTATAATAACATGTGGGTCAGTAGCAAATACTTAAGAGGATAAAAAAGAGAATATCTCACCATAGTCTGAGTCATAATTTAAACTTCTACTGGAATTGAGTCTTCAAACCAAGAAATAGTGAATAAATTATTACAGTTAAAGTAACAAAAAGATATTTTTAACGGTGTTTAGATTTTGGTAATTGAATTCTAATTACAGATATTATACTATCATCAGGAAAGTCTAACAAGTTTTGTCAACTGGAAATATATATTTGGTATTTTGTCTTTTTAACTTCATATTTCATTGTGACAACAAACTTAAAAAAATATTTTCTATAATGTTAATGTCACAAGTGATTCCTTGAACAAATGTATGCTCAAACACCACTAAGGATCTACCTTTGAATTTTACAGTCACCAGAAACACCCTGTGTGACAGTAGCGGGTATTTTGCCCCTGTTTATACTCAGAGACACATTTTGGCATCAATAAGCAGACTCATCTAAAATCCATTTCAAATAGATGTTGTTGTGGATGATCTGGGAACATGGAGGGTAAGAGAGAGTATAACAAGTTTCAGAGACCCTAGCAACTCACAAGATCTAGGCTGATACACTACCAAGTCTAGACCCAAAATCCTTAACTAGGGTTGACCAGCTTGTAGGAGCAAAGCCAGTATTTGATCCTAAGCCTCTCTGATTCCCAAAGCCATGTTCTTAACTACTAGGAAACACTCCAGTATTATCTCCCACTCAGGGATCCCGTGTACTGACTTATACCAGTGTGTGTGTGTGTCTCTGTGTGTGTGTGTGCATACATGGAGTATAACACTAAATCTTAGATTTGAATGGAGGTTCATTTGACTACAGAATTGATCATTTTCCCACATACCTGCTGCCCCCTTGCCCTAGAGACCTCCAGTGATTTTGAGGATGTCTGTGGAAATGATATCCTTCCATTCTTTGATATAGACACCTATGAGGGTAGTGGGAGTCTTCCCACTGATGGTTACATGTTCATAACACAGTCAATCAAATGGGAAAAGAAGCAGCTCCTGTTAGCTGATGGGCCAAGTAAAACACATTTCACTCTGCAAAAGAAGCCATTGATTGGACACAGGCAGAGAAGTGGTCAAATCAATGGTAACTAGAGAAGAGGGGCTGAAAGAGTGTCTGGGCAGAAGCAATCATATGTGCAAAGGCCCAGTGGCAGCAGGGAGTATGCCAAGTTTGAAGTCTGGGCGGAGAGTGGTGAGCTGGAGGGTTTCTTATGCCAATAAAGTCTGGAGAAGTCGGAATAACAAGCACTAACAGGTATTGGGCACTCACTGTGAGCTGGGCACTGTGACAAGTGTTTTTAAAGTGTTACCTAATTTAAGCCTCATATTTTTGCCTATGAAAAATAGAGAGAGGCAAAACAGAGAGAGGCAAAACAAACTGCCAGATAACATAGGCTCTTGTTAAGGGCTGTAGAAGCAATGGGAAGCCATCAGAGGGTTTTAAGCAGAAGTAGTGACACAATAAGACTTACATTTCAAAAGGATGATTCTCATCAAAATAAAGTAGGGATGCCCCCATGGGCACCACCCCTTCCAGCCCTCATTGTACCCCAAATTAAAATATTTACATTTGAAATGGTCATGGATATTGAACTTGAAAATAAATGACTATTCTGAAATAAAGACTGAGATGGTGTTAGTTGAAATGCTCTTTAATTGTTTCGAGGAGTTGGGAAAAGGAGTAATGGCTACTAACCCAGCTCTCTCTACTTCCTGGGAACTGTATTTCAAGACGTTGGACTTAGAAGGAAGCTTGTGGTGTAGACTACAAAGGGGAATTAAAAACCTGTTCCCTCCAGGCCCAGGTGGACTGTTAATGCTCCCCCTACCCCATGCCATACTCACTGATGACTATGAGTTGTAGCAGTGTTTTACTTATACTGCAGGAACACAAATTCCTTCTTCATGGGCCAAATCCAAGCCACGTGTGTTTTTCTTTGACCGTTGCAGTACTTTAAAAATTGGGAATCTTGCATTAAAATGTTCTGGCTTCTCTGGCAACCCTGGGCCACTATTCTCCCTTGGCCCGTGGGCTGACAGTGATCCATACTAACCCCCACAAGATGAGACACACCAGCTCTTTACCACACACCTGGCCCCACCTCCAGGTGGTGTCCTGTTCAGCTCTAGCCTCATTTCCTTTACCTGCTTGGTCCTGCAGGCATCTCCATTTTGGACCCTGGAGTTGTATTCTGAGATTCACACAAGCTTTGGGGCACTTCAGTTCAAGGATTTAGGAGGCTGAACTGGGAGTTGGGACAAAAAGGAGAAGGGCTGTAAATACAGACAGGTCATCTGTGAACAACCTTCTGGTTGGGTTCTTCCTGGGAGATACAGGAAGCGTTCCAAGCAGGGAAAGCAAGTGAGATAGTGCCAGGGTGAGAATGTGTGCAGCAACTGTGAGACAATGAAGAAATGATGCAGTGGACATAGTGAGAGGTAAGGTCCATTTGGTAGCTGTGGTTACAGTTTGGAGAATGAGGTGAAAATTTGAACCTAAAGCATTAGAGAGCCATTGCAGACCCTTAAGCAGGTTGAATTTTGAATAGTGGCACATTAGGACCAATAGCCTGGAGGCACCCTCTATAGGAAGGAGAGTGGCACTTACAAACCTGAATGCTTTTCCCTGGATTAGGAATTGGGTGCACTGAAAATAGAGGGCCAGAAGCCAGCATGGGCCCACTTAGTTTTCATTGGCATGAGACACTGGTTACAGTAAAAGGACTAGTCTTGAAAATTTAGCATCACCGGGAGAAAAATGAAATGCAATAAAAATTAGAGTCAGTTAAGAATGGAGGAATTTTTACTATGACACAGCACCATTGTAAAAAATCTCCCGCCTCGTGCCAAGGGGTCCGTGCTGCTAAACTCCTCCCCTGAGTTAGTGCATTTGAGTGCTCTCAGTGCAGTCGGCACAGCCAGAGCAGCTGGGAGCAAGGCCTTCTCCAGGCTTACATAAAGCATAGGTCTTGACCAAATGTGAAAAACCTTTAGGGACATGAAAACCATTAGGGATCCGTAGCCCTGACTTGAACCAAGCAGAATAAACAAACCCCTGCCCAAATTGGAACTCACTGGACGCCTTTCAGAGTTATCCAAGGGGAAAGGCTGGAGGCCTCAAGGGTCTTCGAGTGGGTTAATGTCTTCTTTCGGCTGCCTAGCTCAAGATGGGGCTTTATCTGTGCTTTCCTTTGTTCTTTTCTCAAATGTCTTAATGCCTCAGTGGCAAATCCACAAATGGATTGTGTTTTGAACCTGTAATGTGTACCATACTATATTTTCCCTGCTAATGGTATAGTAAAGCCCGTTAGACCTTTTGTTACAAAAGATTCAGGAACTGGGCTGGAAAGGTTCCAGGTAGCATTCACATTTTCCATGGACAGGGTCTTGGTAAGTTCCCAACCTTATTTCTATTTTCAATATCCTTTGTCACTCTTTCCAGCCTCACGATCTAGTTTTCTACACGCATAATGTAGAGAAACGCTGTGTCTCTCTCCCCCAACAGTTAAGTGGCATCATTTTCACTCTTTTAATCCCAGTTTTTTTTTCAAGTTGAGGAGGCAGGGCCGGGCATGGTGGCTTATGCCTGTAATACCAGCACTTTGGGAGGCCGAGGCACGCAGATCACCTGAGGTCAGGAGTGCGAGACTAGCCTGGCCAACATGGGGAAACTCTGTCTCTACTAAAACTACAAAAATCAGCCAGGTATGGTGGTAGGCACCTGTAATCCCAGCTACTCGGGAGGCTGAGGCAGGAGAATCACTTGAACCCAGGAGATGGAGGTTGCAGTGAGCCAAGATGGCGCCACTGCACTCCAGCCTAGGCAACAGAGGGAGACCTTGCCTTGAAAGAAAGAAAGAGAGAGAAAGAGAGAGAGAGAGAAAGAGAGAAAGAGAGAGGAGAGAAAGGAAGAAAGAAAGAAGGGGAGGCAGATTAGAGAATTATGAATGTTCATTCATCCAGTAAATAGTCAATTGAGTGCCTGCCGTGGACTAGATGCTATGCTAGGCACTATATTGTGACAGCGGAGGGGGCTGGATTGAAGAAGAATGAAACAATACCCTAGTTCCCTGATATTCACAATCTGTTAAAGATGGAGATGGGCATAGAGATGGGAAACCAAAGCACAGAGCAGCTAAGAACCAAGCCCTAGATGGTCACAAATCCATAGCTCACAGAAGTGTGATCTGAACTATCATGGAGCTCTTACCCTGCCTCTAGTCTACCTGTAGGAAATATAATAGAATGTAGCACAATATAGGAAACATTTGCAGAATGCCTGCCACCCCTGTTCTAGCTAGGGATGAAAACAATGAAATAAAGCACTGTTCTTAATTCTAGGAGTATGATTTAGATTAACAAAGAGACAGACATGAACCAGTGTTTACATTGCAGCATGATACACAAAAGGCAAAAATTGGTGATTAAGAATGTGGAGTTTGATGACAGATAGACCTAAGTCCCAGATCAACCATATAGAAACTGCATGATCTGGGGCAAGTTACTTAACTCTTCTCTTCTAAGTTTCATCATCTTACCTGTAAAATAGGACAATGCAGACACTTGCCTCAGGTCATTATAATGGGTTAAAAAGTAAATTAATGAATATAAAGTGATTAGAACACTGTCCAAAAAAAGTGGAGATGGAGCGAAGAAGGCACTCAGAAATGGCAAGAACAAAGGCTTAGATGCAGGATATGTCTCAGGATGGGGGCTGGAGGGTTCATGTTTGGCAGGAGCAGGGAACATACAGGGGGCCTTGAGAAATGGAGCTGGAATGGATGTCCTGGTTTGCAGGTGCATTGGGCCCTAGGTCAGGGCAAATCTTGGGAAGATAGGCATCCAGGACAGCAGCTACTGCCAGCTCTTGCTTTCAAGGTTCATTTCTTCCATTCACACCTGGCCCTTATCACTCTTCCAAGGTGTATCGGCCACAATCAGTTCTCACCTGCCCTAGAAGGTCTCTCTGGTCTTCCTCCCTAGTTCAGTTGGATCATGCACGGGCAAATAAATCCTTTTTCTCCTTCTCTAGCTCAACCATGAGAAAGTTGGAATTTTTTAATGCAAAATTTTCCTTTCCAAGAAAAAGAGAGAAAGGATGGAAGAAAGAGAGGGTAGAAAAAGGGACTATAGGAAGTGGAAGGAAAGGGAAAAGGAAGGAAAGGCTATACAGACACACAGAAACACAGAAACAGATATGTTCAGCAAAGCGTAGACGTCATACCTCATTTATCAAAAGTGGGTCACAGATCAGCCTTGCCAATGGATTCCACTTGTAGGACCTCCAGTGCTTATTCTCTTCCTTGCTTCTGCCTTGAATGTCTGGACTTGGAGAGATTAAACTAGTTGTCTGAGAAGAGTTGGCTGCCATGGCTATTCCAGAACTTTCTCACCTCTCACACAGCACCCCGGATCTTTAATCCCCTTGGCCCTGTTCATTCCACTCTACCTTGACACTGGTTACAGTAAAGGGACTAGTCTTGAAGATTTAGCATCACTGGGAGAAAAATGAAATGTAATGAAAATTAGAGTCAGTTAAGAATGGAGGCATTTTTACTATGACACAGCACCATTGTAAGAAATCTACCCCCGTGTGCCAAGGGGTTCCATGCTGCTAAACTCCTCAGTCAGTGCATTTGAGTGCTCTTGGCACAGTCGGCATAGCCAGAGCAGCCCAGAAGGTGGCTTCAAAAGCTTGGTGTGGTCAGTTCACAGAGGCTACTTGAATCAGTCTTTGAGCCTTGACTGATCTGAGCCAATCAAGTTCACAGAAAACTGACTTCTAACCCAAATGCCATTTCTCAATTTCTGAGAGCTACGTGCAGCTCAGTTGCTGCAAGTAATAAAAACAACAGCAATAATAACTGCCTTTTATTGAATCAGGCACTACATGTCATAAACTGTTCTAAGTGTTTTACCAACATCAACCCTCTTGCAACTAAAAGTGTGGTCCCAGAACCATCAGAATCTCAAGCCTCACCTGAGACTTTGGGTCAGAAACTGCATTTTTTAAAATAAAATTCCCAGATAAAAACCTGGGTTCTAGTTCTGGCTATACAACCTTAATCTTTTCTCCTCTGCCTTCTGTCTTTGAGTCTCTTGGTCTCATTCAGTTTCAAGGTCAACTTTAAAATCTCCCAATTCCCTTCCATAGAGAAAGTGTTTGATTCTCTTTGGCGCCCAGAGTCCATATTCAACAATGATAAAACCCACTCAGATTGACCAGAAGGAAGTTCTGGTTGATGATTCTTCCTTCAGAGACAGCAGGGGCTGGGCAGTCGGGTCCCTTCAGGTGAAGGGATTACAGAGTAATTAGATATGATTCACCATCTGTCTCAAAGTAGTATCTTCTTGTATTTTTTATATTTATATCTGTAACTGTAGACAGAAAGGAAATTGCCCTGAAAGAAATAACTGGCCAGTAAGTAATTAGGACTCCAATGGAGTGAATGAGCCATGTGTCTTATGTGTATAAATGACCTATTTACCCATGTTGCTAACTTTCATGTGCTTATAAACAAGTAGATGTTAACACACTCCCGATGTATATGACAACCTCCGTGGAGGTCATATGGAAACATGCGGGCCTTCCACTACGGCCCCGCCGCTGTGCTGAGTGTTGTATGCATGTCTTCTGTACTTCTCAAAACAACCTGGCAAGGTAGAATTATAATCCTCATTTCAAAGATGGGAAAACTGTGACTTAGAGGCTAAGTTGATGCCCCTACAAATTTCAATTATTTAAGAAGGAGACTAAGGAGAGAGAAGATAGCTGGTGACTTCAGACCCTTTGTTGTTCTGAACCCCAAACTTTCCTGCCTCAGTCTATAAGCCCAAGGCCCTGTGGTTAGGCTTAGTAGGTTCAATTATTTTAGCAGGCTGTTTGAAGAAGATGTAGTGATCCCAATCCACTTCCACTCAGAGGCACACCAAAGTATTTGTTCCAGCCACATAGGATACTTTACCTTTGAGGAGTTTAGGGAAATTCATTTCTGCTATCTTATCTGTGAAGAGTTTAGGGAAATTGATATTCTGCTGTATCATCTCCTATCTTCCATGGTGTTTTGCAGTCCTTCTAGCTGGGAGTTCACAGGAGGTTGACCAGATGGCCTGCTGTTCTGAGTGATTAATTAGAGGGTTAAGCATCTAGGGAGTATCTAAGCAAGGATTTGAACTTGAGTACATCCCACTTCAGAGCCCATGCCTCTGAGCACTCTCCTTTATATGATATGAAGCCCTGGGGAGGCCTCTGGTTGGAGGAAGCATCTGCAGTGAGTGAAGGTGCCCAGGACTCTCAGGCCTGCAGCCCTGATTTGCACAGTGAGAGCTGGCAGCAGTCTAGTGGGCATGGGGGTTCACAGATACCAGGTTCTGGCAGTCTGAGCTGTCCATGGTCAGCTGTGGGGGCCAACACCTCCTTCGTCTGTACTGCTCAGTCTCTCCAGAGAGAGGCCAGCAGCTGTTCTTCCATGTCCTGTTTTATACCAAATCAGAAAGAAACTGACCTCAGGAAGGAAATTTGAGGTCTCCCCCAGACCTGTATAACTCATGTGCATTTTCTTTACATGTCTCATTGGGCTGGCCTCCATCCTCCCACCTCCCACTGCCATCATGGAAATCATCTCTCACAAGGCCAAATAGCCCATCTAATCCTCTAGACTTTGGCCTGTAGTGGGTTCCATAAGGACTCCCCTTGGTCTTTCACAGCATAGGACAATCAGGAGCTTGTTGCAAATATTCACTTGGGTGGAAGTCAAGGGAAAGCAATGAGAATATACATGAAGGGAACAATTCTCAAGACAACTGGTGGGCAAATGGACGCAAACTTAGCCCAAGACATGAAAGAATAACAAATACCTCCAAGATTTTGGTCCTGGGGAAATGAAGGTTGTGCTATAAAAAGAACGTGAAAAGTTAGATCCAGTTTGGATATCTTGACTTTGAGATGCTGGGACATTCAAATAGACTGCCAACAGAAGCATTAGGATTTTATCGGGGTGAGAGGTCAAAACCAGAGTCACACATTTATAAGCCATCTGCTTAACTGCGATGGTTACAGCTTGAGGTGAGCTTTCTTAGGATGAGAGAGGGGTGTGCAAAGGACTGAGAACTGTAAGTTCAGGCTGAAAGGCTGCAAGGGGGCCAGAAATGAGCACCATGGCTGGAGAGTTAAGAAGAAAGCCACAGTAAGGTAGTGTCCTGAGCCAAGACTCAAAGAAGGTCCTTGGGGTTGGGCTTAAAGTTGTAGTTTCCCAAGCCCCCTCCACAAAACAACTCTATGGTGATTTTAATGCACCCAGTGATAATATCCCAAAATGAATCACTAGACACTTTGGCATAGTCATTTTTTTCCTATTAGAAGTGGGTTTGACTGGCTAGCCATATAAAGAAGAATGGAACTGGACCCCCTACCTCTCACCATATACAGAAATTAACTCAAGATGGATTAAAGACTTAAATGTAAGACCTCAAACTATAAAAGTCCTAGAAGAAAACCTAGGAAAAACTCTCTGGATGTTGGCCTAGGCAAAAAATTTATGACTAAGTCCTCAAACCAAATGCAACAGAAACAAAAACAGACAAATAGGACTTAATTAAACTAAAGAGCTCCTGGACAGCAGAAGTGGGTTTGACTTTGTCAATAAAGATTTTCTACTTAAATCGTCAAACGTAGCTTAAAAAATTATTAACTGCATAGTTAAATATAAAACAGTTCCTATACGACCTTGTTTATTGCTAGATTAGATACATCGCATAGGTGGAATCCACATAGTAAGTATACAATGAGTACTAAATGTGTAATAGCATTTGGTCAACAAGTGGAACGCTGCAAATCTATGACCTTCTAGGTTTTGGTCCCATTTCAGTTGAAAAGGGAAAATGAACAATTATGAGTTCCCTCATAAATTAAACTCTGGTACCCAAACTACAACAAATGGTTAAAAGCCTGGGCTTTGGAGTCACCTGCATGTGATTCAGAATTCTGTCCTCATTAGTTAACTACCTGTGAATATTTGGACAAGTTACTTAACATCTCTGAGTTTCCTCATCTATAAAATGGAATGCTAATTGTACGTCAGCCACGGAGTTGCTGATAGAACTGAATAAGATACCTAAATAAAATTTTTCAAGTAATATGCTTAGATAGCTAAGCAGCACATTCTGTAAATGTTAGCAAGTGATTTTATCAGTATCATTATTACTGCTTCCTTTTATAGGGGAAAAAATTCCAAGTCCATATGTGTTTTTCTCATTAACTTAAGTGACTTTGCCTACCCAAAGTCTGGTACAGGTTATTTCTGCAATAGTATGTTCAAAATCAGAAATATCATGTACTGTTTTTAAGTCATAGAGCTATTTTAATTGATACTCGTATCATCAAAGGTTGAAAATGTGATAATAACAAACAACAATAAAAGGTGCATGTTCAACATTACTTTCAAAATATATATAGATTTTCTTTCTTTAAAACAAACATAATTTTTAAAAATATCAGATTGTTTATGATATGAAGTCATGGTTACAGTCACATTGCAGTTTACCATCTGTTCTTGTCCAAAATACAGGTCCAAGTTAGAGCCAGAATTGCAAAACGACAGTAAATGTCTGTTGGTCTCGTACAAAGCTCTTCTCAGTTAGACCATACTTAAACATGTAATATATTCATATAAAAATGAATGTAGAGTTAAACATGAAAATCAATCAATGCAATATATCATATGAATAGAACAATAGACGAAAACCACATGGGCATCTCAACAGACATAGAAAAAGGATTTCACAAAATCCAACATCTTTTTATGAAAAAAAACACTCAACAAAATAGGAATAGAAAGGAACTTCCCCAACCTGATAAAGTGTATCTATGCAAAACCCACAGCTGACA
Organism: Homo sapiens; assembly: GCF_000001405.40. Lineage (NCBI taxonomy): Eukaryota > Metazoa > Chordata > Mammalia > Primates > Hominidae > Homo > Homo sapiens. The sequence continues at coordinate 94,153,462 of NC_000010.11, forward strand.
TCACACATGCTGATGAAAGACTAAAAACTTTCCGCCTAAGATCAAGAACCAAAAAAGATGTACTGTCAGTTCTAGCCAGGGCAGTTAGGCAACAAAAATAAATAAAAGGCATCCAGATAGGAAAAGAAGAAGTAAGACTATTTCTATTATCAGATGATCTACTCAAAGATAGACAATCCTAAGGAATCCACTAAAACACTATTAGAATTAATAAATGAGTTCAGCAAGGTTGCAGTGTACAAGATCTGTTGTATTTCTACAAACCAGCCATTAACAATCCAAAAATGAAATCAAGAAAAAAATCCATTTATAGTAGTATGAAAACGAAGCAAATACTTAGGAATAAATTTAACAAAAAAAGTGCAAGACTTATATATTGAAAACTGCAAGATACTGTTGAAAGAAATTGTTAAAGACCTAAACGAATGGAAAGACATCCTGTATTCATGAAATGGAAGATTTAGCATTGTTCAAATGGCAATATCTTTGCAAAGCAATCTGTAGATTAAGTACAATCTCTATAGAATTCAACCTGTCTTTTTTGCAGAAATGAATAGGGAACCCAGAATAGCCAAAATAATTTTTTTAAAGATTTCTTATTTCAAAACTTACTACAGAGCTATAGTAACCAAAATGTTGTGATACAGGCATAAAGACAGACATAAAGACCAATGGAATAGAACACAGAGCCCAAAAATAAACCCTAACATATATGGTCAAATAATTTTCAACAAAGATGCCAAAACCATTCAATGGGGAAGGAACAAGCCTTCCAGTAAATGGTGCTGGGGAAACTGGATATCCATATGCCAAACAATGAAGTTGGACCCTTACCTTCCACCCTGTATAAAAGTTAACTCAAAATGAATCAAAGACCTGCACAGAAGACCTAGAACTATAAAACTCATAGAAAATATAGAGGAAAAGCTTCACGACATTGGGTCTGGCAATGATTTCTTGGATATATACCAAAGGTACAGGTAACAAACAAAAAAATAGATAAATTGGAATTAAAAACTTTCCTGCATCAAAGGACACTATCAACAGAGTGAAAAGGCAACCTACAGAATGGGAGAAAATATTTGCAAATCACATATATAATAAGAGATTAATAGCCAGAATATATAGAGAACTAAAATTCAACAACAGAGAACCCAACAACACAATTCAAAAATGGGCAAAGGACTTGAATCGATGTTTCTCTAAAGAAAATGTGCAAATGGCCAATAAGCATGTGAAAAGATGCACAACATCATTAGTCGTTAGGAATATTAACATCAAAACCATAAAGTACAGGACGGGCATGGTGACTCACGCCTGTAATCTCAACACTTTAGGAGGCCAAGGTGGAAAGATTGCTTGAGGCCAGGAGTTCAAGCCCAGCCTAGTCAACGTGGCAAGACCCCTGTCTCTATTTTAAATATATATATATACATATATATATATATATTTATTTAAAACTATAAGGTACCACTTCACCCACTAGGATAGATAATTGGGGGAAAAAAAAGTAAGAAAGAAAACTAGTGTTGACAAGGATGTGGGGAAATTGAAGCCCTAAGCATTGCTGTTGGGAACTTAAATTGGTACAACCCCTGTAGGAAACAATTGGAATGTCCTCCAGATGCTAAACATAGGAGTTACCATATGATCCAACAATCCACTGCTAGTTATATACCCAAGAGAAGTGAAAACATACATTCACACAAAAATTTTATCCAAATGCTCGTAACAACATTAGTCATAACAGCCAAAAAATGTAAACAAACCAAATGTCCATCAACTGATGAATAAACAAAATGTGGTATATACATACAATGGAATATTATTCAGTTATTAAAAAGAAATGAAATATTTATACATATTACAACATTGATAAACCTTGAAATCATTATGCTAAGTGAAAGAAGCCAGACACAAAAGGTCACATATTCTATGATCCCATTATATGAAATGTCCAGCATGGGCAAATCCTTAGGGACAGAAGGTAGACTAGTGGTTGTCAGGGCCTGGGTGAGAGGGACTGGGGGAGTGGAGTGATGGCCAACATATACAGGGTTACATGTTTTAGGAGGTGATGTACATGTTCTGAAATTGATTATGGTGATAGTTACACAACTCTGTGAATATACTAAAAACCATGAATTGTACACTTTTTTTTTTGTTCTTGTTTTTTAAAAAATACAGAATGCTTCACAAATGTATATGTCATCCTTGCGCAGGGGCCATGCTAATCTTCTTTGTATCATTCCAATTTTAGTATATATGCTGCTGAAGTGAGCACAAATTGTATATTTTAAACTGTACACTTTAGAAAGTTAAAAAAAAAAGAGAGAGAGAGAGAGACAGGGTCTCACTCTGTTGCCCAGGCTGGAGTGCAGTGGCGCAATCATAGCTCACTGCAGTCTCAAACTCCTGGGCTCAGGTGCCCCTCCCACCTCAGCCTCTCAAAGTGCTGGAATTATAGATGTGAGCTACTGTGCCCAGCCTAGAAAATAAATGTTACGGTATGTGAATTATATCTCAGTTTAAAAAAAGAATGGACATAAATAGCTTAGCAATGTTTTAGCATGAAAGAATTTAACTCTGAGAATGTTCTGACATCTTGATGGGGTGTGATAATAATGCCACAGTGGAAGGGATGTGAATATTAACAGAAAAAAAAACTGTTTTCCTCTACACTCACAACACTTCTGACACCAAATGTGTGGGGTTTTCCATACCAAGAATGTATTCTCCGTCTCTCCTGACACCAACTGGGCGTCTTATAACACAATTCTGACATTTTCCACCTGGAGCTAGCATCAGACACCACGGGTTAAGTAGGGGCTCAGTGCCACAGGATTGCTCCCACTTCAGACACCAATCACAAGTCCTGGGCCTTTGGTATTTCTGACCAAATTGGCTACAAACTGGGGGTCTTCATGACTGTCTTCTGAGGTTCGATCATTTGCACTAATGGGCTCACAGAACTCAGGGAAACACTTTACTTACTTTACCAGTTTATGATAAAGGATGCAAATGAACAGCCAGATGAAGAGGTGCATAGAGCAACGTGTGGGGAAGGAAGTGTGGAGGTTCCATACCCTCTCTGGGTGACCACCTTCCCAGCACCTCCTTGTGTTCATTCACCCAGAAGCTCTGTGTACGCCATAGTTGAGGAATTTTTATTGAGGCTTCATCACCTCAGCATGATTAATTTAGTCAGTCTTCAGTTCCTTTCCCCTCCCTAGAGGATGGTGGGTGGGGCTTAAACTTCCAAGCTTGTAATCATGCCTTGGTTTTTCTGGTGCCCAGCCCTCGTCTTGAAGCTATCCAGGAACCCACCAAAAGTTACCTCATTAGAACAAAAGACACTCCTATCACTAGGAAACTCCAAGAGATTTAGGACCATATATTAGAAAAAAACATGCTCCTAGAGTTTTAGGAGCCCTATGTCAGGAACTGGGAGCAGAGACCAAATATATATATTTTTTATTATGTCACACATATTCTTTTCATAGAGAGAAGAGCTGACGAGTTAAGAACAGCCTTTTTTTGGTGTTTTTTGGGGGGCGAGGTCTTTTTTAAATTGGGGGATTCATTAGTACAGTGTGTGGCAGGATGATACAGACATTTTATATGAGTAAGTGAGGTATCACTTGGGATCTTAAAAAATATTTTCTTTTTATTATGGTGGGCACCACACCAAAGGGTGCAAGTTGCAGGTTATAAAAACAAAGCAAAAGTTTCCATAGCCTGAAATGGTTGGAAATATGACTGAGTCTCCTCGTCGAGCTTCTAAGATGAAAGGCCCCAGAATTCCCTCTTCCTCTTGCAAATGTTGAATTAATGATGATAATAAGATGGCTGACTATTGAGGGCTGAATGTGTAGTAAACATTACATGCTTTTTCTTGTTTTAATTTCCCCATCATCACTGTGACATACCCATAGTTGTTTAGAACATACCCAAGGTCATGAAGCAAGTCAACAACTGAGCTGGGCTGCGATCACACATACATGTGAGTCCCAAGATCCCACTCTACTTCTACTCTGGGGGAGCTGCCCCCAGGAGCTTACAGCACCTGAGATCCTAACCACACCAGTAAGGGAGGCAGTAGAGTATGGAGGCAGTGCCCTGGACTGGGAGTCAAGGTCCCTGAGTTCTGGTCCACCTTTGCCACTAATCAGCTCTGTGACCTTGGGCAAGAGGCTTGGACAAGAAGTTCAGAGGCATGGTTTTCTGATGTGTAAAGTGTGGAAAATTCATCCCAGCTATCCCTGTAGTTCCTTCCAACTCAGGCATTCAGCCCAAGTCCTGCCTCATTCACCCTCTGATTTGTACATTGAGACTAAAAGGAAGAAAACCTTCGAGTCAGTGTAGGCTGGTGATTTCAAGATGCTGGACTTTGGTGTTGGGCTGATGTGGCACTGGTTCCATTATTTATCTCAGTGTGATGTTCAGCAAGTTCTTTAATTGTGTCCCCATCTGCTAATGGGAATAATAACAGCGTGGGGTGCTGTGCTGTCTACATAGAGTGGTTGTGAGGATTGAGTGAGATCTCGGAAGAGAGCTTTAATGCAATTCCTGGCACATTGTAAGTACTGAGATGTTATATTATTATATGTTAAATAATATTATAATTTATTTATGATGATGATTGTTGATTGTTATAAAACAGAGACACAGAATCCTTTCAGAATAATTAGTGTAGGTTAGCTCACCCAGGTCAGACTTTGGAGCTCAGATTGCCTGCTTATGCTGAGTTTTGAAACCATTCCATATCTAGAAGGTTAGCCATACCTCAGGACTATGCTGCTGGGTAAGAGGGCATCAGATTGTCACCAAAAACACTCCAGAGTTCCCCTCTTGTAAACTTTGAGTCAGTAATGCCATCTTCCCCTATATGAGACAACACACTATTATAACTTACTGTGTGAATTTTGACTCAAGTATTCCTTTTTACCCAATGTAATCAGAAATAGATGAGTGATCAGTGACAGATACTGATAAAACAGTTAATTAATTTGCCATAAAAAGAACAGATGAGAAAATGCTGCTCCCTGGAAATTTCCCAATGTGGGTAGGGAATTTTTCTCTTTCAATGTTATTTAACATAATAAGCACAGATAAAGTTATATTTACAAGATTGTTTATCACGGTGTTATTATAATGGTAAAAAGTTGTAAATATAAGAGCCATCGAAAATCTAATATTCAAAGAATAGCTTCAGAGTCGGGGGAAAAGTGCACTATAGAGTTTTTTTAAGTTAGAAAAAAATGTGTTCTCTGATCCTAATTTTGTGAATATTGTGTGTGTTTATAGAAAAATATGAAATGTAACAACAAAAACATTAGCAGAGATTACCTCTGGGTATGAGATTATTATTTTAAATTTTCTTCTTCTTTTTCTTTTTTTTTTTTTTTTTTTGAGACGGAGTTTCGCTCTTGTTGCCCAGGCTGGAGTGCAATGGCGCAATCTCAGCTCACCTCAACCTCCGCCTCCTGGGTTCGAGCGATTCTCCCGCCTCAGCCTCCCACAAATTTTCTTCTTTATACTTCTTTATATTTTCCACGTTTTCACAGTGAGCATGTTTCTTTGGAACTGGAGCAAAAGTTGTTTTTTTTATTAATGGAGATTCTGTCAACTTTTTTCTTTTTGCTCTAAGGCTCTTCTGTCTGGTAGATTGTTTCATCTGAATATGTCTTAACACTCAGTCTGAATATATTGGGTTTTTTTTCTCTTTTAAGTACTGACTTAGAAGTAATATGCTTCATTGATTTTGTGAGCTCATCTTTTTCATGTAATGTTCAGGACAAGCCAGACACATTTGTTGCAAGACGGATTTTGTTACTTTGAAAACCAATAACAGATAATAAGATAAAATCACCAATTAACCAAACTTTTTCTAAACCCATCACTTCCCTGTTGAAAGCAATTTTCAGCTCTTCCTGAGATTCATGTATTTAAGTCAGCTCTGAATCTTCTATAAGAAGAAATCAATATTCTTCTCTCTCTCTCTCTTATTTTATATAATTAGAATTGTACCACTAAAGGACTATTAAATGTGCAATTGAGAATCTAATACTTAAAACAAGTCTACAAAGTTAATTCAAAGCAAAGGAAAATGGATAGAGTAGATAGAATAAGTTTTTCCTACTTTCTTCTCTAATTGTAACTTTTTTTAAATATGCTTTAAGTTTTAGGGTACATGTGCACAACATGCAGGTTTGTTACATATGTATATATGTGCCATGTTGGTGTGCTGCACCCATTATCTCGTCATTTAACATTAGGTATATCTCCTAATGCTATCCCTCCCTCCTTCCCCCTCCCCACAACAGGCCCCGATGTGTGATGTTCCCTTTCCTGTGTCCATGTGTTTTCATTGTTCAATTCCCACCTATGAGTGAGAACGTGCGGTGTTTGGTTTTCTGTCCTTGGGATAGTTTGCTGAGAATGATGGTTTCCAGCTTCATCCATGTCCCTAAAAAGAACATGAACTCATCATTTTTTATGGCTGCATAGTATTCCATGGTGTATATATGCCACATTTTCTTAATCTGGTCTATCATTGTTGGACATTTGGCTTGGTTCCAAGTCTTTCCTATTGTGAATAGTGCCACAATAAACATACGTGTACATGTGTCTTTATAGCAGCATGATTTATAATCCTCTGGGTATATACCCAGGAATGGGATGGCTGGGTCAAATGGTATTTCTAGTTCTAGATCCCTGAGGAATCGCCACACTAACTTCCACAATGGTTGAACTAGTTTACAGTCCCACCAACAGTGTAAAAGTGTTCCTATTTCTCCACATCCTCTCCAGCACCTGTTGTTTCCTGACTTTTTAATGATTGCCATTCTAACTGGTATGAGATGGTATCTCATTGTGGTTTTGATTTGCATTTCTCTGATGGCCAGTGATGATGAGCATTTTTTCATGTGTCTGTTGGCTGCATAAATGTCTTCTTTTGAGAAGTGTCTGTTCATATACTTTGCCCACTTTTTGATGGGGTTGTTTCTTTTTTTCTTGTAAATTTGTTTGAGTTCATTGTAGATTCTGGATATTAGCCCTTTGTCAGATGAGTAGATTGCAAAAATTTTCTCCCATTCTGCAGGTTGCCTGTTCACTCTGATGGTAGTTTCTTTTGCTGTGCAGAAGCTCTTTAGTTTAGTTAGATCCCATTTGTCAATTTTGTCTTTTATTGCCATTGCTTTTGGTGTTTTAGACATGAAGTCCTTGCCCATGCCTATGTCCTGAATGGTATTGCCTAGGTTTTCTTCTAGGGTTTTTATGGTTTTAGGTCTTTAATCCATCTTGAATTAATTTTCGTATAAGGTGTAAGGAAGGCATCCAGTTTCAGTTTTCTCCATATGGGTAGCCAGTTTTCCCAGCACCATTTATTAAATAGGGAATCCTTTCCCCATTTCTTGTTTTTGTCAGGTTTGTCAAAGATCAGATAGTTGTAGCTAAGCAGCATTATTTCTGAGGGCTCTGTTCTGTTCCACTGGTCTATATCTCTGTTTTGGTACCAGTACCATGCTGTTTTGGTTACTGTAGCCTTGTAGTATAGTTTGAAGTCAGGTAGTGTGATGCCTCCAGCTTTGTTCTTTTGGCTTAGGATTGACTTGGCAATGTGGGCTCTTTTTTGGTTCCATATGAACTTTAAAAGTAGTTTTTTCCAATTCTGTGAAGAAAGTTTGGTTCCATATGAACTTAAAAGTAGTTTTTTCCAATTCTGTGAAGAAAGTTATTGGTAGCTTGATGGGGATGGCCTTGAATCTATGAATTACCTTGGGCAGTATGGCCATTTTCACGATATTGATTCTTCCTATCCATGAGTATGGAATGTTCTTCCATTTGTTAGTGTCCTCTTTTATTTCACTGAGCAGTGGTTTGTAGTGCTCCTTGAAAAGGTCCTTCACATCCCTTGTAAGTTGGATTGCTAGGTATTTAATTCTCTTTGTAGCAATTGTGAATGGGAGTTCACTCATGATTTGGCTCTCTGTCTGTTATTGGTGTATAAGAATACTTGTAATTTTTGCACGTTGATTTTGTATCCTGAGATTTTGCTGAAGTTGCTTATCAGCTTAAGGAGATTTTGGGCTCAGACAATGGGGTTTTCTAGATACACAATCATGTCATCTGCAAACAGGGACAATTTGACTTCTTCTTTTCCTAACTGAATACCCTTTATTTCCTTCTCCTGTCTGATTACCCTGGCCAGAACTTCCAACACTATTTTGAATATGAGTGGTGAGAGAGGGCATCCCTGTCTTGTGCCAGTTTTCAAAGGGAATGCTTCCAGTTTTTGCCCATTCAGTATGATATTGGCTGTGGGTTTGTCATAGATAGCTCTTATTATTTTGAGATACGTCCCATCAATACCTAATTTATTGAGAGTTTTTAGCATGAAGGGCTGTTGAATTTTGTCAAAGGCCTTTTCTGCATCTATTGAGATAATCATGTGGTTTTTGTCATTGGTTCTGTTTATATGCTGGATTACGTTTATTGATTTGCATATGTTGAACCAGCCTTGCATCCCAGGGATGAAGCCCACTTGGTCATGGTGGATAAGCTTTTTGATGTACTGCTGGATTCGGTTTGCCAGTATTTTATTGAGGATTTTTGCATCAATGTTCATCAGGGATATTGGTCTAAAATTCTGTTTTTTTGTTGTGTCTCTGCCAGGCTTTGGTATCAGGATGATGCTGGTCTCATAAAATGAGTTAGGGAGGATTCCCTCTTTTCCTATTGATTGGAATAGTTTCAGAAGAAATGGTACCAGCTCCTCCTTGTACCTCTGGTAGAATTTGGCTGTGAATCCATCTGGTCCTGGACTTTTTTTGGTTGGTAACCTATTAATTATTGCCTCAATTTCAGAGCCTGTTATTGGTCTATTCAGAGATTTAACTTCTTCCTGGTTTAGTCTTGGGAGGGTGTATGTGTGGAGGAATTTATCCATTTCTTCTAGATTTTCTAGTTTATTTGCATAGAGGTGTTTATAGTATTCTCTGATGGTAGTTTGTATTTCTGTGGGATCGGTGTGATATCCCCTTTATCATTTTTTATTGCGTCTATTTGATTCTTCTCTCTTTTCTTTTTTATTAGTCTTGCTAGCAGTCTATCAATTTTGTTGATCTTTTCAAAAAACCAGCTCCTGGATTCATTGATTTTTTGAAGGGTTTTTTGTGTCTCTATTTCCTTCAGTTCTGCTCTGATCTTAGCTATTTCTTGCCTTCTGCTAGCTTTTGAATGTGTTCGCTCTTGTTTCTCTAGTTCTTTTAATTGTGATGTTAGTGTGTCAATTTTAGATCTTTCCTGCTTTCTCTTGTGGGCATTTAGTGCTATATATTTCCCTCTACACACTGCTTTAAATGTGTCCCAGAGATTCTGGTATGTTGTGTCTTTGTTCTCATTGGTTTCAAGGAACATCTTTATTTCTGCCTTCATTTCATTATGTACCCAGTAGTCATTCAGGAGCAGGTTGTTCAGTTTCCATGTAGTTGAGTGGTTTTGAGTGAGTTTCTTAATCCTGAGTTCTAGTTTGATTGCACCGTGGTCTGAGAGACAGTTTGTTATAATTTCTGTTCTTTTACATTTGCTGAGGAGAGCTTTACTTCCAACTATGTGGTCAATTTTGGAATAGGTGTGGTGTGGTGCTGAAAAGAATGTATATTCTGTTGATTTGGGGTGGAGAGTTTTGTAGATGTCTATTAGGTCCGCTTCGTGCAGAGCTGAGTTCAGTTCCTGGATATCCTTGTTAACCTTCTGTCTCATCGATCTGTCTAATGTTGACAGTGGGGTGTTAAAGTCTCCCATTATTATTGTGTGGGAGTCTAAGTCTCTTTGTTGGTCTCTAAGGACTTGCTTTATGAATCTGGGTGCTCCTGTATTGGGTGCACATGTATTTAGGATAGTTAGCTCTTCTTGCTGAATTGATCCCTTTACCATTATGTAATGGCCTTCTTTGTCTCCTTTGATCTTTGTTGGTCTAAAGTCTGTTTTATCAGAGACTAGGATTGCAACCCCTGCCTTTTTTTGTTTTCCATTTGCTTGGTAGATCTTCCTCCATCCCTTTATTTTGAGCCTATGTGTGTCTCTGCACATGAGATGGGTTTCCTGAATACAGCACACTGATGGGTCTTGACTCTTTATCCAATTTGCCAGTCTGTGTCTTTTAATTGGAGCATTTAGCCCATTTACATTTAAGGTTAATATTGTTATGTGTGAATTTGATCCTGTCATTATGATGTTAGCTGGTTATTTTGCTCGTTACTTGATGCGGTTTCTTCCTAGCCGTGATGGTCTTTACAATTTGGCATGTTTTTGCGGTGGCTGGTACCGGTTGTTCCTTTACATGTTTAGTGCTTCCTTCAGGAGCTCTTTTAGGGTAGGCCTGGTGGTGACAAAATCTCTTAGCATTTGCTTATCTGTATTTTATTTCTCCTTCACTTATGAAGCTTAGTTTGGCTGGATATGAAATTCTGGGTTGAAAATTCTTTTCTTTAAAAATGTTGAATATTGGCCCCCACTCCCTTCTGGCTTGTAGAGTTTCTGCCGAGAGATCAGCTGTTTGTCTGATGGGTTTCCCTTTGTGGGTAACCCGACCTTTCTCTCTGGCTGCCCTTAACATTTTTTCCTTCATTTCAACTTTGGTGAATCTGACCATTATGTGTCTTGGAGTTGCTCTTCTCGAGGAGTATCTTTGTGGCATTCTCTGTATTTCCTGAATCTGAATGTTGGCCTGCCTTGCTAGATTGGGGAAGTTCTGCTGGATAATATCCTGCAGAGTGTTTTCCAGCTTGGTTCCATTCTCCCCATCACTTTCAGGTACACCAGTCAGATGTAGATTTGGTCTTTTCACATAGTCCCATATTTCTTGGAGGCTTTGTTCATTTCTTTTTATTCTTTTTTCTCTGAAATTCTCTTCTCGCTTGATTTCATTCATTTGATCTTCCATCACTGATTCCCTTTCTTCCAGTTGATCAAATCAGCTACTGAGGCTTGTGCATTCATCACGTAGTTCTCGTGCCATAGTTTTCAGCTGGACTTCTGTGCATTGGTTATTCTAGTTAGCTATTCGTCTAATCTTTTTTCAAGGTTTTTAACTTCTTTGCCCTGGGTTTGAACTTCCTCCTTTAGCTCAGAGTAGTTTGATTGTCTGAAGCCTTCTTCTCTCAACTCGTCAAAGTCATTCTCCATCCAGCTTTGTTCCGTTGCTGGTGAGGAGCTGCATTCCTTTGGAGGAGGAGAGGCACTCTGAATTTTAGAATTTTCAGTTTTGTTGTTCTGTTTTTTTCCCATCTTTGTGTTTTTATCTACCTTTGGTCTTTGATGATGTGACGTACAGATGGGGTTTTGATGTGGATGTCCTTTCTGTTTGTTAGTTTTCCTTCTAAGAGTCAGGACCCTCAGCTGCAGGTCTGTTGGAGTTTGCTGGAGGTCCACTCTGGACCCTGTTTGCCTGGGTATCAGCACCAGAGGCTGCAGAACAGTGGATATTGGTGAACAGCAAATGTTGCTGCCTGATCTTTCCTCTGGAAGTTTTGTCTCAGAGGAGTACCCGGCCGTGTGAGGTGTCAGTCTGCCCCTACTATGGGGATGCCTCCCAGTTAGGCTACTCGGGGGTCAGGGACCCACTTGAGGAGGCAGTCTGTCTGTTCTCAGATCTCCAGCTGCGTGCTGGGAGAACCACTACTCTCTTCAAAGCTGTTAGACAGGGACATTTAAGTCCGCAGAGGTTTCTTCTGCCTTTTGTTTGCCCTGCCCCCAGAGGTGGAGTGTACACAGGCAGGCAGGCCTCCTTGAGCTGCAGTGGACTCCACCCAGTTCGAGCTTCCCGGCTGCTTTGTTTACCTACTCAAGCCTCAGCAATGGCGGGCGCCCCTCCCCCAGCCTCGCTGCCGCCTTGCAGTTTGATCTCAGACTGCTGTGCTAGCAATGAGCGAGGCTCTGTGGGCGTAGGACCCTCCGAGCCAGGCGTGGGATACAATCTCCTGGTGTGCCATTTGCTCAGTTGGAAATGCAGAAATCATTCATCTTCTGTGTCACTCACACTGGGAGCTGTAGACTGGAGCTGTTCCTATTCGGCTGTCTTGGCTCCACCCCCCTCTAATTTTAGCTTTAAGTAACTTACAAAAAAACAGTATTACCATATATATTGGAAAAAAATCTGAACAGGCCAAAAAAAGCTGAACCAGGTTTTTGAGCATGAGAAGATTGAGATTTTGTTGCCTTGAATTTTTTGGATATCGTTTTGATCTTTTTTTTTTTGAGACGGTGTCTTGCTCTGTTGCCCAGGTTGGAATGCAGTGGTGCCATCTCAGCTCATTGCAACCTCCGCCTCCTGGGTTCAAGTGATTCTTGTGCCTCAGTCTCCCGAGTAGCTGGGATTACAGGTGCCCACCACCCACCTGGCTACTTTTTGTATTTTTAGTAGAGACGGGATTTCACCACGTTGGCAAGGCTGGTCTCCAACTCCTGACATCAGTTGATCCACCCTCCTCGCCTCCCAAAGTGCTGGGATTGCAGGTGTGAGCCACCATGCCTGGCTCATTTTGATCTATTTTCAAAAGTACTGTTATATGTGCATTACAAAAAAGTTGAGCAAAACAGAACTGTGTAAGTTATACACTATTATTTGTTTGGTGTTCACTGGACAGATATGCAACATATACCTATATTTACAAAATTATTTTTTACCTCAATAGGATAATATTCCATTGTTCTCAACTTGCTTTTTTGTCCTAAATTTTTTGTGAAATAAATTCAGTTTCAGTACATATACATTTACCTCACTTGGTCTATATTTTTGCAAGAGTTTCTGTTGGATAATATCCTAGAAGTAAGATTTCTAGTACAAAGAATACACGTTTAAAATTTTGTTTTGCCTCTCAAGAAAGCTTGTGCCCATTTCACCACCCCTCACATGGAATGAGAATGAAAGATAAAGTTTCTGAAACATAGGTACATGGAGATTCTGCCGGGTTTTGATAAGATATAATTTAAAATCATGATCAGAAGGTTGCTCAGCTGGCTTGGGGAGGAGATGCCTTCTAAAGTCAGAATCCTGTAAGGTATTCCTGCCTAACTCTTCAACTCCATTCTCTACCCAGAAGAGAAAAAAGGTGTGTGTGTGTGTGTGTGTGTGTGTGTGTGTGTAGAAATATGTCTCCTCTGCAAAGGATCCCTCAAAATGCTGAGTGTAACAGAGGGCAGATTTTTGGAGTCAGAGCTGCAATTAAATTTCAGCCCTGTCTCTCAATAGCAGCTTGTCTTTAAGCAAAATGTTTAACATTTCTGACCTGTTTTTTATCGTCTATAGCAAGGGGATAATCACACCACCTTACAGGGTTCACTGTGAGAATTAAATGTGTTACTTAACACAAAAGGCTAATAAATGGTGAGGACTAAGAGCTCAATTAATGGCTTCCATTGAGACATGAGAAAGGGTGATTATGACCAAGCTACGGGCACCTTGGAGGGTAAAGTTTTGCCCACTTTTGCAGAAAAATATGAGACAATCACTAACAGTCTAGTTAAGATATGCTATGTGGGCCAGGCATGGTGGCTCACACCTGTAATCCTAGCACTTTGGGAGGCCAAGGCAGGTGGATCACCTGAGGGCAGGAGTTCAAGACCAGCCTGGCCAACATGGCGAAACCCTGTGTCTACTAAAAAATACAAATATTAGCTGGGCATGGTGACACACGCCTGTAATCCCAGCTACTTGGGAGGCTGAGGCCGGAGAATCGCTTGAACCCGGGAGGCGGCGGTTCGTGCCACTGCACTCCAGCCTGGATGACATAGCAAGACTTCATCTCAAAAAAAAAAGGTATGCTATGTAACACTACACCTTTCCCACCTACATCCAGGAACCCTCTTTGATTTTAACCATAACAATTTTATCACCTTCTCATATGCATCATTACTCATTTACTATGCTTATTGTTTATGTCCTTTCCTAGGGTGTTCCATATGAACAAAACTTTATTCTTGTTCACTAAATTTCAACATCAGGGTAGCTGAAAACAAAGCCTGGCACATAGTAGGCACTCTTTTTTTTTAATTTTATTATTATTATACTTTAAGTTTTAGGGGTACATGTGCACAACGTGCAGGTTTGTTACATATGTATACATGTGCCATGTTGGTGTGCTGCACCCATTAACTTGTCATTTAGCATTAGGTGTATCTCCTAATGCTATCCCTCCCCCCTCCCCCCACCCCACAACAGTCCCCGGTGTGTTCTCATTGTTCAGTTCCCACCTATGAGTGAGAACATGTGGTGTTTGGTTTTTTGTCCTTGCGATAGTTTGCTGAGAATGATGGTTTCCAGCTTCATCCATGTCCCTAATCCTGTAGCTGGGATTACAGGCACCCACTGCCGTGCCTGGCTAATTTTTTGTATTTTTAGTAGAGACAGGGTTTCATCATGTTTGCCAGGCTGGCTTTGAACTCCTGGCCTCAAGTGATCCGCCAGCCTCGGCCTCCCAAAGTGCTGGAATTACAAGAGTGAGCCACTGCGCCCGACCTAGAATGACTATTAACTGAAGAATATGGGACTGAGAGCAAACAATGAGGTGGATAATTTTATTCACCAGAAACTTTCTAAAAAGAGAAGAGCCACAGTGTCCAGTGGGTTTTATGAACTTTGCTTCATGGATCATGAGGAAGGACCAGGGGTCCTAGAGCTACTCGGTTTTAAATCCATCTTCCAGTGGCCCATGTTGTTAGAGAGCAAGGCCCAGAGGTGAGTTACAGCTGAGCACTAGGGCAATGTGTCCTATGAAGAGGAAAGAGGACATAATAGGGAGAGCTCAGCAAGGATGAGGGAAAGTGGGAAGTGTTTTTAACAGCTGCTAAAAGTATGGAACTTAGAAGACAAAGAATTATGCCCCAAGAAGACTTCTGGGATGTTTTTTGTGGTACACAATATGAAATCCCTGGGTATTCCAGCTTTAAGGAAACCTACATGAAAGGTTGACATTGTTTCAAAGCTTCTAGCATTCAATTTGTGTTCCTTTGAGTGTGATGTCATGCTTATACTGAGATACATGCTTATACTGGGACCGCCAGATTTATTAGGGTTACACTGACCAGGTTTCTTTTTATTCTTTAATTTATTTGGGCCTCTCTTATTGCTGTTTCCCACCAGTCACTAGACTTGTTATTCATTGTAACAGCATGTGATTCATATCTCAAATGTATTGCAGTTTCCCATATGACATCTTATCTTACATTATTTGCATATTGTATTACATTATCTCTTCTCTTATATATTAGAGAAGTGACTGGAGTTATTTTTATTTCCTCTGCAGAGTGCTATAGTTCGAGATCATGTCTTAGAGTTGGTTACTTCTGAGAAGAGTTCTTATATTTGGCTAATTCCACTGTACATATATTATCAGTATCTAGAAATTTCGGTTGGCCTCTTTCATCAAGCCACATTCTGATTCAATTTTCAGGAAACTTAGGCAGTTTCTAAACTATTCAGAAAGCTGGAGGGGGAGGCCATCTAGGGTAGATTTAAGCATCAACCTGATTTTAATTTTTTTTTAATATGAGCTTAGATAGAACCAAATATAATTTAATAGTCTCCATTTTTTGTTACAGAAGATTTTTGGTAATTTGGTCCAAAAGATGTATTAAAATGCTTAGAGTCAACCAGGACCAACCTGGTTTCCATTTTTCTGTCCCATGTCCTCATTGGTTTAGTAATTTGGCCAGAGAGCATGGCCTGATTTTTTGATCAGAAGATATAGTCACCATACTCATGGAGGAAGGAATCAGGGACTGTGGGTTACCTGGTATAGAAGGACATAGTGAAGGAAAAGATAGAGAGGTTTGGAGTTTAAAGGATAAGGGATGTCGTTTTTGTTAGTTTTTAAGGAAAAAGGAAACTGAACATTTGGGTATGCAAAGAAGTCAGTAGAAAGTGAGGGATTAAAGGTGGAGATAACCACTGAAGCAAGTTCTGGAGGAGACAAAGGTAGATTTAATCACAAACCTGGGTGGGCCTTGGAGAGGAGGAAACACATGCCATTCTCAGGGAAGCAGAAGATGGAAGAAATATAAGGTATCTGAATTGAAGGAGTTTCTGACATGACCTACACTGTCTCAGCATAGTTAAGAAACAGTCGAATGACTGTGAGGAAAGCAAACGCAGGTTTGGGAATGTGAGAAGAATAGAAAAGAGGATAGTGAGTTGTTTAGGAAAAAATAAATAAGTTTGTGTCAACTTTGAGTCACCCTGAGGGCCTAGCTGAAGTTAGATAATAGGAATTAGCACCCGCCCCATCACTAAGTAGCATAATTGTCAGTGTCATCATACAGCAGCCCAGAAGCCAAGGAATGGATGGTTTGAGTCTGCCCAGCACTGGGGATTGGGACATGCCTGTGATGGAAAGTCAAGCTGTCTTCTTAGGGAATCTCTGGCTGGTGAGTGCCATCTAAAATGCTTATCGTAGCACCAGACGAAGGCCAAGGAACTAGAAGTTTGCTGAGGACAGAGAAATTTTGTTAGACAGAATAAAAGGGAAGAAAGAAGTCAAATTCAGGGATGATGACTTCAGAGTTTAATAATACAGACATGAAGCAGTTTGGAGTGATAATTCCAAAGTTTTCTGCAATGGAGATTTAGAAAAGAGTCAGAGAATACTGAGGTCTGAATGTGAAGGAAGTCATCCTTACGAACTTTGCTGTTACCCAGTGTCCAGGCTGGATGACAGGTATTTCCAGGAAGAGAATGAGTGACATGAATATGTGACATTTCCCCAACTCAGGTGACCACAAAACTGTTTTTCTTGTAAATGCCAGTATTCCAGAGATCATTCTTTGGAAAACTCTGTTCTAGGGCTCATCAGAGACTTTCCGTTTGTTGAATGAATGAATTACAGGTAAGAAGTTAAGAGGCAGCCTGGGACAGTGTCAAAATAAAGAGAAGGCAAGTATGTGGCTCTAATTACAGAAATCATTTTGAGCCTAGGCATCCCCTACTCTGGTACTTCCATCTCATGAACTGCCACCTTCTCTCCTGCATCCCTCTGTCACCTTCTTGCTACCAGTTGTGGGCCAGGCAGTTAAGATTTATTTATTTAGATACATCTCCTTATTACCTATTCCTTTCTTATGTTTGTAGATGGTTCTGTTCTTGCAAACTCCCAAATAGATATCAGTGAAATCAAAGCCACTCTTTGAGGGTGACAGGTTGGCAGAGAATACCATGACATTTTGAAACCTTTTGTCCAGAGAGTCCTTGGGTCCCCAGGTGTCCTGCCTATTTACACATAATATGCATATACATATTCTTCACCACACAGCCTTCTTTCCTCTTCCATTTAAGTTGGCTATGCTTATACCTACCCTCATTTCATGTCATTCTGATGGTAGTTAGCAAAGGAGGATAAGGAAGCAAATGGTATTTTACAAAGTATCATAGTAAACTGGTTGGGGAATTATGTGCTAGATTAATGCTGCTGCTGAAAATGGAAAACCAACCCTACCACCACCACCACCGCCACTCCACCCCCACCTCATTAGGTGACTAGAAGACAAATAGGACAGATATCAGAAAGGTCTTTGTAAAAAGAAAAATAGTACAGAACTCTTCACTAAGCAGAGGATTTGGTTAAAGAACATACAAGATTTGGAATGGCTCTCAAGTAAATATCTGTTGCAGGGGACACCAGATTTGATGTAACCACGACTTCTGTTGCTTTGTTTTAGAACGCCAGCCAGGCCCCTCTGTGGCCAATTCCAATGCCCTCCCTTCAAGTTCAGCTGGGATCAGCAAGGAGCTGATCGATCTGCAGCCTCTCATCCAGTTCCCAGAGGAAGTCGCCAGCATCCTGATGGAGCAAGAGCAGACTATTTACCGCAGGGTCTTGCCAGTCGACTACCTTTGCTTCTTAACACGGGACTTGGGCACTCCTGAATGCCAGAGCTCCTTGCCCTGCCTCAAAGCATCCATCTCAGCGTCGATTCTTACCACTCAGAATGGAGAGCACAATGCCCTTGAAGATCTGGTGATGAGGTTTAATGAGGTAAGAAGCCACTTTTTGATGTCTTGGTATTTGACTCACCCGTAAGTGATTTTCAAGCATACCTCCCCTTCTAGGTTTGTCTGTTCCTGATGTGTTCATTTCATTCTGTCTTGCCACTTCCATGATGGCTGTTTTTCTTTCCAGGCAAAGAGACAGACATCACATTGCAATCCTTCCTCTCACTGTACCCCAACTTGCCCTTAAGCCTAATTGATCTCAACTCCATTCTATTGCATTACCCAGTCCACCAATCCTAGTCCCTTTGGGCACCCAGAATGCCAATCTCCAACCCCTTCCTCTCCCCTACCAACCCCTCATTCCCAAAGGTGCTTTTAAAACCACATGTCTCAATTTTGAGTTTTGACAGCATGATCCCTGACCACATTCGTATAACCAACCCCCTGACCCCCTTCCATTATTAGGACTCCCTCAGCAGAAACACCTAGGTCACCAGAGAAGGCAGGAAACGTGGGGCAATTCATTGAGGGGCAGTGAATCACCTCGGTTCTCTCTCTGCATCCCCTGAAGATCCTCAGCCCCAGAATATCAATCCAAAGCCTCTGAGACCACATTAGAAGCCAGTTCTGAAGAAGACAGGTGTGACTGGAGTCTGGGAATACTTAGGACAAAGCCATTGCGTGGGGGTCTAGGGACTCACTGGGAGATCAAGAGCCACTGGCTGACATCCCTGTGGCCCTGGGATAGGGAGGAGCGTCAGGAAAGAGCAGGGAGTCTCCATGCAGTACTGGGGTTGGGCGGACTGCACTCTTGGGCTTAAAAGGCACTTTCTCTTAGTAATGTAACCCACACCCAGAGTTTTCTATTCTACATTTTATGTTTTAGATTTAATTTCTTTTGTTTTGTGTATTCAATCACAAAATTTTAATTGGTATGTTTGTTGGTTGTTAGTTGGCTGAACACAGAGTAGTTGCCTATTTTGGTCATTTAGTAAACTCTACCTAAATGCTAACAGGATATTCCTATTCTGAGTCATATATATCTCTGATTGTCTGAGGATCTGTCATCCTGTGTTACATAAACACTTTCTGGCAAGGTGCGGTGGCTCATGCCTGTAATCCCAGTGCTTTAGGAGGGTGAGACAGGAGGATCGCTTGAGGCCAGGAGTTCAAGACCAGACTGGGCAAAATAGCAAGACCTTGTCAGTACAAATTTAAAAATTAGCTGGGCATGGTGGTGCACACCTGCAGTCCCAGCTACTGTGGAGGCTGAGACCCTCTAAGGATCCCTTAGCCCAGAAGTTTAGAGGCTTCAGTGAGCTAGGATCACGTCATTATACTCCAGCCTGGGTGACAGAGTGAGACACCATCTTTAGAAAAAAACACAAAACACTTTCTAACTGTAGCTCACTTTGCAGCCTCCATAGCTTGCCAATCAAAATCCTGATGATGGTTGTAAATGTCAGTGACCATGATAAGGCCCATGAATACAACGAGTGTTAGAGGCTGAGCTCAAGCGGTTCTGTATCCAGACATGTCCTGAACACCAGTCTATCTGGCACTGTTGTGCTAACCATTTTATATGTACCACTTACTTGCTCCTTACAACAACCTTGGGAGACAGATATTGTCATTAGCCCTATCTTATCAATGAGAAACTGAAGTATGTGGAGATGAAGTTATTTTCCCAAGATTACACAAGTGGTAGGTGGCAATTTTGGTTTAAGCCCACAAAGTCAGGCCCTGGGCTTTGAATAACTATAGGATGCTGCTTCCCACCTGCAGCAGGATTGCACTGGGGGGTGGTGCCTGCTAAAACTGCAGATTCCTGGTCCCACCCCCAAACTGAGTAAGACAGAATCTCTGGGAGTCCACATGAGAGCTTGCAAATGTCACTGCCCCAAAGTTGTTTTTAAAAATAAAACTCCTGATGTTCTTGATTTTCCTTACTGATAAAAATGGGATGGAAAAATGAAAGTTCCAGTAAACTGAGTGATTTTATTAGTGGATTTCACTGTATTTCATGAATTATTTTAAACTTCCAGATCTACCCACTCTCACATCCTTAGGACCCTATCTTGTCTTTATTTTTAAATTTCGACCTGAACTTAAAAGTGAATTGCCAAAACTTTTAAAATCTAATTTTAAACTAAACTTGGATTTCTTCCATTCACTTCCATAACCTTGGGAATCAAAGACGAATCAGTGATTTCACTAATTCAGAGTTAGAGATGATATGACCTACAGCTGGGTAGAGGCAGGCTTTGGACTATCTCTGAAAATAGTTTAGCTAAGCAACTTCAGAACGTAAACAAGATTTCTGGGAAAACACTTAAACTACTTAAGAGAACAGTCTGTTTCAAGTATTCTCAAGCATCTATTTTCATACAAATTATGGGTATGCTGATTAAAAATCAGTCTTACATAGTCAGATCCCAAATGATCTCTACTGGACACGACTGGAATAGCTAAATTCTAGTTCTTTTGTATACCTTAAAGTAGAAAAGTTCCATTACATCAAAAGAGAATTTTCAAATTCAGATTTTTCACCTATTTTGAGTGACCTTGCCTTGAAATTAGCATGGCTTTACATACTGTAAAGAAAAGGAAGAAATGGAGTTTGCATTTATTTAATAGATGCTCTGGACTGGACATTTTCACATTTCTTAAAATCTCATTCAGTTCTTATGACAGTTGTCATCAACCCTGTCTTGCAGATGAGGAAAGTGAAGCTTAGGCAACAAAATAAATAATGACAGTGTTGGATTATGGCCCATAGAGTAAAATAAATATTTTTTAATCCATACCGATATAAATACATCAGTGTGGTGGGGTTGGGGAGTAGGGACAGCACTTACTTATAGAAAAATTTCAATTAATAAATGTAGAAAGAATGAGAAAAATAGAAAATCATCATTAGAATACTACAGTAATAACTGTTGCAGGCAAGAACTACTGATGAATTCTAAAATTATTGGGCAAAAGTAAGTTTGATGAGAAATAGGACATTTGCAAATAGTCTCAAAGCATCTCTCCACAAGGTATTTATTAATACAAAGGGGAAAATAGAACAGTGGAGAAACCCGGTAGACACTGGCTTGACCAAGTGATCAAGGCTAACATGATTAGTAATGAGACATATCAACATATGCCTCCTGATATGATGCCCTGAGAAAGGCAGGACTTCATCTCTATAGTGTTCT
Source organism: Homo sapiens (assembly GCF_000001405.40). Taxonomy (NCBI): domain Eukaryota; kingdom Metazoa; phylum Chordata; class Mammalia; order Primates; family Hominidae; genus Homo; species Homo sapiens. The sequence goes on from NC_000010.11 coordinate 94,174,657, forward strand.
TGCCAAAAACACACCACATAAATCTAGCAATGAAAAAAAATATCAGGCAACTCTAAATTGAAGGACATTCTACTCTTCAAAAGCATCAAGGTCATAAAAGGTAAGAAAAAATTGAGGAACTGTTAAAGGCTAGAGGAGACCAGGAGACATGACGACTAAATGCAGTGTGGGATCCTAGTGGACCATGGACTAGAAAAAGACATTAATGGAAAAACTGGAGAAACTCTGAGGCTCATAGTTTAGTTAGTATGATTGTATCAATGTTAATTTCCTGGTTTTGACAATTGTGCTATGATTATGAAAGATGCTAACATTAGAGGAAGCTGAGTGAAGGGTGTACAAGAACTCTCTGTACTGTCTTTTGCAACTTTTCTGTAAATCTAAAATTACTTCAAAATAAAAAAAAATTGTAAGCAGTGAGCTCAGAGAGATTGAGTCACTTGTCTAAGTAGCTGAGTGGATATCAGAATCCAGATCTTTCTTCAAAGTCTATCTCTTCTCACCCAGCTGCTTCTCTCTTGTTAAATTATCAGGTTCAAGTCTGTAGTAAAACCTGACTTGCTAATTGAGAATTTCATTAGCCTTGGGTCTCCTTTCCCTCTTCCCTCCCTCTCTTTCTATTTCTTTTCAAAATCTCCTGTGTGTCTATCTTTTTTCTACTTCTCTTTCTGATTTTTATCCAGTTTCCCATTATCTAGGTTCCTGCCATTACTCCCTCATTCATTCATTCATTCATTCACTCAAGAGATTTATTTATTTCAATTTTTTAGTTTTAATTTTTGTGGGTACATAGTAGGTGTATATATTTATGGGATAGAGAGGATATTTTGGTACAGGCATACAATGTGTTATTACATCAGAGTAAATAGGGTATCCATCATCTCAAGTACTGATCCGTTGTATTAAAAACAATCCAATTACACTCCTTTTGTTACTTTTAAATGTACAATTAAATTATTATTGACTATATCACTCTTTTGTGCTATCAAATACTAGATCTTACATTTTTTTCTGACTATTGTATGTACCCATTAACTGTCCCCACTTCCTCCCTCACTCCCCTCTACTACCTTTCTCACCCTGTAGTAACCATCCTTCTACTTTCTGTCTCCATGAGTTCAATTGTTTTAATTTTTAGCTCCCACAAATAAGTGAGAACACACAGAGGTTATCTTTCTGTGCCTTGCTTATTTCACTTAACATAATGACCTTCAATTCAATTCATGTTGTTGCAAATTACAAGATCTTATTCTTTTTTATGGCTGAATTATATATATGTGCTACATTTTCTTATCTATTCATCTTGTTGATGGACACTTAGGTTGCTTCCAAATCTTGGCTATTGTGAATAGTGCTGAAATAAACATGGGAGTGCAGATATCTCTTCAATAGATTGGTTTTCTTTCTTTGGGGTATATACCTAGAAGTGGGGTTGCGAGATCACTGAAGACATACTTATTGGCTGGGCATAGCAGCTCATACCTATAATCCTAGCAATTTGGGAGCCTGAGGCAGGCAGATGGCCTGAGCCCAGGAGTTTGAGACCAGCCTGGGGAACATAGCAAAACCTCATCTCCACAAAAAGTACAAAAAATTAGCCAGGCATGGTGGTGCATGCCTGTGGTCTCAGCTACTTGGGAGGCTGAGGTGGGAGGATTGCCTGATCCTGGGAGGTCGAGGCTGCAGTGAGCCAAGATCGTACTACTGCACTTCAGCCTGAGCAACAGAGTAAGTCCCTGTCTCAAAAAACAGACACATTGAGCACCTACTGTTCTCTCGTCTTCTCTTTTTTTCCATTGGCATGTCAAACATATTTTTTAAAAATAAGAAATTAGCAGTATATGGTGAAAATTGATGTTATAAGCCCATACTTTGATTCTGCCAAAATTGGATACACAAAATAAATGCACTTTCCTCAGTGGAAAGATGTATATTCCTTGGAATGTTATAGTATCTTAAAGACAAGAAAGAGAATATTAGCTCCATTGCCGGTGCTAGTCACTTGGGGTGGGGGGAAGTGAATGCATTTACTCGTGCATCCATTCAGTTAATCCAGGACTTCTTAGAAGCAGTGTACTGTGGTAGATATGCACTAAGGAAAGTAAATAGCAGTCTGCCAGAAGCTATGAGACATGGACACAAATATCTACCAAAAAAGGCAGAAAGTAAGTGCAGTGAGAGTGGCACCAACAGAGAAGGCTGGGGTGTCCAGGTGGGTGACAAGAGCTCATTCTGCTGAGCCCTCGAGTCTGGGGCTGGGTCTTGAGAGATGGGAGGAATAGAGGGGGAAGTTCATGGAAATGGAAGGCAGTCCAGACAAGAAGACAATCAGACAGTTTTTGTCATGAGCAAGACTCATGGTTTAGGGAGGCAGCTTGTTCCAGATTGCCCCCAGAACCACGCTTATGAGCTAGAAGTTTCTATATTCTAACAACTCTCTACACAATGACTTAACTGTAATGTGAGAAAAAGGAAGAAAATTCCTAATACTTTTTGGGCAGTTTTGCATAATGTTTATTCTTAGGAAAGCATGGTTAAAATGCAACTCAAAGTACGACCATGAAATTACTGAAAAGGTTCAGCTTACATTAATGAAGGCCTGGAGATAAATCATTTAAAATCAGTTTGGATTGTGGCTTGGAAGCAGTGTTTCCTCCCCATTCCCCCTTCTCATGCCCTATTAGACTGTGATGCACACACTAGAGAAACTTCTTAAAGGCAGTCTCTCTTTATCCTTGAAAAGAAACAGAAGCACAAGGAGGGGTCAGTCCTCAGGCAGAGCTAGTCAAGATTTGTGTTGAACGTAGGCTTCATCCTGCTTTGCTTAGTTTGAGAGACAGGTCTTCCCGAACTTTCTTAATCTGGACACCTCTCTGTAGTCATATTCCTGATCTGAAGCTCTTAGAAGCCAGTGTTCTTTCTCTCTCCTTTCAGGTGGAGCAGCCTCACTTCTTGACCACCCACGAAATCTCTCACTTTGACAGTCTCAAATCATATTGTTCTTTTTTCCTATCCTTCATCTTCCTGCATCTAGCTTATACCTCTAGCCCACATTCCTTATGACCTTACTTTTAAAAAATTCCTCCTAAAATAAATTCCCAAGCCCTTTATCTTTTCTAGAGGAAATGCAGAGGCATTTTTATAGACAATTTTACCAAAAAGATTACATACTTTAGTGCATGCAGGTGAAAAGAGAGGAGAGGCAAATCGAGATTGCAGGGCATCCTTCCTCCCTTCACTACCTCTCCCCTCTTTCCTGAGAAGCACTTTGGTGGAACGTGGAGTGAGGGGGAGGATCTTGGCATCACAGTTCTGAGTTGCTAGTTCTCAAACTTCATGTCTCCTTAATATGTCCTTTGCTCTTGTTGTGTTGTTCACCAATGATGATTTTGGGGGTTGGAACCCTTCATTGCATCTACAGCTGGTCCTTGGGATCGATCACACAAGCAAATTTTTGACTTCATAACCTGTCACCACCCACACCACTTCCAGGCACTCTTTTGTGTAACAGACAGTTGATATCTCTGGCTGGAAAGTGATTTTCAAGGGGCCATAAGCAGGTTCACTTTTTTCTATGTCCTAAGAGGGCAGTTTTTGCTTGTTGGGTGGTTCTTGGCAACACCATTCAGCAGGGCTTCTCTTTCAGACCAGCTGGTCTGAGGGTAGGTCATGAGTCCTAGATTGAGACCCCCAGTTCTATTGAGACCCCAGCAGCTTCTACAAGGCCTCCATGTGGCTCTGCCCTGGGTGTCTTTTCCCCTCCCCAATTCTGTGTGGTCAACCTGAGCATTCATCAGCTAGCTTCCCTGAGCCATGCAATCTTGGGCAGCCCAAAGTGACAATCAGTTGTTGCTTGTTCCTTCTGTCCAGTAGGTTTCACCAGATGTCAGTTCAACAGTTTAAAGGCCATCCTCTCTGTAAAGAATGCCAAGATGCAGCTTAACTTCCTGGTAAAGAGTAGTAAGAATAAATAAACCATCTGGTCAAAGAAGAGCCGTTTGAGCTTTCAGCCAGAATTCCTTATATACTTCATAGCAATGATGATCGCTTTGGCAGATTCCAGCATCTAAAAGCCTGTCTGGTCATAGCTATGGAAAGACCATTTCAGCACAGTAAGCAGAAAGCATAGCATATTATAACGATGTGAGGCAGTGTCATGTCCAAATAGGTTCTTTCACTTGAAATGTTTTAGAAAAAATATTGGTTTTTGAATTTGTATATTGAACCATGTTTAGAAACGTCTCAATCAAAGTTTTCCCCCTCTTTTATAAAAGCAGACAGCAGAGCAAATCATCTGTTCAGGGCTGCTTTACAAACTTCCTTCCTCAAATCTGAACACTCACAGGATAAACTGCTGATAAAAACCCCCTCAGGGTAAGGGAAATTTCAGCTCACTTTGGAAAATCAAATTTTTCCTTGACAAAGCACATCTCCCCTCTCAGAGCAGATATTGTATTCTTTCCCTGGAACATTTCACAGCACATTCCAGGAGTAACAGATATTTTACTCCAGAAATTTCTTGACTAAAAAAAATACAGTAGGCAAATAAACTACAGAAACTCAGCTGTGCAGGGCGGCATCCTAAGTGCAAGGTTAGCTGTAGATGGCACTTCCATCCTGAAGCTGATTGACAGCAAATCATGTCTCATGGTTCCTGGCAGTCAGCACCCACACAGGGCTTTCCTCACCCAGAGTAACACGTAGGGCTGAGAAATAAGAGGGGCATGGAGGCTTGACATCATTCAGGTGCAGCTCTGGAGTCAGGCTGCCTGGGTTCTGATCCACCATTCCCAGCTGTGCAACCTCAAGCCAGATACCTAACCCTTCATCTTTATCTTATTTTTATTTTAGTTTAGTTTTTTTTTTTTTTTTTTGACAGGGTCTCTGTTGCCCAGGCTGGAGTACAGTGGCTGATCTTTGCTCAGTGCAGCCTCAGCCTCTCAGGCTCAAGCGATCCTCCCACCTCAGCCTCCCAAATAGTTGGGACTACAGGTGCACACCACCTCGCCTGGCTAATTTTTGTATTTTTAGTAGAGATGGGATTTCACTGTGTTGTCCAGGCTGGCCTCAAACTCCTGAGCTCCAGAGATCCACCTGCCTTGGCCTCCCAATGTGCTGGGATTTCAGACGTACGTCACCACACCCGGCCTAATCTCTCATCTTTAAATGGGGCTAATAATATATCTACCCCAAATGCTTTATATGAGTATTCAGAGAAATGACATGTTTAAAGCACTTATCAGGGACCAAAGACACAGTAGTGGTTTGATGTTAGTTCCCAAAAAAAAAAAAAACCACTAACATAACAGCATTATTAGAATAACTAATGATAATAAATTCCGTTTTTTATTATTATGATCACCCCCACTTAACAGGTGAGAAAACTGAGACACAGAGAGACTAAATGAATGACCTGTGGTTTCAGAGGTGACAGTTGAACCCAGTTGTTCTGGCTTCCAGAGCCAGCATTCTTGGCTCATCTGCTTGATACTTTTGAATCAAAAGCTGAGGGACCTTCTTTCCACCACTCGGTTCTCTTACTCTAAATGAAACCATTTTCCTCGCAATAGGATTCAGAATTTTTTTATGATTTCAATATGTGTAAAAATGTTGACCTGTTTGTTGATTTTAACCTATGTGCTGACTTCCTGATATTGTAAATGCAGCATCTCCTTTGAACTAGGAGATTGTGGCCCTTGAAATAGGGAGGACAACAGCATCTCAATGTCTGAGAATATTAGAGCATGGGGGATAATTTATCATTTCCACAGCACCAGGCAGAAGGCAGATTTCAGATTTTTGGCTTTTCAAGTTCCCTTCTTGGCTCTGAGGTTTCCTTTGGTGTGAAATGCCTGAGAAAGATTGCCCCCAAAATCTAAAGGAGTTTATTTATATTCCTCTCTTGACCACATCATTTCTACTACATTTTTCCACCTCTCTGTCTGTTCATTCCTATTTTACATGAAACCCACACCCTTAGCGGTGATGGTGCTATGATTTGAATGTGTTTACTCCAAAACTCAGGTGTTGCCACTGTGGTGGGATTAAGAGTTGGGACCTCTAAGAGGTGATTAGGCTGTGAGGGCTCCTCCATCGTCAATGGGATTAAGGCCCTTGTAAAAGAGACTTCATGCAGCATTCAGCTTACTTGCCCTTTCACCTTCTGCCATGTGAGGACACAGTGTCCCCTTCAGAGGATGCAGCTGTCACCAGACAACTGAAATTGTTAGCACCTTGTGGAGCTCCCAGGCTCAGAACTATGAGAAAATAAATTTCCACTCTTTATACATTACACAGTGGTATTCTCTTATAGCAGCACAAAATGGACTAAGACAGATAGCTTTGAAATTCAAAATCTTAAGTCCTACCTGTGCTCCCAGTTGGGGCAGCAGGAGGAGGCAGTGGGAAGGGGCTGCCTTGCACCTTGTCAGACAGGACTGGCACGCATGCACTCATTCTTCAACCATCTAATGTGACTTCCTTGAACAGTAGTTCTCACTGATCAGCGGAATGAAGACAATGGGAATCAGAATATTTTTAAAATGTGCACGTATCCGTAGCCCACCCCCAAGAGATTCTGCCTCCGTGGATGCAAGGTGGGGCCCAGGCATTTATAATTTTGAAAAGCTCCATGGGCCGGGTGCGGTGGCTCACGCCTGTAATCCCAGCACTTTGGGAGGCCAACATGGGTGGATCACAAGGTCAGGAGATCGAGACCATCCTGGCCAAAATGGTGAAACCCCGTCTCTACTAAAAAATACAAAAAAAAATTAGCCGGGCGTGGTGGCAGGCGCCTGTAGTCCCAGCTACTCGGGAGGCTGAGGCAGGAGAATGGCGTGAACCCAGGAGGCGGAGCTTGCAGTGAGCCGAGATCACACCACTGCACTCCAGCCTGGGTGACAGAGCAAGACTCTGTCTCAAAAAAATAAAATAAAATAAAATAAAATAAAAAGATAAAAAGCTCCATGAAGGCCAGGCATAGTGGCTCACTCCTACAATCCTAGTAGTTTAGGCATCTGAGGCAGGAGGGTTGCTTGAGTCCAGGAGTTCAAGACAAACCAGAAGTTCAAGACCAACATAGCAAGATCCTGTATCTACAAAAAATTAAAAAATTGACAGGGCATGGTGGTGCATACCTGTAGTTCCAGCTACTGGGGAGGCTGAGGTGGGAGGAACATTTGGGCCCAGGAATTGAGGCTGCAGTGAGGTAGGATCATGCCACTATACTCCAGTCTGAATGATAGAGTGAGACCCTTTCTCTAAAATTTAAAATAACAAAAAGGAAAAAACATAACTTCACGAGATAACGCTGATGCTACCAACACACCAATAGTTGAGAATCACTGCTCTAGAACATCAGTCACAGCAGTACTCAAAGAGAACAAAGCTGTATCCCAAAGCAAATAGGAGGAAAATGTCTTCCTTCCTTTTCTTTCTGTTTTTTTTTTTTTTCATTTTTTGCTCATAGTACTGCCATGGAGGACTTCATTTTGAAACAGGAGGAAAATGGTTTCTATCTTTGGGGTCATCCATTAGTGCAGATACTTGAGAATTGTTCCACGTACATTTAAATAAATGTAATGGGTTGTTTTCCCTGCCTTCATTTCTTTTTTATTTTATTTTATTTTTTGAGACAGAGTCTGACTGTCACCCAGGCTGGAGTGCAATGGTATGATCTCGGCTCACTACAACCTCCGCCTCCCAGGTTCAAGCAATTCTCGTGCCTCAGCCTCCCGAGTAGCTGGATCACAGATGTGCACCACCACCCTTGGATAATTTTTTTTTTTTTTTTTAGTAGAGATGGGGTTTCACCATGTTGGCCAGGCTGGCCTCAAACTCCTGGCCTTAAGCAATCCACCTGCCTTGGCCTCCCAAAGTGCTGGGATTATAAGCCTGAGCTACCATGCCTGGCCCCATCTTCATTTCTTTTCTTTCTTCTTTCCTTCATTCCTTCCTTTTCTTCTTTCCTTTCTTTCTGTATTTTTTTCATTGTTTGCTCATAGTACTACAAAATGGAGGATGTGATTTTGAAACCTTTAATATTTAGACTATTTTATTACTATAATAGGCTATCTTAATTCTTAGTTCTCCTTCTTAAAGCTCACATTGTGTCTCTAGAATTTAACTGGCCCAGAAAGTTAACTGTCAAAGCCATTGACTTATTGGAGACATGTTTAATTCTGTTTTAAAGCAGGTATCAGTTAACACCTCTGTCCTGAGACTGGTAGAAACAATAATGGATCCGGTGGAAATCAGCAAATAGATGAATAGGAATTTTGACCTATGTGAGCAGTGTTATTACTATTAAAAATAATAAACATGACCCAGAGAAGCACTGCAGCAGTTCCTCAAGGCCTTTGCCATCAGATCACTTAAATGACTCTGAACACTGTGGGAAAGATCAGGTCAGCTTTGGTCAGAGATTAGGATTTTGAGCCTCTTTTCAGGACGGCATTAGCTGACCCTATTAGGATGTTTAATTCTGCTCTTTGAAAAACCACTTTTAGAGATTTTTACTGCACATGTGAGAGCCAAGGAGGAATGTATTTATGCTTTACTGAGGATCTGCATTTGCCCAAAAGATTTAAACATTCATAAATCCAACTGCCTTCTCAATGCCTCACCTTGGCTTTTTTTGTTCAACAAGATTTCAGTACCAACTTTTGTACTAAATGCTGTTTTGTGCATGGGGAATATGGCACAGAACAACACAGACAAAGCTCCTGCCCCACTGAGCTTACATTCTAGTCATGTCTAAAAGACATCTCAAATATGGCCAAAATAGAATTAACTTCTCCCTCCACACCATTCACATACCATCCAGGACCTTCCCCCCTCACCCAGTGCTGCTGCCCTCCCCATCTCACTTAGCAGCTTCAGTGTCAACTGAAGTGTTCAGGCCATCAACCAGAGTTTGATTGATTTACTCTTTCCTCAAACCCTGACATCTAAACTGTACTAGGCTATTCTTGCATTGCTATAGAGAGATACCTGAGGCTGGGTAATGTATGAAGAAAAGAGGTTTAATTGGCTCATGCTTCTACAGGCTTTACAGGAAATGTGGTGCTGGCATCCACTTCTGGTGAGGCCTCGGAGCTTTTACTCATGGCGGGAGGTGAAACAGGAGGAGGCACGTCATGGGGCAAGAATGAGAGCAAGAGAGAGAAAAGGGGGATGTCCCAGACTCTTAAAACAACCAGATCTTGAGTGAACTAAATGAGTGAGAACTTACTCATCACCAAGGGGATGGCACTAAGCTATTCATAAGGGATCCACCCCATGATCCAGCACCTCCCACGAGGCCCCAACATTGGGGATCACATTTCAACATGAGATTTGAACAGGGCAAACATCCAAACCATAGCATAAACTATCAGCAAGTTTCATTTGCATTACTTGCAAAATACCCCCTGAATTGGCCTATTCCTTAGTATTTCATCTGCTAAGCTAGGTTGAAACCAGCCATCATTGCACTTATCTCCAGCACTGCTTTCATGCTGACAAATGCTATAATCCATTCTCCACCCAACAATCGGGGTGATCATTTATAAGCATAAAGGTAACTCCCCTGCTAAGTGTCCCTTCAACGGCCCCCCTTTGCGTTTGAAATAAAATCCAAGATAACAAGACCCTGCATGGTTTTGCTCCTGCCTACTTCTCCAACTTAACTTTATTTATTTATTTATTTAGAAATGGAGTTTTGCCCTTGTTGCCCAGGCTGGAGTGCAATGGCACGACGGTCAGCTCACTGCAACCTCCACCTCCTGGGTTGAAGTGATTGTCCTGCCTCAGCCTCTCTAGTCGCTGGGATTACAGGCACCTGCCACCATGCCCAGCTAATTTTTGTATTTTTCGTAGAGACAGGCTTTCACTATGTTGGCCAGGCTGGTTTTGAACTCCTGTCCTTAGGTGATCTGCCTGCCTCAGCCTCCCAAAGTGCTGGGATTATAGGCACGAGCCACCACGCCCGGCCCTCCAACCTAACTTTATACACTCACCCCTCTCTCTGGCTCTGTTTTAGCCACACAACCTTTCATTCTGTTCCCTGGACATGCCAAGTTAGTTTTCTGTACATAGCCTCTGCAGTTGTTGTTGCCTCTGCAAAAGACCTTCTTTCTCAGACCATATCACAGCTACTGCCTTCCCTTGGTCATGTCTTAGCTCAAGAGCCAGGGAACTTGACTTGCTTATTTTTTTTTTTCTATCTCCTTAGGCTAGAAACTTTTCTAACTTGTTCATTGCTATATCTCTGGTTTTTATGCATGGTACCATCTATATAGTAGATGTGTAATAGTATTTTATGAATAATGCTAATTAGTGTAAATAATTATCCTATTAGGTACTGTTAGAAATACAAAGAAAAGCAAGACATGGGTCATTTTGTTCGAGGAATTTACAATCTAGTTCAAGGCATACAAGACATAAAATAATGAATAAATATACACAAAAGGGGATAAAGCAATGCCAGGCATGAACTATTGTGTAAGAGATCATGGTTAGAGAAGTGCCATGAGTTAGTAGAAAGAGGAAAGAGTATAATTCCATCATTAAGTTTGGGCATACGGCCACAGTGGCTCACGCCTGTAATAACCAGCATTTTAAGAGGCTGAGGTGGATCACCTGAGATCAGGAGTTTGAGACCACCCTGGCTAATAGGGTGAAACCCTGTCTCTACTAAAAGTACAAAAAATTAGCCAGGCATGGTAGTGTGTGCCTGTAATCCCAGCTACTTGGGAGTCTGAGGCAGGAGAATCACTTGAACCCAGGAGGCAGAGGTTGCAGTGAGCTGAGTTTGTGCCACTGCACTCTAGCCTGGGCCACAAGAGTGAAACTCCACCTAAAAAGAAAAAAAAATGTCTGGGCATGAACATGGGGTTCTGCCACTTACTGTGGGACCCTGGGCAAGTGAGTGATTTAAAAAACAGAATTTAGCTTCATATTTCTCATCTATGAAGTGGGATAATTTAATTAATTTCACATGGTTATGGGGACACTTAAACAAGATAACATATATAAAATCAAGTACAGGATAGGTTCTCAATAAATGGTAACTAGTGTGATTTGTGCAGAATGAGAGATAAAGACTGTGCATGCCATGAGATTTGAAGAGGGAGATCACACAGGCACATCTCCATTGAGGATGACCAAAGGCTTCAGAGCTTTGGAGATTGGGAAGGCTTTTGTCAGGCACAGCTCTGAACTTTCACACTGATGAAGTTTTGGAGGTAATGTGGACTCATGTCATTCACCAAATGTAAGAATCCCTTCCTTGCAGCTTCTTGCCCAGCTTTTGCTAAAAACTTTTGAAGACGGACTTCGCTCCATTTCAACAAACTCATTGTGAGGATGCGGCTCGATTTGTTTTAACAGTCTTCCTTAAAACAGGCGGAATTCTTTCTCCTTACAAATTCCACTTGTCAGTCCCCAGGAGGAATAGTAAAAATTATATCTTCCTTTGGTTTGGTTCTCTTGAGGCTGGACATTCCCCATATCTTCAGAACTTACGTCATCTGGCAAAAGGTAAAAATGGGGCTTCCTCATCTGTTCTGAACAGTGAGTCTCTTCCTTCTCTCAATTGGGTAATTCTCCGCTCTTAATTCCTGCTAAATTAATTGCTTTTCTCTATTAGCTCTAATTATTAGCCTGGTTGATGATCAACTAAAACTGCTAGACTTTTATCATATAAACAGCCATCAAGCTCATCATTTCTCTGCATAGGTTGTTTCATTTATTATTTTCTCACATGGGCATAGTATTTTATATTTAAGTCTACTACATTTTAATTTTGGGGCATTCAGGCCTATCAAAATAATTTTGAATCTTAATTCAGCTCTGTATTGAATTAACTAACACTCTAGATTTTTTCATATTCAGATTTGATAAATATGTGCCATGTATATTTGTTCAAATTGTTGGTAAAAATGTCAAATCTAATAGGAATTAATAGAAAGCCTTATGGCATGTCACTAGAGACTATTCATCGGGTTGGCCTAACAGAACATTTTTTCAACTGGATGTGAATCTCCTTAACTCTACAATCATCCAACAAATGTTTCTCCATTTTGTGTCTCCTCTGTGAAACCTCTTCCTAAAACCAAGATACATAATTGATATGCAAGTCAAATTATCTTATCAAAAGGGAAAAAAACTTAATTTGACAATTAGCTACTTGAGGACATCTAATTTCTCTCGCATTCGTTGATATGATGATAATGATGGAGAGAGTGATGATGAAGCTGCTGTGAATCCTGTGCCTTGCACTGGGCACTGAGCCAAACACTTTACAACCCTAATCTCATTTAGCTTTTACACAACCCTGAAAGGTGGGAGCCATGGCTTTATTTTACAAATAACAAAACTGAGAGAGAGGCTACAGATAAATTAAGACATGGGGCTAAAAAAATGATAATAATTAATAAGTAATGAAAGGCTACAGAATTTGCCCAATATCACATAGGTTGAAAGTGGCTAAGCCAAGATGAAACATATATGTGTGTGTGTGTGTGTGTGTGTGTGTGTGTGTGTGCGTGCACACACATTACTGCATCTAGTTGCAATATAAATACTTGTAATAGGAAATATCATGAATAAAGAAACATGGGCATTAAATTCTGGTTTGTTGGAAGGGAGTTTAGGGGTAACCAAGTGAGGGCAGGGCAGTATCTCCCAACATGATATGGGATGTCAGTATTCATTCCGTGTAAAAACAGTGCCCCATCATCTAACACATAAGCCACATGCTAGGAAAGCAATGATAAGTAAGTTGTTTGTTTCACTGCAGGACTTCTCATGGACTTATGCTGAGGTACATGGTGACTCCCTCAGAATGAGTATTTCATAAAAATACTTGGGTACTGGATACCCGATGGCTCGGTACCCATTACAGAGTGTGCTTTTGGAAACTGTAGTAGAGGAGGTGGGTCTGGGCCTTAATGCCTCAGCCTCCCCAAGCAGCTTGGCCACAGATTCCTCAAGGGCCAGGGAAGGAGCAGGGAAAGAATGAGGACTCAGCCGCAGGTCAAAGCAGTACAGATGCTGTGGGTGATGAGTCTGGATCCCTCCTGCCCTGGCACATGGACTTACAAGGTGAAATCTTAATCCCACGATTCAGATTCCATAAGCCTCACGCGAACACAAGTTTCATTCCTTTTCATCACACCTCATACTTTGAAAGTTAGACAGACACTAAAGTTGTATGTAAATCATTAGGGTGGAAAACATGCCGGACTGGCCCTAGACAAAAATCCAGCCAAGAAGTTTGTTGACATTTCCAGCCCCTACAACCCCCTCTTCTTTTCTCCATCTCACTGCCCTGGTCCCTAGGTACGCACAGCTACCATGGAACCCACTTGCCCCCTTCCCTAGGTACTCACAGCTACCATGAGGTCCCAGTTCCCTTAAATCACATCCTCCCACCCCCCAGCACCATAATTCATGTTATAGTGGTCTTGTTATAAGTCATTTTGTAATTTGTAAAATATTCTCCTCAATGAAAAGTAAAATTTGTCTTGTATTTGTGATAGTTCTCTATTTGGGTCAATCAAGTGTACAAATGCAACAAATATTCCCTATAAGTAGAGAGAATAAAAAACCTGTATATTTATAGTCCTTTAATAATTCCTAAGAAGTTCTCTGTTGCTGTATAAAATATGTTTTCTTAATTTTTAGCTATGGAAACCAACAACCAATCTTAGGGAAAAAATTTGAAGTATACTTAAATTTAAACCATTTGTCAACTAATGTGCACATTTACACCACAGCTTTACACTTAAGCAGAGCCTTTCACATACATTATGACATTAACCCTTACACGGCCTCTCTGTGTGGCTCTTGGACTCCGGCCTATCCTTCTGACTCCACGTCCTGGGCTCCTACTGTCCATCACTGCTGACTTTCACTCCTGCAGCCTGCATAGCTTGGTTTGGTTTGTTCGTTTGTTTGTTTTGTTTTGTTTTGTTTTGCTTTTTAGATGGAGCTTCGCTCTTGTTGTCCAGGCTGGAGCGCAATGGCACAATCTTGGCTCACTGCGACCTCCACCTCCTGGGTTCAAACAGTTCTCCTGCCCCAGCCTCCCAAGTAGCTGGGTCTACAGGCATGTGCCACCACTCCCGGCTAATTTTTTGAATTTAATAGAGATGGCGTTTCACCATGTTGGTCAGGCTGGTCTCAAACTCCTGACCTCAGGTGATCCACCTGCCTTGGCCTCCCAAAGTGCCAGGATTACAGGCATGAGCCACCATGCCCAGCCCTGTATAGCATTTTGATAGACATTCCTAGAGTAGTTTTTCTTAAGAATTGTTCTACAGAACCCTGGTTTCTCAATATGCTCAGTAGGAGAAAGTAAAAAAAAAAAAAAAAAAAAAAAAATTTGTGGTCCAGTGAATTTCAAATACCCTTTTGCAGCTCTTTCCACTTGTGTATTGATAGTCGCCATGCATGTTAGTATACTGAAGGCTGAAGAAGTCCAGTCATAAAGACACTTTTAACTCACCAGCATTTCTCAAATATACTTAACCTGGAACTTTATTTTCCTAATCTTTCTCCAATTTTCCAAAACACACCACTCTTGAAACTACTAAAGACTATATATAGACATAGATATATAATATTAATATAGTCCATATTTAATATATATTATATAATATATAGTACACATACATATAATATAGATATTAAATATATATAAAGGAAAAAAGATTCACCTGTGAAATATTTAAATTACCTGGCAGTTGACATACATTCTAGTATCCCTTCCCTCCTCTCCCCACAAGATGAGGACCCCAGGCAAGTGAGGGCTGGACAGTTCTAAGGTGGATCAAATAAATGAATAAAAAGATATAGATGCCAGGAAGATGTCTCAAGTGAGAGACCCAGCTTGCTCAAACATATTCTGGGCAGGATCATGCATGATGGACTGAAGACCTGGGTGCAGGAAGATCCATCAGGAGAGAGTTGCAGTAAACAACAGAAGATGACAAGGGGCCTGATTTAGGATGACAGTGAGAATATAAGGGAAAAATGGCTCCCAGATGCCTAGAAGAAAGAGTCCCAGTAATTCAGTGACTGTTCACATAGGGAGGCTGAAGGAGAGGGAGGGGTCAAGACTGAATTCAGGCTTTCCAAGCGTGGCTTTCGGAATAAGTGGAGCACCCATGACATCATTTTGGGTTACAAAGACCAGCCAAAGAGGTCAAGAGCATGTGCTTTAATTCATACACTCAAAGGTTCAAATCCTAACCCTGTTACTTATTAGCAGTGTATTTGGCCAAATTACTTCCCTGAGCCTATTTCTGCAATTATAAAAGGGGACTAAGAGTAGTTTCTTCATAGATTCTTGTAAAGGTTTAGAAAGAATGTATCCAAGCCGAGTGCAGTGGCTCATGCCTATAATCCCAATGGGTGGACTGCTTGAGCTCACAAGTTCGAGACCAGCCTGGGCAACATGGTGAAACCCCATCTATAAAAAAATACAGAAGTTACAGGCGTGGTAGTGCCCCCCTGTGATCCCAGCTACTCAGGAGGCTGAGGTGGGAGGATGGCTTGTGCCCAGGAGGCAGAGGTTGCAGTGAGCCAAGATGGCGCTACTGTACTCCAGTCTGGCTGATAGAGCCCAACGTTGTCTCAAAATTAAATTAATTAATTACGTTTTTTTAAAAAGATAATGAATCCTGGCTGGGCACTGTGGCTCATGCCTGTAATTTCAGTGCTTTGGGAGACTGAGGCAAAAGGATTGCTTCAGGCTAGCAGTTTAAGACCAGCCTGGGAAAAACAGCAAGACCTTGTCTCTACAAATTTAAAAACTAACTGGGCATTGTGGCACACGCCTGTAGTACCAGCTACTGGGGAGGCTGAGACAGGAAGATCACTTGAGCCCAGTAATAAGAGGCTGCAATGAGCTAGGATTGTTCCACTGTACTCCAGCCTGGCTGCCAGAGTGACACCCTAACTCAAAAAACAACAACAACAACGAAAGATAATGAATCCTTAGCTCAGGATAGTGCCTGGCACATAGTAGGTGTTCAACAAGTGCTAATTGCTATCTCCATTGTGACTATTATCATCATCATCGTCATCATCTTGTGAAGAAATATCTAGTTTGGTACATGTTGGTTCTAGGATGAGAGTAAAGTATGATCTTTAAATGGATGCCTACTAGGCAGTGCAAGGCGGGAGCATGGAGCTCGTGTGCTAGATTGGTGATGCAGATACAGTTTTGGAATAATTGTTATAGAAGGGATGAGCGAGCCATGAGAATCTGTCTTCTAAGACATAAAGTGGGAGAGAGATCACAGGCTTCAAGGATCAAGCTTTGGTAACACCCCCTGACATGGCAGATCATAAAAGGATCCAGTGAGAAGGATCATGTGGGCATCACAAGAGAATCAGGCAAGTGTGGGTGATGAGAAATTAAGGGGCCCCAGCCTCATAGGGTGACTAAAAGAAAAAAGAAAAACCAATGGGGAAAAATTTTAAAGATGATTATCATATTACCCTGAGCCAGGGAAGCTGAGAAGTACATTAACAGAGCATTCAGAATGGCACAATGGCAAACATTGTGGAATGGCATAACATTACTCTCCTCTCCCTAAAGTGGGCACACTTGAATTGACATTTGCAGGAGAATTTCACTAGAGCAGAGAGGACCCCCCCTGCCCCAAACAGAAAAACCATGTTGTACAACAGTAGTTAAAGAAACTTGGGCTGGACGGGCACAGGCGCTCATGTCTGTGATCCCAGCACTTTGGGAGGCCAAGGCAGGAGGATCACTTGTGTCCAGGAGTTTGAGACGAGCCTGGGCGACATAGCGAGACCCGGTCTCTACAAATAATAAAAAATTACCCAGGTGTGGGGTACGTGCCTGTAGTCCCAGCTATTCAGGGAGCCTGAGGTGGGAGGATCACTTGAGTGCGGGAGGTTGAGTCTGCAGTGAGCTGAGTTCGTGCCACTGCATTCCAGCCTGGGGAACAGAGTGAGACCCTTTCTCAGAAAAAAAAAGTGGGGGATAAGGAAAAAAAGAAACTTGGACTTCCTACACAGGAGACTTCCAAGATGGTCAAGACAGGTACATTTCAATATTTTAAGGGTTGCCATAAAGATGAAGTTGAGTTATTTGTTGTGTCTTTAGTAGGCAGAGCTAGGTCCAGTTATTTCATCTCAGCCTTAGAAAAGGCTGCCTGTTGAAGTAGTGAGTTTCTTATAACTGGAGAAATTTCACACAGAGCCTGGCTGCCCAGCTGCAAAGCTGGGAAGAAACCCCTGGTTTTAGCTGAGAGGATGACCTACATCAAACCAAATCCTTCCCATCTCCTGTTTTTGCACATCCTGTGAGCTAATAATGTTTTTTACATTTTTAACAATTTTTAAAAATTTAATTGTAAATTGACATAATTATATATATATGGAGTGCAAAGTGATGTTATGATAGATGTGAACGATGAGGAATGATTAAATCAAGCTAATTAACATATCCGTCACCTCAAATGCTTATCACTTTTATGGTGAGAACTTTTTAAAGTGTATTTTGTTTTTATAATTTCAACTTTTATTTTAAATTCAGTGGATGTATGTGCAGGTTTGTTTCATGGGTGTGCTGTATGACACTTGAGGTTTGGGGTACAAATGATCCTGTCACCCAGGTAGTGAGCATAGTACCCAATAGGTAGTTTTTCAGCCTTTGCCCACCTCCCTCTCTTCCCCCTCTAGTAGTTTCCAATGTCTACTGTTGCCATCTTTATGTCCATGTGTACCCAGTGTTTAGCTCCCACTTTTAAGTGAGAACATGCAGTATTTGGTTTTCTGTTCCTGCATTAATTCACTTAGGACAATAGCCTTTAGCTGCATCTATGTTGCTGCAGAGGACATGATTTCATTCTTTTTTATGGCTGTGTAGTATTCCATGGTATATACGTATATCCAATCCACCATTGATGGGCACCTAGCTTGATTCCATGTTTTCCTATTGTAAATAGTGCTGCAATTAACATGCAAGTGCATGTGTCTTTTTGGTAGAACGATTTCTTTTTCTTTGGGTATATACCCAGCAATGAGATTGCTGGGTCGAATAGTAGTTCTATTTTAAGTTCTTTGAGAAGTCTCTAAACTACTTTTCACAGTGGCTGAACTAATTTACATTCTCACCAACAATGCAGTGTTCCCTTTTCTCCATAGCCTCACAAGCATCTCATTTTTAACAATTTTAAAAATCAGTCTACGGCCATCCCATCTGGAACGCACCCGCTCTCATCTGATCTTGGAAAAACTAAAAGGATACTATTTTGCGATAGGTGAAAATTATATGAAGCTCAAATTTCAGTGTCCATAAATACAATTTTATTATAGCACAGCTATGCTCATTTATGTGTTGGCTACAGCTGCTTTTGTGCTACAGTGTCAGGGCTGAGTAGTTGCAACAAAGATCAAATGGCTCACAAAGGCTAAAATACTTATCATCTGGCCCTTTACAGAAAAAGTTTGCCAACTCCTGATTAAGATCTTCCAATGGCCTTTTTTGAACTGGAAGGTTCTGTGAGGAAGAAAAGTTTTAGCCTGAGATTTGGATAGGAGGTCATGGATCACTTGGAGACCGCCAACACAATAGCCTGCAGGGATGGGAAACTAGGGTGCAGTGGTGAGAAAATGTAGGTAATGGATTAGGTAATGCCTATTGGAGAAGACTCACAGCAAACAAAGGTGAAAGCCTGGATGGTGAAAGCCACCATCCTCAGACCAGCACAGTATGGGGAGATATTTTGGGGGATAGGATGACATGTAGAAGTTTGTGGCAGAAGGGATATATAAAAGCTTTTCTTGTGTTTGATGAACACAGTGGTGTACTTAGTATCTGCTTTATTTTACAGCATGGTTTAATATATCTCTTGTCATATCTCTCAGCAAGAGGGGATTTTCTGAATGTTCTTGTTTATACAATGTGCAGAAAATTTTTGCACAGAGAGTCATGCTTTTGTTGGCAAAAGAAAGTGAGCACTTGCTGATTTTCTGGCAATCCTAACAAAAATACTGAGGTGTATTTATACTCTGGGGGCCAAAACGAATTTCAAAATGACAGTGCTTAGCTCTGTAACCATCCCAGCTTTCCTCTTCTGCCTCCACGGGGTTTAACAACTTTGTCAAATCCCTTCCTCTGAAATCCACTTCTGCAAGTAAGTTGAAACAAATTCGCTCTACTGTCATATAAACACCAGGCGGGCTTCCCTGCTGGGTGCTCAATAGCTTGGTCACCAACCAATGGATGAGATAAGCAGGCTAAAGTCACAGAAAGTGTAGAATGAAATTGTCTTTTTTTAAAGCATTTTTTTATTACATTTTACAGTGTGATTTCTTTATTAACATCTCTTAACAGTTAAAAGATGTTTACTTCACACTGTTTTAAAGTATAATGATATTCAAGTGGGATTTCAAACTAGATGCAGAAACTTAGTTACTGTTCTTATTCCAAACAAGGCAAGATGCCTATTAGGGAGTCAGATACAAGTGACTTTTTGTTATCTGTGCCAATGAGAGAACCAGATATCCTGCTAATAAAAATCCACCCAGAACCAAATTTCTTAATTTGCCTAGTTTCTGCCATCCTTTTCGTGGGGAATTACACAACAACTATTAACAAATGGTTACATTCATTCATTTGCTTTTCACATTCATTTTTTGTCCCTATGGTAATACTAAGAGACAGCCCTCTGTTCTTAATTTTTTAGTTGCTCTTCACTGCTGACCAAGAGGTGTCCAGGCATTTTAACCACATTCAAGGCTTGTCTCTGCAATGTAGCTGTCCTGTTTTCTCCCCATTAATCACTTCATGCCCCTTTTACATCTGTCTACCCGGATGACTCACTGTTGGATTGTACAGGAAGAGGCAAAGACTCTGCACAATTCCAGAGGGCACTGTTCACTTAGTGCACAAGACAGTAGCCCTGGGTAAGAGCCCTGGCTCAGATTTGAATTCAGATCCAAGGCTCACCACTTACTTTCAGTGTGACTCCAGGCAAGTTTCCTAACTATTGTATTCTTCAGTCTCTTCATCTGTAAAGTGGTGCTTATAACATTGATCTAATATGTAGGGATGTTGCAAGAATTAAAAGAGAATTTGAGGAAATGTGTTTACCAAGGTGATTGACCCTGAATCAAGCACTCAATAACTAATGATGATGATAATAATTCTAGACAGCTAATAGCTTGTAATGATTTACTTTTAGAACAGATAAGAAAATTTTCCTTGCTTCCAATACTATCATATTTTAAACTCCATTTAGAGGCTACCAAGAAGTTTGGGGGAAACAGGGGCCACCATTTTGAACTCCTTGATGATTACAAAGGTGGTAGATAGTGGTGCTGATATTAGGGTTGGTTCTACTGTCTTTATCTGGATTCATAGAATATAGGAACTTTATCTAAAGTAAAGTTTTCTCAACACTCTTTGGCCCAGAATGTTAAAGAAAAAAACGTTGTATCCACATTTAATATGATTTGAAACTTCAAAATAGATTTGCTAGCATGAATAAAACCATTTATAACGCTGAATATATACTTCAGAAACATAGCATGTTCTCCCCTCCTCTAGCTACCCTGCTCTAACCCTGTCCAAGACTGTCATCATCTCCTCCCAAGCTGAGAGTCACTGCCTTAGAGAGAAAGGGCAATGGGCTGGTCCGGATTTCTAATAGGGCTCTTCCAGTTCTAGGAGTTTGTGATTTGGGGACTAAGTGCCTAAACCCTGGAGAGCCAAGCCTTCTCCAAACAAGAAAGAAGTCCCTGTGTAAAGAGACATGAGAAATGAAATAGAAGCAGAAGTTTGGATCTAGGAATGTCACCCTAAGAATTAGGGGCTCCTTTTTTTTTTAAGAGGAATGATATGACACAACTCATGTTGTAGGAGGATAACACTTCACTTGGTGATTTCCTTTCTCTGGGATGTTGAAACTAATAGAAAAAGATCATGACATTCATGTAACTCCCTGAAGATTTTGAAGACTTCTTTCTTAGAAATCCTTAAGAAAGCAATACATACCCACCTGCTTGCAATAGTTTTAGGACTATTAGATGATGCTAATCATTATCTCTAATAGTTAAATAACTCTGGATATGAAATCCTGACTTTTGGGAATTTCTTTGATATCTGTACTATACATCTAAAAAAGGTCAGGGAAACTTTGAACAGGATTATGAGTCTAGGCCTTTTGTTCTGTCTCTAGCCAGCTGTGTCATATTGATCAAATCTTTTAGCCCCTCTGAACATCAGTTTCTGCCCCATAAGATAAAGAATTAGGCCAGATGATATCTAATGCTTCTTAGAATTTAGACTCTAGAGTTTGAACTCTCAGAGTTTGAATCCCAGCCACATTGTTTATATGATCTACAAGTTACTAAGTCTTTCTAAGCCTTCCTTTGCCAGCCTGTCAAATGAGGATAATAATTCCTTCTAGTTAGGGTTGTTGTGATCAATAAAAGTCACCTATTGCTATTATAATCTTCTGATACTTAATGTATAAGGTGCATTGTAAGTAATACTGAATCCAAACTAACCTATATACACTACCTCCTTGCTATACACCTTCACTCTGGGCTCAGGGGCTTGCCTTCTATAGGGTGAGGGTTACAGTGAGAGTTTTGCTGTTGCTCTATCCTATGTATTATAGCATAAAGTGTTCTCTTCTTCGTTCCTTTGAGATAATGATTTCTTGTCTGATCCACCCTCAGCCTGGTTGTCACAGCTGGGTAGTGCCCCCAGAGAAGAAGCAGCTGTAGCCCCAGGAGAAGCTCCGAGGGGAAGAGCCTTTTAAAGTGGAAAAGGAGGATCTATAAGCTACCTTTCAGGTGCAAGACTTAGAGAGAGGGCCAGGCATGGTGGCTTATGCCTATAATTCCAGCACTTTGGGAAGCCAAGTCAGGAGGATCACTTGCAGCCAGGAGTTCAAAACCAGCCTGGGCTTTGCTGACCCATCTCTAAAATAAATAAATAAATAAAATTTAAAAATAAAAAAAGACTTTGAGAGAGAGGACCCCACTCAGGTATAATGAGGTGGGACTCACCAGCCCAGAACACCCAATCCCCACCCCTTCTAGAAGTGTTGCTAGAAGTAGAGAAAGCACTCTACTTTCTATACAACATATCTTTTTGGTTTGCCTGTTGCTTTCTGTTTGATATTTGTAACAGCTTTATTGAGATACAATTTATATACTGTATAATACATACATTTAAAGTATACAGGTCAGTGGCTTTTTTCATATATTTACGGACTTGTATAATCATCACCATAAATCAATTTTAGGATATGATGATCACCCCAAAAAGAAACCACATACCCACTAGCAGTCACTCCCCATTCCTCCCTAACTGCAGCTCCTGGAAAATAGTGATCTCATTTCTGTCCCAATGGATTTGCCTATTCTGGATATTTTGTATAAATTGAATCACACAATAAGTGGCCTTTTTTGTCTGGCATCTTTCACTTAAGATAGTGTTTTCAAGGTTCATCAGCATTGTAGCATGAATCAGTACTTCATTTCTTTTATGGCTGAATAATATTTCATTATGTGCGTATACCACATATTGTTTATTGGTAAAAATAATGATGGCCATTTGAATTATGTATACTTTTTGGCCATTACAAATAGTGCTGCTATGAAATTCAAGAAAAATGTTTGAGCATATGTTTTTATTTATCTTGAGTATGTACCTAGGAGTGGAATTGCTGGGTCATACAACTCAATGTTTAGCATTTTGAGGAATTGCCAAACTGCTCCAAAGTGTCTGCACCATTTGACATTCCCACCAACAATGTATGAGGGTTCTGATTTATCCACATTCCTATCAACACTTGCTAGTCCTACAACACATACCTACAGCCATCCTAGTAGGTATGAAGTGATACCTCATGGTTTTGATTTCATTTTCCTAAATAGCTAATGATGTTGAGTATCTTTTCACCTGCTTATATTTGTATATCTTCTTTGGATAAATCTCTGTTCAAATATTTTCTGGCAATATTTCTGACAATGAAGCGTGACATTAAGATATAATCTCATTCTTGGCTGGGTGCAGTGGCTCACGCCTGTAATCCCAGCACTTTGGGAGGCCAAGGCAAGTGGATCACCTGAGGTCAGGAGTTCAAGACCAGCCTGGCCAACCTGGTGAAACCCCATCTCTACTAAAAATACAAAAATTAGCTGGGCATGGTGGCGGGAGCCTGTCATTCCAGCTACGTGGGAGGCTAAGGCAGGAGAATCACCTGAACCTGGGAGGCGGAGGTTGCAGTGAGCCAAGATTGCACCATTGCACTCCAGCCTGGGTGACAGAGCAAGACTCTGTCTCAAAAAAAAAAAAAAAAAAAAAAAAAAAATTTAAGAACATGAAAGAGCTGATGATGAAACCTGTTGGATGAACTGATGAACCACCCCCCACCAAAAAAAAAAAAGATATAATCTCATTCTTTATAGATTGGCTGTTGTCATTCTAAGTCTTTGACTATGAATGTATATGCTAGGTGGGGGAAGTAAGAGCCCACTTCCAAGTATGAACAAGAAGAGAGGGATCAGCACTTAGGGTTCCCACTCTGGTCTGGGATTATATGTATAAACAGGATAGAGAGAAAATCAGTTTTTTCCTGAATATGTGTTCATTCTCAACAGAAGTCTGGACTGGAAGGTAGAAGATCTAGGCTCAATTCCTGCTTCTACTTGGCAAATATGAATAAGTTGCTTAGTAGGTAATTAGCTTCTTTGAACCTTTCTTTTCATCCTCCCCTTTTCAGTTATCTTCTTTCCTTTTTTAAATTGAACTATAATTTACATACAATAGAATTTGCCTTTTGGCATGCAGTTTGAATTTTGACAATGCATACAGTTGCGTAATGACCACCACGATCAGGATAGAGAATATCATTACAAAGGGATGATACTGATCCCAAAAGTTTTCATCCCAAAAGTTCCTTTTGCCTCCTTTGTAGTCATTCCTCCCCTATCTCAAACCTCTGGGATCTGATTTCTCTTTTTATCCTTTTGCCTTTGACAGAATGTAGCAGAAATAGAATCTTACAGTAGGTAGTCTTTTGAGCCTGGCTTTCTTCATTTAGAATGATGGATTAGAAATCCCTCAGCCAGGCATGGTGATGCACACCTGTTAATCCCAGCATTTTGGGAGGCCAAGGTGGGAGTATCACTTGAGCTCAAGAGTGTGAGACCAACCTGGGCAAATCCTCATGTAAAACCTCCTGTCTACAAAAAACACAAAAATTATCTGGGCATGGTGGCACGCACCTGTAGTCCCAGCTACTTGGGAGGCTGAGGTAGGAGGATCGCTTGAGCCCAGGAGGTTGAGGCTGCAGTGAGCTGAAGTCACACCACTACACTCCAGCCTGGGTGACAGTGAGACCCTGTCTCAAAAAAACAAGAAAAAAGAAATCCCTCAGTGTTACTGTATGTGTCAATAATTTGTTCTGAGTAGCATGTCATTATATGAATCTACCATAGTTTATTTATCCATTTACCAGTTGAAGGACATTTATTTTCAGCTTTTATGCCATTATTAATTGGCCACTAAAAGCATTCTCAAATAGGTGAATGTAGGTTTTTTCTTGGGTAGATACTAAATTATTTTACGAAGCGTTATGCGAAGTGGCTGTATCATTTGGCATTCACAGCAACAATGTGTGAACATTCCAGTTGCTCCATATCCACACCAGCCCTTGTCAAAAATCTCAGTTTCTTCATTTGTAAATGGGACAGAAGTCCCTACCCTACCACTCACTCAGGATTGTTGTAAAGATAGAAACAGAAGTGAGGTGGTATAGCAGAAGTGCTTTGTGAACCATAAAGTGCTATACCCAAGTAAGAAATGCTGCCACTTAGTTTGATAGAGATCATGCTCACTTCAATGCAAAACTTGTTTCCCACATGAGCTAGATGTTTCATTTTTTCCCCTACATCTTGGCAAAATAAGTTATAACAAGTCTTAGACGGCAAAAAGGTTTGTCTTAGATGCATTGTGGAGTTTGTTTTGGCTCCAGTTTTTGAACTTTTCACAGAAATGAATAAATGACCGAGATGTAAATCATTAAGCGTGAGTCAGTTTTGTCAAGAAAAATGACCCTGTGGGATGGAAGTCAGCAGGAATGGAGTCAGCATGACAGACAATGTGACGTGCTGTGGAAGAAATAAAGGCAGCCCTAACCAGGCAGTGTCCCCAGGGTAAGGCGCTGAGGATGACTGCACAGCAGCAAAGAGGGCTAATATGCTCCACTATGGTGAGTCTGGGAGAGTTGGTGAGAAAACTGACAAAGCACTAATTTCAACTTTTTTCAAATTTGAAAATCACTTTTTTCCATGTTAGAAACAAAAAGCTGTAAGAAACAAGCCAAACGTTACCTCCTTAACATCAGAATGGACTAATTCTTAGTGTGTTACAAAGATGGTTACATATAGAAATATCTATAGATACACATATATAAACAAGTTAGTATAACATACATATATTCCCTTGCTCTGTCATCTGAGAGGGCATAGAAACAACTGACATCCCAGTAGCAACAAGGACACCTTGTGCTCAGATCTTGGTTTCTAAAACCATTCTCCAATTAAAAGGAACCAGGGCTGCTTGGAGAAATGGCTGATTGTAGGACTAAGGCAGAAAATATACAGGCTGAGCCTGGAGCATCTGGTAGTGCCAAGCAGTAAGGAGGTGCTTCAACGGAAACACAAGTGATGGGGTGTGTCAAAGAGATAAGATAACTGAAAGAGCTCCCAACAGCCAAAGCTGGAGCAACTTGCAAGACAAAGTAAAGGAAAAATATATTATAACCAAAAGTATAAAATAAATATTCTTGACTCTATGCTGACATGATTGAATAAATAAATGGGGGAGAATAAATGAAAGAGAATAGACAAATCTGTGCAAAAGAACTCCAAATAACTCATGAATACTCCACCCTCTAGAAGGTGGAGCCTAACTCCCTACTTGTTAAAGTATGAGCTATGCATATTGACTTCCTTCCAGGAAGTACAGTAGGGAAAGGGAGTAAAAATGAGTAACTTTACAGTAAGGAAAGCTGAGAAATATGACCTCAGCCAGGTGATCAAGGTCAACATCAACAGGGACACATTCTGTTGATAGTGTGTGCCCTGGATATAATGTGATGGGAATTGCATTTGACCTCCGTGGTCTTCCTCCCACAAAACCTTAAACCAGTCTAACCATGAGAAAAATAGTCACCAAATCCCAAGTTAAGGGGATTCTGCAAAATACATGACCAGTAATTCTCAAAAATGTCAAGGTCATTAAAAATAAGGCAAGTGTAAGAAACTGTTATAGCCAAGAGGAGCCTAAAGAGGCATGATGACTGAAGGTGATGTGGGATCCTGGAACAGAAAAAGGACATTAGGTAAAAACTGAGACATAACCAATAAAGTTAATTTAGTTCATAGTCATGCATCAATAATATTTTATTAATTGTGACAAATGTATCATGCTAACCTAAGACATTAATAAACGGGGACTTGGGTGCCAGGATTATGGGAATTCTCTGTACTATTCTTGCTATTTTTCTATAAATCTAAAAATATTCCAGTTGCTCCACATCCACACCAGCCCTTGTCAAAAAGCTCAGTTTCTTCATTTGTAAATGGGACAGCAGTCCCTACCCTACCACTCACTCAGGATTGTTGTAAAGATAGAAATAGAAGTGAGGTGGTATAGCAGAAGTGCTTTGTGAACTATAAAGTGCTATACCCAAGTAAGAAATGCTGCCACTTAGGTTGCAGCATTTGCCCCACTAAAAAATATTCTCTGAGGAATTTCAGTT
Organism: Homo sapiens; assembly: GCF_000001405.40. Classification (NCBI taxonomy): domain Eukaryota; kingdom Metazoa; phylum Chordata; class Mammalia; order Primates; family Hominidae; genus Homo; species Homo sapiens. The sequence goes on from NC_000010.11 coordinate 94,201,467, forward strand.
TAATCTTGATGAAGTTTTTAATTTTTTTGAGCGGAGTCTTGCTCTGTCACCCAGGCTGGAGTGCAGTGGCATGATCTCGGCTCACTGCAAGCTCCGCCTCCTGGGTTCACGCCATTCTCCCGCCTCAGCCTCCTGAGTAGCTGGGACCACAGGCGCCTGCCACCAAGCCCGGCTAATTTTTTTTGGTATTTTTTAGTAGAGACGGGGTTTCACTGTGTTAGCCAGGATGGTCTCGATCTCCTGACCTCGTGATCCACCTGCCTCAGCCTCCCAAAGTGCTGGGATTACAGGCGTGAGCCACCACGCCCAGGCTAACATGTTATTGTAAAGGTTGTATGACAATGAATTATGTGAGTCCCAAGGGAAACATTTAGTACAGTTTTTTTAATTGCTGTTCATTGAGATACCCAGTGAAAAAGATGACCATATTTTGGGGGCATTTCCTTTCTAAGACTTAAATAAATATGGAAAATGAATTGGTAAAAAAATAAAAATCTAGCAGATAATCATTCAAAATATGAGGCACAAATCAGAGGCCACTCTTTCTGCCAAGTTAAAGACAAAATCCAGCTTGGTTTTAGGGGTTTTTGTGTGTGTATGGTTGTTATTTTGTTTTGCCTTTCAAATAAACAAATAAGAGCAAGGGTACAAATAGCATCAATTTACAGGTGTTACAGAACAACATTTGTTTAATGTGACTGCCACGTGTAGAATATGTCCACATGATAAATGTCTGGACTATCTAGCTCCATCAGTCAAGACGTTTTACACAAAAGAAAATTCCCGTATTCCTTTTATCAACTTTATTTATTCCTGGCTGCAATTACCCTTCCCTCTACCCCACCCCCACCAAGATAATAGTGATGCCTTTAAAGGATATGTAGCAGTTTGTTCTTTCATTGCTTTCTAGTGAGCTTCCTGTAACAGAAAGTTTCTGGCAAGATGTTTTTACATTCAGACCCAGATCATTGTCTATGACAAAACGGAGACAAAACTGAGCCAAGAACTTTACCACCACCCCCCATAGAAGCTGACGCTACCCCGACTCCTAATTCACAAGGCTCAGGGCTGCCAACCACATTTGTCAGGGTTTCTTCTCCTTGAGCTCTGCCTAGGATATTTCCCCCATTATTACTCTCTAGAGGCGCGTTATCACGTTGTTTGCTCAGTTGGCCATTTTTGTCTTGATGACAGTGTAAGGAAACCTTGGCCCCTTGGCTACAAGGTGTGTCCGTGCGGCAGAGGTAGACAATGACCAAATACAGAGTTTGTTCATTGATTTGATTCATCCTGACCTAAGTGTGGCTCATCACAGTTTCATTCTGAAAACTGACATCTCTGCAGCTACTTGAACCTCAGGGGATTAAGTCTGTCCTCTGCTAAAAGTACCAGTACCTGTTCAGTGCCTTCTGCAACTAGTGTGTCCTCTCGGGTTTTTCTTTGTGATTCTTTCCTGGTTGGTTATTTTAATTGGTTACATAAAATAGTTATTGTCTGGCTTCAATAGTCGCTCTAACCTGACTTAGGTGATAATAGCTACAATTAGTTGAACACTTCTGCAAGCCAGCATGGTGCTATGTGCTTCACGCATATGTGAAGCCTTTTTAAATATCCTGCATGCTCCTTAGGTCATTCTCAATTTACAGGATTTGGAAAACTTAGAACTTAGAAAACATGTCTGAGCTCTGGTAAGTAGGAGAACTAGAATTCAGGGAAGTCTCTGTGCCTCCAAAGCACCTATACACAGTGGTGCTGCAGATGGATCATGGCTCTGTCACACTCTGCTCCCAACTGTGACCCCCTCCTCCATGACACTTATGAACCCCTATCAGATCACCCTGAATATTTATCCAAGTTAGCATTCCTGGACCCATCTTTACATTTGCTACATATTTCCATGCAAGGAAGCATAAAGGTCCAAACAGGAACTTTTACTTCATATTCATGTTTTAAGCAGAAATTATTCGTTTAAAATCTGGTTGATCAGACTTGCTTTGAGATTATAAACTACCATTTTGTAAACTTTGAAATGTAGAGTTCTTCAGCTTGCATTAAACTCAATGTTTTTCTCTTTTTGATGACCTCACACTTCTCAACAAAAATGTAATACTCAGGAACACCTTCATTCCCAAAGATATTTCATCCATGTCCCCATAATTATATCTGAATTCCTGAATGGATTAGATAGGTTGCTGGAGTTGAGCCTACATAAGCAGAAATAAAAAGAGGTGAGAACATCTCTCTCTTCTTCCTGGACTCTGCTGCCAACCTTGTGCATTGATGATGATGAAGAGAAGAGCAAACAGGCCACAGACCTGGCTTCCCTTCCCAAGAGGAGGACATAAAGGAAAGCATGCTGAGTGAATATCCACAACCTGTGAAGGCAGAAGAAATATTAGTCTCTAATTTGAAACAGCATCAAGTAATGGAAAGGGCAGGAACCCTCAGGTTTTAGTCTGAAAGTTTCTTCTAACTAGTTGTTTGTGGCTGATAGCAAAGGCAACCTCTTGGGGCCTTATTTTCCTTACCTATAAATTGTAAAATATCAGCATTGGACTCTTTGTTAACACATTTATTTATGTCTCTTCGTATTTGCAAAAAATAAAAAAAAAATTGGGGGAAGATTTTTTTAAATGGTAGAATAAAAAAACTAGAATAGTGCCAGAGAGAATGCCTAGGCAAAGGAAACAGATGCTTCCATTGATGAAAAAGTTGGGCAGAGGTTCCTGGCAGCCTAGGCAAAAAGGGTGATATGATAGATTATATCATTCTCATTATCTGAAAAAGAAAAGGAGTTGGAGGAGCAGATAAAAGAAGAGGAAGGAGAGAAAGAAGGCAAAAAAGCATCAGCACATCAAATCATCAGAAACTCCAAGCTACCTTCTAGAACTCTGGGAGGAATTAGAAAATGATGTGTCCTGGCAAGGCGTGGTGGCTCACGCCTGTAATCCTAGCACTTTGGGAGGCTGAGGCGGGTGAATCACGAGGTCAGGAGTTCAAGATCATCCTGGCCAAGATGGTGAAACTGCGTCTTTACTAAAAATACAAAAAATTAGCCAGGCGTGGTGGCAGGCGCCTGTAATCCCAGCTACTCGGGAAACTGAGGCAGAGAATTGCTTGAACCCAGGTGGCGGAGGTTACAGTGAGCCAAGATCACGCCACTGCACTTCAGCCTGGGTGACAGAGTGAAACTCTGTCCCGAAAGAAAGAAAGAAAGATACACAGGAAGAAAGAAAGGAAGGAAGAAAAGAAGGAAGGAAGGAAGGAAAGAAGAAGGGAGGGAGGAAGGAAGGAAGGAAGGAAGGAAGGAAGGAAGGAAGGAAGGAAGGAAGGAAGCAAAATAATGTGTGCTGTAGAAAATGATGGTGTCTTCAAGAGCAGTTTTGAGGGCAGAAACATTGGCAAAAGCAATCTCCTTTTGACCATATTTTATATTGATTGTTAATAAAAAGACATAATTCAAAACATGACTCTCTATAAAGATATGATATGGGGAGCTAAAGTAATCCAGTTCAGGTATGTTGCTCACTGACAGTCTTACTTGGCGTAAGGATAAAGCTTAGAAAATCTAAGGAATGAATACCTGGTATGACTTTTAAGATGTTTTTCTTGAATATCAATTGCCTTAGCCAAGCTTTTGACAAGTATGACATGCTACAGACAGTTGAAAATTGAGATTCCTTACACGTCCTTTAATATGCAAAAGTAATCTTGGTTTATGAAAGTTCTCCCTTCCACCACCTTTCCATTCCCCAGGGGACTCTCACCTGTCTACCTGCAGAGAGGGCCAAGAAATTTTATTATTATGGTAATAATAGTGGGGGAAGAAGAGAGAGGGAGGGGATTTCATTTCCTACTGTAGAGAATGTTATGATATTGGATCTTTGCTTTACAAGCACGTATTACTTTCAATATTAAAGATTAAACCAAAGACTGGTGGAGGTGGGGAGGAAGAGAGAATGGAAATAAAGTACAGTTGCATGTGAATAAAAGAAAGTTATGCACATGAAGCCATGGGGCAGCCCTGTCACTTAGACATTGCTCTACAAATATTCATTGAATGACTAAATAAATAGAACATGGAAAAGAGGACCAGCTGGCAAGAGTCGGAAGCCAGAAGTTGCCAACTGGCCACCTCAACTAGGAAACAAATGGACTGTGCCTTCTTTAAAACACTTTGCTTTGTTCATGGCAATATCCTAATGCCCTTTCCAGGATGAGCAGCCCCAAAATGCATCTGCAGATCTCTAAACGGTTCATCTGTTCATCTGTCAACTAGAATTATGTGTCAGAGGCAGGCTGCCAAAAACCACTGTTTTGATCCAGGATAATTGGAAGTGAACTCTTCCTCCTGTCGTCAGTTGGCCAGCACTTTTGGTCGCTTCTTGAGGCCTCTCCTGGAATATCCTTCATTTGCTCTTTCAGTCATTCTTTTAGAAATATTGACTGAGTGCCCACTGTGTGCCATGCACTGTTCTAGGCTCTACGGATCCAGCAACGAAAAAACAAATAAAACTCCCTACCCACATGGAGCTTCCATTGCAGTTAGATGGAGACAGATTAGAGAAATAAGATAAATATACCCTATGATAAGCGCCAGGGAGAAAAATAAAGCAAGGCAGAGGGATGGGAAGTGTTGGGGAGGGGTAGTTCTTGCAACCTCAAGTCGAGTGATGAGGGAAAGCCTTACTGAGAAGCTGGTATTTGAGTAAAGAAGGGAGGGTTGAGGGAATGAGCTACCTGGACATGCAAAGCAAGAACATTCCAGGTAGAGGGAACCATAAGTGCCAGTGCCCTGTGTAAAGCGTGCCTGGCATATTCAAGCAACAGGAAGAGGGTCAGTGTGGCTGAGGTGGGGGTAAGCTGTGCAGGACATGAAAGGAAGTGGCAAGAGAGGAGGTCAGAGGACCCAATCTGTAGAGCTTTGTAGGTCATTGTAAGTGCTTTCAATTTTACCCAGAATGGTACAGGAAGTCATTGAAAGTTGTGATCAAATTGCATGTGTCCTTTTCTGACTTGTTTCTGTCATTCAGCCCAGTTGATATGCGTAGCCATGGTTGATTCTTTTCCATTGCTCTATCTTATTCTACTGGGTACAGCTTGGCCCTGTGGGTGGTTTGGGCCATACATCAACCGTGGACAGTGGACAAATCTATGTGGCCAAACATTTGAAACTGCTGTTAGCAAATAGCAAAGTAGTTGGTAAAGCCTGTCTTCTCTTGTTTAGAGCTTGAGGGGTTGGAACAGGCCAGTGGTGTTGACATGCTGCTCTGAGGAGCCCTAGGGAATATTCCTTGAACCTCACTTTTTCCCCAGCCTCTCTTTATTCCAGACCAACTCTTAATCAGTGTTGTATTGAAAGTGTCCCCATAAAGCCTCCAGGCCCCCAGATTTGAAACCATTTAAATAAGAGACCTCTAAAGTTCTTTACAACTTTAAAGTACAGCTGTCACATACATGCACACACGTACATACAATATGTTTAAAATGTTTTGATGTTTATTTTTTCATTGGTAAATGCTTTAATAAAAGGTCAAATTTACTTTCACTTTCATAATTATAAATGTATTAACCATTGTATGTAGCTCAAATGTAAGATACTAGTGAACCATTTACAAAGAACAAGCAGCTTTCCCATCTTCCATTCCCTCTTCCCTTTGTTTCTCAGCATGGAGGGCAGCCCTGGCTCGTGTGGGGAGGGTGTGGGAGCTTCACAGAAGCACATCAGTGACACGTCAGGAGCGTGCCCCCAGCATGCAAGGATGCAGAATGGAGAAGGGGACACACAGCTGGGAGACAGAAGGGAAAGCCGAAATGGTTGGGACATTGGTTACTGTGAGCAGATACTAAATTGATGAGTAAATAAGCAAATATATTTAGGATAACTATACAAAAGCCAGGTTTCTCACGGTTGGAAATGATACTTACAAACACAAAAAGGAAAAAGGCTGGAAAGAACTTTGAGGTGTTAAATTTGAAATGTAGGTTTCATTATGAATGTAGGCTTTTATAATCTATATACACAAATAAATGAGGGAATAGTTATACGTGTGTGTGTGTGTGTGTGTGTGTGTGTGTGTGTGTGTGTATAGACTTTTTTTTTCAAGCTCTGTCTGTCTAGGAAACCTCAAAGCAATGGCACTCCAGAGGCAATGAGCACATGAAGCACACAGATATTGGATTCTAAATACCATTCTTTACTAAAAAGAAACCAGGGCTTCTTGGAGAAAATGGCTGATGCCATGGCTGGGGAAGGGAAAATTAAAGATAAATCTGAAACATCTTGTTATGCCAGAAACAAAGGAAATGTTCCAGTGATGATGGAAACATATTAAAAGGACCAGGTGCCACTTTGGGATCATTTGAGCTTCAAAATAAATAAAGCGAGTAATGGATTCCAATATAGTGAAAAAAAATTATAATCCATTTGACTACGCCAATTTAAATGAATATGTGAACAAATAAATGGAAGACAAGGGATTGTTATTTCTTACTGAAGAATGAAACTAATAAATATAAAAATAATGAAGGAAATATAAATCACCATTTGGTAGCTGTCATAGAGGTGACTGATTCCGGTGGTATTTATCAATGAAGGCAGGTAATAGAGGGTATATGAAGAGTAGGATATTGGTGCATTCCTAGAATAGTGCCTCACAAATACTAATAAATTACCAGAGAGAAAATGGTAACTGTGTGGCGGAGACACCTGGCAGACACCAACCTGACCAGGTGATCAAGATTGACATCACCAGTGATGCAAAAGTTCCACATCCTGTACCCTCTGCGGTGATGCACCAAGCAGAGCCCAGCTTCATTCTGAGTATTTCTTCCAGGACAGCATCACCTAAGTCTGGCAATGAAACCTCAGAGAGACCCAGGCTGAGGGCCATCCTACAGAATGTAAGGCCTGTAATCTTTGAAATTACATAAAGACATGAAAGACAGGGAACAGTAGAGGAACTATTCCAGATTGGAAGAGACAGAAGAAAACAAAATGCAAAGTGTGGTCCCCCGACCAGCACATCAGTGTCATCTGGGAATTTGCTGAAACTGCAGAATCTTCTGCTCCTACCCCCACCCACTGAATCATAATCTGCATTTTAATAAGATCCCCATGAACATTTAAGGTTGTAAATAGCCAGGGCCCTAGATCAGTGATTCCCAAACACAAGGCTTTATTAGAATCACTTAGGAAAACTTTATGTAAGGACAGATTCCTACTCCCCTCCCCAGATCTACTGAATTAGACACTAAACTGTGGAGTCTACAATAGGATATTCTGAAGAAACTCTCCCAGCTGGTTCTGAAACCAAGGTACATCTAAGAATCACTGGGCTGTAAATAGTGTTGACATATGCATAAGTGACCAAAGTGGGTCTCATTGCACGTGGGCCTCAAAACACAGGTTGGAGAACCAAACTAATCGTCGCCACAATTCCTGCTCCAGGCACCAAGACATGACCCCAAACTTCAGTCCAGGGGTGGAATGTAAATAAATATTGCTGATTCACATTTCAGAAGTTTTCTAGAACATTTAAGTGGATTTGAAAAATACTCTTTAAAGGATTGTTTGTACAAACATCATACTCTTTCCATTCCTTGTTTGGCATAGAGTTTAATCAGATTTAAAATGGTGAGAGTTCTGTGTAAGGTTGTATGTTTCTTTTCTTCCAGGGCATGTAAAACAGGACATCTGGGTTTTATCATTAAAATACTAAAACATGTCCAGTATTTTTAGGAAATTTAGGCCTGAGTTTATGTGCTACAGGTGTTGAGTATATTTGACAGAAGGCTGGAGTCTAGTAACTTAGAGTTAAAAGGAAAAATATATGTGTGCCTGCCAATTTTGTTTCAGATAATACTTGATGAAAACATTTAAGTTTTGATTTTTCCAGCACTTTGAAAAATAGGAGAAAATAGAAATAAATCTTTTAGTCCATTTTAAAGGCAAATAGTTTTCAGATATTCTTTGTTTTATATTATATACTGAGCTTTCATCAACTCATAGCAAAACTTGCTTTGCAGATCTCAATTTGCCTATAGTACCTCATGGGCATAAAAATATCCTTTACAAATTTCTGACCTCTTCCAGAAAAGATATAAAAGCATAGAATTCCAAGCATGAGGCTGGTTATAATGTAGGTATGTTCTATGAATGAATATAAGAAATAATGCTATCCAACACAGAGACTGGGGAGGGACTAAGTGGTGGAACAGCAAGGGATATGTAATAAGACACTTCAAAAATTGTAATTTCCAAATTCAAAGAAACACCACAATTCAATGCAGGTGCCTCACAAAATCAAATGCCATATCTAGAAATCATTGACTATATGCCTATTAATATTAGTAAAATTGGCTAACCTTTCAACTGTGGGCTTAAGTATGTAAAGGCACTTTCATATTATGTCCTTTAGTCCCACAGTTCTGTAAGGGAGGTGTTGCTCGTAGGCCTGCTTTCAACTGAAGGGCATAGAAGAGAGATTAAATAATTGACTCAGTATCACACAATTGGTGATACTAGAGCTGAGACTTAAAGCCAGCACCTCTGACTTCACACCTGGCCTACCCTACGCATCTAGTACAGAATATTTGTCCAGTCAACAGACCAAAAAAATGATCTTTTTTTTGGCTTTGGTTTCGTTTGGTGTTTTTTTGTTTGTTGTTTGTTTGTTATTGGTATAAGATGTCACGTTTTAATATTTGAATGGTGTTTTTTTTTTTTTACTTTTCAGTTTCTATCATCTATGCCGTAAGCACTTCCCAAGTAAATATTTCTTGAAAGAGATTTCTTGAGCCAGATGTACAACATGTCTTTACTCCTCTGAGGTTAAAACTCACCCTTTCTCTACAAAAAAAGCAAGGCTGGTATTTGGCCCCCATTCCTTCTGAGGATCTTTGTGACCCCTAAATTATCAGACCCCTAGGCTCCCAAACAGGTCTGTCACTTTTACAGGAACTGTCAACACACCCCCGAAATTTTTTAACTGACCACCCTGAAGAAAACAAGCAGGCTTTAACTTGAGCTTGCTCACCAAAATCACTCAAGTCCTTCCAGCTGCATGGCCCCAGTCTCCAAAATAAATCCCCTTCCTCTGCTGGTCTGAGGCTCACTTCAGCCTCCCCACGTCCTAGGCTTTGAACTCCTGTGACTTTTAACCTTGGCTTTGTGCCTGTTGAGCTGTTAATCAGGGTCTCCAGCCCATAATCAGCAGCTGGTGAGCAGCTGCTCCCTCCTTTCCTAAAACAGATCCTAGCCAGAATTTTCCCTGAAGGGCTCTTCCTGCCAGCTTCCTCTCTTCTAGGAAGCAGAGGAAGTTTTCTTCCTTTGGCTTCTCCCTCTCTGGCCATTCCTAATGAAGACAAATAGCAATGGCACCATTATTTCTCCTGTTTTCCTTGTTGGGGCCTCCCTTCTAGAATTCTTCCCCAAATCTCTATTCTCCTCTGCCCTTTCCCTTCTGTAGCCCAGTCTGCAGGGCACAGCTGGTGGTACCTTCTGGCTGAAGCTAGAGGGGAAAAGTTCAAGGCCAGCATATCTGAAATTCTCCAGACAAGTCTGCCGCCACTGCCACCTCTTGGACTCCGTTCAGCCTGCTGAGAGCTGTGTCGTGGGAGGCCCTAGGCTGGACACCCTTGTTTTCATGGCCTGGACTCTTCTCCCTTTTGTTCCTTGGCTTTTGCCTAACTAGGACCCACTGCCCCCATCTTTTAGGCCATCTGAGGTTAGTGCTCTAGCAATTGCTGCTGCTCCCAGCTCTCCTCGTCCTCCTTATCCACCACTTCTTCACCCAGTAAGCCTGCCTATGAAGGCCTACAGAGGGAGGGCAGGTGGCAGTGTATCAGACTGTCTTCACAGAGATGACAAATGCAGCAAGTTATGACTGTAGGTGTCCTGAGGTGACATCTGGGCTCTAGCCTCAGCATTACCACTCACTAACTGGGTGACCTTTGCAAGTCACCTAACATCTCTGATTCTCTGTTTCTTCATCTATCAAATAAGAGAAATGGACTAAATAATGTCTAAAGTCTTTTCCAATTCAAACATTCTACAGTCCATTGATTTATTCGTTGTTACATTATGTAGTAGAACCGCATAGCTAAAAGTTGGTCTGCTTTCTGGATTATTCCTTCATGACAGCCTTGGCTATGAAATAACAGTTGGCCTTCATCTCCTCACTTTGGAGTCTAAAGAAAAATCTTCCTTCATGTCTTGGTTTTAGAGTTCCTCCAATGACATATTGATTCTGGATTTATGACACCAATTATAAAATCCTATGCTGCTGTTTCTGTTTCTACCTCCTATAACCCACCCACCCCAAGCGGTTTCTAGAGAAGGAGGGGTGTATTTTTGGTTTGGCCAGGTGCAGGTAGAGGACCTACTGAACTACTGGTGGAGACAAGCCCCTGCTATGTCCTCTTCAAGCTAAAAGAGCTCAGAGAGACCCCTGTCAATATTGCAGCATTATTCTAAATGTTAATTAATGTTCCTTTGAAAAAAAAATTACATGGTCAAAAGAACTTGAGAAATACTGAATATTAGCTGCTTCTTAAAGGTTTATCGTGCATATTAGCATATTAAAGCCTCCAAAAATCCTGCCCCTAAAAACCTTTTGTTTATTTATTTAGGAGACTGAGTCTCCCTCTGTCACCCAGGCTGGAGTGCAAGTGCAGTGGCGTGATCTCGGCTCACTGCAACCTCTGCCTCCCAGGTTCAAACGATTCTCCTGCCTCAGCCTCCCAAGTAGCTGGAATTACATGTGCATGCCACCACACCTGGCTAATTTTTGTGTTTTTCTTTTTTTGAGACAGAGTCTGGCTCTGTTGCCCAGGCCGGAGTGCAGTGGTGCCATCTCAGCTCACTGCAAGCTCCGCCTCCCGGGTTCACGCCATTCTCCTGCCTCAGCCTCCAGAGTAGCTGGGACTACAGGCATCCACCACTACGCCCAGCTGATTTTTTGTATTTTTAGTAGAGACAGGGTTTCACCGTGTTAGCCAGGATGGTCTTGATCTCCTGACCTTGTGATCCACCCTCCTTGGCCTCCCAAAGTGCTGGGATTACAGGCATGAGCCACCACGCCCAGCCAATTTTTGTATTTTTAATAGAGATGGGGTTTCACCCTGTTGGTCAGTCTGGTCTCAAACTCCTGAACTCAAGTGATCCACCCACCTCAGCCTCCCAAAATGCTTATCCTAGAATTTCCTGAAGTCATATGGCTCCAGACACTTTCTTCACAAAATATTTAATACTTAATATCTGGGTAGAACATGTGCCCTGAAACACAGTTTGGGAAACATTACCACAAAACATTGCTGATCTGTTTCTGTCTGGGGTCTTTGGAGCAGAAAGGGATAACAACACTTTCCAGAATATTTATTGAGCATCTACTTTGTGCAGAACATGTGGGAATAATTCAAAATTGGCAGATCAATCTGCTCATCAAGATTTCAAAATCAAATGCTGCAGAGGGTTGCCGCATATGAATAAGCAGGCCAGTCAACAAACAAGACAAATTAAGTACTAAGTGCAGCTTGGAAGTGCTGCAGCCAGGCTGCTGGGCCCTTGTTTGACTCCCCGAATTGAATTCCATACTCTCAGCTGTCAGTCTCAAGTTCCTTTGCTTTGCTCCACCAGTGCGGTTACCACTCCCCAGTTACAGGATCTCATTTCAGGACATTCACTGTTTATATCTTAGGTAGTTGGTGGGACACATCCAGCATTTTTATCCTGTGCTGAACACCCTAGAATTTTTGCCTTTCATGTACAGCTCTGTTAGTTTTTACTCAGAATTAGGATCTGTTCTTTGCCTGGAAAAGATGATGAACTTTTCAAAAAGCAAGAAAGATGATGAAACAGCCAATGTCATGTGATGTGGTTTAATCCCAGCCCATCAAATGTTGTAACCACAGTCCAGTGTACCTGATGTTTCCTGGACAAAGGCCCTGGGTTCTCAGGGTGGCTGCCCTTTTTGAACCTGTCTATGACTCACAGCTATTTTTCCAGGACTTCCCCACCTACCAAGCCATGTCCCTGTGTCCCTACCTCCTCAGAGAGCCCTGACCCAGACCTCTTCCTCTTCTGCTTCCCACCCTTCACTGCCAACTTTCCTTGGATGTTCCATTGATATGTTCTTTCTGAACATTTTTCTTGCCCCTTTTCCTCTGCCTCTCCTTTCTGGCTTCTTTGAAAGAAATGAAGGATCATTCTTTTGGAGAATCTAATCCTTGGAAAGTCCCTCTCTGCTAAACAGTGAAGGGAAGCTGGCCCTGTAATAAAAAGGCCAACATTGTTTCCACAAGTGCTACATCTTGAAGAAGGAGCTGCTTATTATTTTTTAATTATCAGTATTAGTTGACATTTATTGAGCACATACTACTCCTCTCCAAGCACCGGAGCCCTTCATATTTATCGTCCCTTTTATTAGTTTATGAATATAAAGAGACTTTATATTTATCATCGCTTTTATTAGTCACCACACTCCTTATGATACCGGGCATTTTATTATCCCCATCTTATGAGCGAGGAAATAAGAGTCTCAGGGTAGGTAGGAAACTTGCTCAAGGTCACAGAAATAGTGAAAGGCAGAGCCAAGAAATGAACCTACATTCCTTTGGCTCCACATCCTGTGTTTTTCTGTTTCCCAGCACAAGTGACATGAGTGAGAGGTGCTTGACAACATCTTGTTTTGAGTTATGCATAAAACATTGCAGCCAACTCCATGTTGGTGCTGCCCTTCCCAGAAGACTGTCCAAGTGCCTTACTTGCCCAGGGCATCTGGGGACTGCAGTACGGGCAGTAAGGCACGATCATTTACCCTAGAGCTCACAGCCCCAGAGCTGCCTACTTGATCTTCACCCTGAGGAGAGTGATTACATACACTCTCTTCCCCACTGGAACAGAGAAGCTGAGGAGATTAGAATTCCAGTTTTCATCAGATTTATTCCCTTACGAGTTTCATTCACAGATGCTCACCCAACATATATGTACTGGACAGACTGCTGATTTAATTATCTTCTTCTTAATGGTCTGTTCTATCTACCAGTGTCCAGTGGGGCCAGGATGAATTGATCTTGGTGGGATGCCAATATCCTTTGTTTGTTCACACAGATTTGTTTTCAGTGGAATGTACGCCAACACAGGCACACCATTTTATTCCCTTCCGCTCTGTCCTTCCTGCTCCATCATTATTGTTGGCTGGTTGTCGGTCTCCTTCTACTTGCTCACCATTCACATTCTAATTGGTGAAAATTTGCATTTCACCGCAAGTGAAAAAGTGACTTGCGGGCTTACTTTTGCTTACCAGTGACAGGTGCACACCTGCCCGAGGACCAAGAGTGAATCACAGCATGGTCTCCAAACATCGTGACCCTGCTCAGTGGCCCTGGATGACAACCTTCACCTGTCCCCTTTTCCTAAGTAGTGTGGCCTGTGGCCAGAGGCTTCCCCATCCAGGGTACTTGCGTAAGCTATGTTCTTGTCCTTCACTCAGAGAACCTCAGAATGGGTCCAGCCCATTCCAGTGCAGATGAGAAACCCACCACACTCTCACCCTCTGCTGCCCAATCATCTCAGGGAAAATGGAGTCTTCCAGTCATGGACCAAACTGCCCATAGGTCTTCTATGTCATGGCTCCCCTGGTTGCCTTCCCCAGCAACACTAGCCTTCTGAGCCTCTTGGGTGAAGATCAAGCAGGCAGCTCTGGGGCTGTGAGCTCTAGGGTAAATGATCCTGCCTTACTTCCTGTACTGGAGTCCCCAGATACCCTGGGCAAGTAAGGTGCTTGGACAGTCTTCTGGGAAGGGCAGCACCAACATGGAGTTGGCTGCAATGTATTATGCATAACTCAAAACAAGATGTTGTCAAACACCTCTCACTTATGTCACTTGTGCTGGGAAACAGATGAGTAAAACAATGCCTGCATCCAAGGAGCTCCATCTGCAGTGGCAAAGTCCAGGGGGATAGTGGTCACCGTGCAGTATAAAAAGTGCAGCAGGAAGGTTATATTAGCACAGAGGACCCATTAATTATCTGAGGGCTCAGGGACGGCCTCCTGGAGAACATGACATCTGGGCTACTTGGAAGCTAATTGGATGTGGGAATGGAAAGTGAAGGAGTTAAGGACTGGAAACAGGATGGGCTTTGGGTCCTCCAGGTAAGAATGTCCAGTTCATTCTTGGATATACAAGATAAGAGCTAGACATTTGGAGCCAGCAGCAGAGAGAGGATGGGTAAAGGAAAGTTAGTGAAGGAAAACATATATGGAGAGGATGTAGCATAAGAAGAGATTCGAGAAGGGCCGAGACAGAGCAAGGCATGGTAGCACACACCTGTAGTCCCAACTACTGGAGAGGCTGTTGTGAGAGAATCAGCTGAACCCAGGAGTTCAAGGCTTCAGTGAGCTATGATCATGCCACTGCACTCCAGCCTGGGTGACAATGAGACCCGAACTCAAATAAAATAAAATAAAATAGGCCAAGACAGAGCCACAAGAAACACAGCATTCAAAAACCAATACATGCCAGCAGAGTACATGGGCTCTGGGGCCGGCCTGCCTGGGTTGGAATCCCACCTTCACCACTTTAATTAGCTTTATGATCTTAGGCAAGTGATTGCTTCAATTTCATTTCTAAAATGCAAATGATAAGGACATATACCTCATAGGCTTGTTGTAGGATTAAATGAATTAATACCTGTTAAGTAGACTCTGTAAAAGCATTTGGTGTCACTGTTATTTCACTGATGTCGGAAAAGGGCAAACCCAGCCAATGATAGAGTCAGCACTGCCCAGTTGAGATCTCCTCGGTGAGGAGAGGTAAAGGAGCACTCCTTATAGGAAGCAGATCAGAGCTGAGGAGGGACACGTCAGGCTTGGGATGCCACCACCTCCTGGCAGGGTAGGGACTGTGTTTGTCTTGCTCATCATGTGCTCTAGTGCCCACTGGAGTGCGAGCTCTAGAGGGTAGACACTCAGGAATGATTTGCTGAACAAGTATATATTTGTTGAAGTTCCCTGACTTAGCTGGAGTGAAGGGGCTGCAGGGAGCAGGCAGTCCAGAGGTGGCAGCAGCTTGGGGTGAGGTTTACTAGGGGGTATACCCTGACTTTCTGGCCTCTGCCTGGGATACCTAGCTGTCTGGGTGAGTGAGCTTCAGGGATGGAATCTCTCACAGGCCTTCTCCCACACATTCTTCTCTAATTCAGAAGGACCCTGTCCTACTCTGCATGTCATAGGAAACTTAAAATTTTAGATACATGACAGAATAGGAACATTTGTAAGCAACTGGTAAGCACCAATGCCACATTCTCTGTGACTTCTCAGAATGCTAAAATTCTGTTTCTAAAGGGAATGCGACTCGGCTGCATCATTCTGATTCTGGAGCTAAGCTCCGCACAGTGTTTGCTGAGGCATTTCTTTGCCCAGTAGATCAGGGTGGCTGTGTGGGGAGCAAAGCTTTAAAAATTTAAAGGCCTGTGCTTTTACATTACCATGCTCTACTATCTTCCATTTTCTCTTTTATGAAGATTAGACTCAACAGTAAATTAGCAAACAGTCTAATTTACTGTTGAGTCTAATCTTCATAAAAGAGAAAATGGAAGGCAGTAGCATGGTAATGTAAAAGCACAGGCTTTTGATTTGGCTCATTCCTACTTTGCAGGTGTGTAACCTTGGGCAAGCTAGTTTACTCACTCTGAATCTCACCTTTCTCATCTGTAAAATGGCAGCAGTATTAGTACCAGCCTTGTAGAGCTGAAAGGATAGGATAAGCAGCGTCCCTCTCACAAGCCTACCATTTACATGGAGAGTGTTGTTATTGTAATTATGATTATGAAAATTATGCAAAGAGGAAAAGAAATTGATTTATAAATGGTCCCACAATAGGATCAGGATAGTTCGGAGCTAACAGCTCAGTTATATCAAGACATTTTATGTAAACTGTTAGTGATGGATTTTAATCTCATCATATTAAAGTGGGATGAAATAAGTAGGACCCTATTCTAGGGCCATCAATTAATACAATTACAAAAGGGGAGACTCTGCATGAGATGAGGCTTACTTCTGAACAGCATTTAATAATTGGCTTCACAAGGAATGATCCATTCAATTCAATTAACTATGGTGAGAGAGAAGAGGATAACACATTCTGCATAGCTGTTGGCAATTCCCCAAATTCCATTTAACTAGACATGGTATTTGCAAATCTCAGTGAAAATATTCTCCCTAGTTGATTTTAAAACAGTAAATAACTCTAGTGAACTTAGAACCCAATTTCTGAGTACAGTATTTAGGGATTTATAGTTGAAGAATTTGAGAATAATCAACTGTCTCTTGCAAACTGTGGGCAAGCCATTCTGCAAACAATAGAAAGATACCCAGAATAACATGTTCTCTACCCTCAAGGAGGTGACAATTTAGAGAAAATGGACATATACACAACTGGTTTAATTGCAAGACAGAGTATGCTTCTTACTTTTTTTTTTTTTAGTTTTGCTTACATTTTATTTTTACTTATACACAAGGGTAAGATATTATAGAAATTGGTGTCACTATAAGTCTAAAAGAGCACTTTCAGTAAATATAAAATAAAATTTCATAATGATGCATCTTAGCACAAATGAAGCAAATGATGTCTACAAATCCATATCCATTGGTGTTGCTGGCTTTAACACACTTTTCTTTTAATGTTTTGGGATAACATGAATTATTACACTTTCTGTGTGATACAGTTATACTTAACACATTCTAAAATAATTAATGGAGTTCTAGAATAAGAACACTAGGTTTTTATAGTATGTATATTACATTGTTAGTTTTAAAAATATTATAACCAGATGACATCTTAGTGATTATTCAATTTATGTTACAGGTAAGTTAGGTAAAGCCCAGATAGGTTAAGTGAATTCCGTATGATTTCCAGCTAGAGTTAGGCTTGGAATTCAAGAATCTTGGGTTCTTTCTCTTAGGTCTGCATGTTTTCTGCTATACCATCCTTAGGAAACTCTGTTATCTCCTTACCCACAATTTCATGTGTAGATAAAATAAAATGAAGATCATAAATAGTATTATAATGACATAAACCAATACTTCTGTCAGCTTAGAATTGGGACTTGTCTACAATTCTGTTCTAGTGAACAGAAAATGGATACGGATTTGTAGCTTCTTACTTTTCTTATACTTGCTTTAACTGCTCCCACCCTCATGCCTAGCATAGTTCCAGGCAAATTCACAGGCATGCAGTAACTGTTTGTGGAAAAAATAGGCATTACTACAGAGATATAAATAAAGTGCTTTGGGAGGGCAACTGGGACCAAGAAGTGGTAGAAGAACCAGATTTCTAAAGATGACAGCATATAAATGGTAAAGTAATTATCCAATTATTATATCAATCATACTTTTATATATAATTATAAAATAATAATTTTATATATAATTATAAAAAATCTGACTATAAAAATTTTAATTATAATTATATTATTATATAATTAAATATAATTAAAATATAATTAATTATAGTTATATATAAATAATTATTAATTGTTAATTTTATGTATAATTATAAAAATAATTATCCAATTATTATATCAATAATACCACTATTTAATTACTTGCTTATGTTATTTTCCCCCATGAGATGCCAAGCTATCAATGGGCAGATACCATGTCTGTCTTGTTTACTAGCGCCCAGCACAGTGCATACTATATAGTGGATACTCACTAAGTATTTATTAGAAGAGGGAGGATCACCTCAAGTCAAGATATATTTGTCAAGGTTCTTTTTTCAGTTATGAGTTAACAGCAACTCAATTCAAATCTGTTCAAACAAAATAAGAAATTGGTGTATGTATATGGAGTCATCAGAGGGCTTCAGGGATGGCTGGATTTAGGAACCCACCAATGTTTTTAAAAATCTATCTTCATCTTTTCTTGGTGTTGGCTTCCTTCTTAGGCAGGCTTTCCTTATATTATAGCAAAGACAGCTCTCAACAGCTCCAGGCTCATATCTTTACAGTTTATGATTCCAACAAAAAGGTTGTCTCTTTTCCTGATAGCTTCAGTAAAAGACTCAAGAAGGGCTTTAGTTGGCTGGTGTAGGTCATATGACAATCTTTGAACAAATCACTGAGGTCAGGCTTGCAGGAAGGAGTATGGTCAGCCTTATGTAATCTGTATAGATTAAGATGTTAGACAGCCAAAACAAAACCCCCTACACAAGGAATCAGATTGAAATGAGCCTAAGAATAGACAAAGAATAGAAAATGATACACATAGTACAATTGGATTGTTATCTGGATAAGTGGCAGGTAACAGTAAAAAATTAATACTGGAGACGTAAATTTAGAGCAAATAGTGCCATCCTTGAAAGCCAAAAAGAGATTTAGAGTTTGTTCTGAAGACAAATGTGATGTAGTTTGGGGGTAAGGGGAGATAATCTGAGCTGTGTTTGAGGCTCTGAAAAAGCTACCTTTGGGTACTTGCCTTTTCCCCTCTGTGTCTCTCCTAAGCAAAGAGTCATCAGTGGAACCATGCCAAGCACAGCAAGGAGTTCAAGAGACTCTTCTGCACCCACTTCATGTCAAGGAGGATGCCTGGGTGTGGGAAACATGCTGGCTGCTGTATCCTCAGAACTGAGATCCTGGCATGAATGAACCATGGCCCGTGCTTTAAGGAGCTTATGATTAGAAGAACTTGGTCTAGGACAACATTTTATACATACATACATACATACACACACACATACACACACACACACATACACACACACACATACATATATGTAGCCAAGCACAGTGGCATGCACCTGTAGTACCAGCTACTTGGGAGGCTGAGGCAGGAGTTTGTGGCCATCCTGGGCAACATAGAGAGACTCCATTTCTAAAAAGAAATAAAAGCTTAAAAACTAAACATTTTATATATATATATATATATATATATATATATATATATATATATGATTGGGCTATTGTAATAGAAACATGCTCTTTTATTCCTAGCAATGAGCCAGGGAAGCCTTGAGAGAAGAGGTAACATTTGAGTTATCCTTCTCTTAAGAGAAGACTGTACTCGGGGCACAAACCCTTCTCAGGGCAGTCACAGATTCTTCTTGGTCCAGCCTGTTAGTTAGGAAGTGGGATTTAGAGATTCCAGTCTTCAGGATTTCTGTGTTCTGTCACCTGAAATTCAGCATCTCTACAACAGTACTTGCAGCAGCAGAGCAGTCACAGTAGTGAACATCTATCCCTTAACTGCACACTAAGCATCATGCTGAGATCTTTAGATACACTCTCCAACTTCACCCTCACAACAATTTTAGGAGGTAAACAGTATGCCCATTTTACTGAAAAGGGAATTAGGGCTCAGAGCAGTTAGATGGCTTGCCTCAGGGGCACGCACAGGAAACGGTGGGGCTGGGAGTGCACACAGGTCTACCTACCTCCAGCGCCGGGCTCCGCCACTACACCGTGCTGCCTCCCTCCAGCTTCCCCTTGTTCCAAATGGGTTACAGTCTCAATCTCAGGTACAGTTAACTGGTGAGGCCAGAGAGGTGATTTACAATTTTGCGCTGGTACTACAGAAATGACGCCTGATCTGACTCAAGGCCCTGGGGTGCAGAAAAAGGTCACTAAGCCCCTGGGTGAGTTCTCAAACTCCAGCGCATATAAGAATCACCAGGGAGTTTATCTGAAAATGCAAATTATTGATCTCTGGCCTTAAGAGAGCCTGATTTCTCAGTCTGAGGCCTTGGAATCTACATTTGAACAAACACCTAAACACCACCCCCAGTGCTTCTGATGTCAGTGCTCCACATTTGAGAAGCACTGCCTCTGCAAGGGTGTGTGTGTGTGTATGTGCCTGTGCATGCACACATGTGCATGTTGTGTGTGTGTACATGCCCACATGTGCTAGTCAAGATGTTTCAGTAAAGCTCCATGGAGGATAGGTATGGATGTGCACTACACATAAACTACTTGAAAGTAGCTTTGTCATAGCCGGGTTCAGTGGCTCACGCCTGGAATCCCAGCACTTTGGGAGGCCGAGGTGGGTGGATCACCTGAGGTCAGGAGTTTGAGACCAGCCTGACCAACATGGAGAAACCCCATCTTTCTAAAAATACAAAATTAGCCAGGTGTGGTGGCGCATGCCTGTAATTCCAGCTACTTGGGAGGCTGAGGCAGGAGAATCACTTGAACCCAGGAGGCGGAGATTGCAGTGAGCCAAAATCGTGCCATTGCACTCCAGCTGGGCAACAAGAGGGAAGTTCTGTCTAAAAAAAAAGAAGAAGAAGAAGAAGAAGAAGGAAAGTAGCTCTGTCTAGACTTTCATTATATTTTGTAGACTTTACCATTTGAATTCAACCTTTGCAGTTAGAATGACCAGATACCCATTACAAATGATCATCTCTTTGAAAACTTCTGCTTGGCATTTTCAAGAAACTTTTCGGCAGAAAGTCATTTGTCTCCTTTTTCTGGACCTGGGAACAGCACTGGGAAGTGTTCAGGCCTTTTCCCAAATATAATCCCTGAGCGTTTGGAAGCTGAGAATCCTCCCTGCCCACGGCCTCCTGGGACTCTGGATGGCCTGCCTGTCTGCCAGAGACACTGAGCAACTCCATGCTGGAAATGTGGGAAAGATGGTCTCTGTCCTGGAGGTCTAAGGGTCTGCTGGGGGAGACAGAACAGGCCCATGTGAAAGAGTCAGGCACACAAATATAACAAAAATAAACCAGAGGCAGATCCATGCAGTGGTGAGAATACAAGTGAAACTTTGAACTCAAGGTCCTACATTAAGTCAAAGAGAAGTAGGAAGAAATGGAATGAAAGGTGCTAGGTGAACCATGAGAAAAGCCTCCCTAGAGGAGGTAAGCTTCATTCATTCATTCATTCATTCATTCATTCATATGTTCACTCCTTCGCTGACTCTTGTTTAAACTTACCGAGGGCAGATCCTGACAGGTCACCGACACTGCTGCTTACCCGTGAGCATAGCAGATCCAGCATCTGCCTTAATGAGGATCACAGCACTAAATGTGCGCTAGGGTCAGGGTGATGTGGGGGCACCACAGAGCATGCAGTGTGTGGACACACTCCAGGTGGGAAGTCAAGGAAGTTCTGCTCAAGAAAATGATGTTTTTATCAGACTCCTGAAGGCAGCCTCACCCTTTCCTTTAGGGGGCCAGGGCGTGAGTACAAGGGAGGCCCCAGCATGTTGGCCTTCCCACCTTCTCTTCCCATCCTGGCTTGTGTGCCAGAGTATGTATACCTCAGGCCTCAAGTTCAAACCCTGTCCACACATCACCCCCACCCCCACTGCCCTCTGGCCTGGCTTTAGGCCTAGGGGTTACAATCTACCCTCTGAAGGACTGATCCAGATAAACAGCCCTTGCAGACCAGCAGTGGGCTTGGTGCTGTTTGGACAGGGAATTTGGGAAGCGTGGGTTTACAAGGGATAAATTATCTAGAAGTGAGTGTGCAGCCTATGGACAGGCACGTCCCCTCCACCCCATAGACTTCTTACTCTATGGAGAGGGCACAGCTGGACGACAGCCAGTGTGGAGCCTTCTGAAACCTGGGGTCCAGGGCAGGATCCTGATGGCATGGTCTCAGGGCAGTGCTGCCTAAAGGATGAGTAGGGTTCAATGAATAAAATGCCAGGCCGTGTGTGGTGGATCAACTGTAATGCCAATGCTATGGAAGCGGAAGCGGGAGGATCACTTGAGGCCAGAAGTTCAAGATCAGCCTGGGCAACATAGTGATACTCCATCTCTACAAAAAAAAAAAAAAAAAAATTGAATCTGGGGTGATGGGGAAGCCTTCCTGCAGAAGGAACAACCAGTTCAAGATTCCTGAGATGTTAAAAAGCCTACTTTACCTCCCTAAAAGGAGGGATATAGGGGAGAGGTGAGGTGATTGGAGAATGGACAGGGGCCTGGTGGGCCAAAGTAAAGATTTGGCTTTGCAGAGGACACAAGCAAGACATGGTGGACCAGGGAAAGGTCATTTTGAATGATGCAAGAAAATTCCTTCCAAAATGAGCATGTGTGACACCAATAAGGTATTTGATGTGAGGAGAGGGAGTAAACTGTTCTATTTGGCTAAGCCCAAGAGTACTGAGAAAAGCAAAAGGAAGGAAAAAAAGATATTTTGGGAGGGGCAGTTGTGGAGGAGTTGTGGGCATGGTCCAGGGGGTTATGATGTCAGGGTAAGCCCAGAACCTTCTGGGAGAGGTGCTTAAAGAATTGGGCTGGGGGCCAGATTCTCTCCTCATTCTGTGCTTACTATTGAAATAAGCAAAATAATCTGCTACCATTAACACCTTTCTGCTCTAGTAGCACTCCCTATGCCTAAACCATAGTACTTTATATTTATATGATTTTTTTGTTTTTCTGTGTGATTGCACAGAAATTCTTTCTGGATTGGCAACACATCCCATTTTCCACTTAGTAAATGTGACCACCTTTTATGCTTTGGTCAACATTTTGACATTTGTCACTGAATCTTCATTTCCTTTTTGTGTCATTTATTATTTTATAACTAGCGGTGGCCCTCTCACCATTTAATGCTTATAAAATTATGAATACATCAGACCATAATAAGAATTGTCCGTGAGGCTTGTAAACAGATGTTGGGGTGTGTGTGCGTGTGTGTGTGTGTGTGTGGTGTGTCTGTGTGTGTGTTTATGATAACAGTGCTTACATAATCTCAACAACCAGGGCCCTGGGGACTCACACTCGGCAATGGAACAGTTGGTTTAAATTAGGTTTCCATGTGAAATATGGTATCGCTGTTTTTTTCCTAGCATTGTGGGAAAGTATATGGAAAATGATTTGACTGATAGGAAATAAATCTGGATGAGTGATCAGGATTGTGACACAAACCAAGTGGTGGTCTCCACCTGCCCTGTGAAGCAGACCTCTCCAGGGGGAGGTGAGTTAACCCTTTCCAGCCACTGGACTAGTAAGTCAATGCATGGTATCAGAACAGCCTGAAAGAATGACAACTTTCCAGAGACCCTGATTTGCCATCAATTTCAACTAGAAAGGAGCTAAAGCCATAGAGACAATATAGCCAGAGGCCTCAACAACTAATGAGTTGGGTGGCTTTGAGAAACTGTTTTTTTACTTTTCAGGATCTCATTTTTATTTGTGAGAAGTGTTTGAATTTCCAACTCAAAGAGTCAGTAGGGTTATGATGCTAAGTGTTTGCTGATGGTTTCCCATTTTAGGATAGGGCTCATCAAAAGCCAGTCAGACTAAAGGAAGAATTAGATGGATGCACCAATGACTCAGTCTCTGTTAGCAAAATAATTTCTTGCTCTAGTGAGCCAGGGTTTCACAAAGGTGACTTTTAACCAAGGAATCAAGTGAGAGGACAGGCATGGAGACTGTGAGCAAGGGGTTACTCATAGCTGCAGGAGACGGGTCAGCACTAGGAATCCCAGACAGTTCCTGGGATGATGTGGACCAGGGTTTGTCCCAAGGGTCTGATTCCAGACCTGTTCTCCTGATGCCACCTGAGGGCCCAGTGAAGTCCAGTACAGATGGAGGGCAGAGGCACATGCTGGGAGCCCACTAGGCTCAGGACTGAGCTTGAGGGTGGCAGGTAGCCCAGCACGTTTTGCTTCAGTCTGTTTCAGAAGGGAAGAGGAAGATTATTAATTACTCCAGTGCCTCTGGCTCATACCAGAGAATAGACCTGTTTTATCACTAAAACTCCCTGTTGCTCTGATTTTCCTGTTTGTTTCTATGTAGGGATAGGAAAGAGGTGTGAGCAACCATTCATTTTGTTTTTTTCATCTCTTTAGTCATATTTTGGACTCTTCTCAGTATTTTCTCCTTTTATTCCTGCTCTGCCTTCACATATGCAGCTCAAAACTGAGTGCTTAGGAGGACCTACCCAGAGCCAAGTCTGAAAAAACTCACCTTTCGGCTGGGTGCGGTGGCTCACGCCCGTAATCCCAGCACTTTGGGAGGCCGAGGTGGGTGGATCACTTGAGGTCAGGAGTTCAAGACCAGCCTGGCCAACATGGTGAAACCCATCTCTACTAAAAATACAAAAATTAGCCGGGCGAGGTGGCAGGCCTTGTAATCCCAGTTACTCGAGGTTGCAGTGAGCCAAGATCATACCATTGCACTCCAGCCTGGGCAACGAAGCAAGATTCTGTCTAAAAAAGGAAGAAAGAAAGAAAGAAACTGTCAACTTTCACCAGATGAAAGAGCACTGGGCTGGGAGTCCTACTTTTGACATCAACAAGAATTGTGACCTTGAAAAGTCACTTCTCCCATGAGCCATAGATTCTCGATCTGGAAAAATGGGGTTGCACTGCCCTCTGTGGTTGCTGCCAGCACTCAATGCCATTAATTCTTATCATTTTATCCACTTACAGGCAGTATGCCATTGACCTTGAGCTCTTATTTCCTGCAGTTGTCATGGGTCACCATAAACTCTGTGTTCCGGCCTCTCTAACTTAGTCCAGAGAAAAGTGTTGCTGTCCAGGCTTCAGCACTGATGCTGAACCAAGCGGAGCTTGTAGGGCCATGTGAGGTCAAGACCAAGACTTTGGTCTGTTGACAACCAAGCTTATCAACCCAGATGCTAGTCAGGATAGAGAAGGTAACTTAGGTGGACACCAGCATCTAAGCACCAAAGTAAAGGTGGCAGCAAAATAATCATAGAGCAGAAGCAGATGATTTAGAGGCTGCATATCATAAGGGGAGGGTGTAGACATGGATTATTTTTAAATATTGTCCTCCAGTCTGTGTAGCAGGAAAAACGAATCACATTAGAATAACTTTAAGCCCAGAACTGAAGAACATTAGAGTTTGTGTAAACACATCAGGCATTTTGTGAGTGGTTGATAATGCAACCTCTGGAGAAGACACCCTAAGTTCAAACCTAGGCTTTGCTACCTTCAACGTGGTTGAAGACCTTACACACATCCCTGAGGACAGTAACAGTCCCTGACTCTTAGAATTGTTGTGAGAGATAAATGAGGTAATATAGGTAAAGTGCTTAGAATGGCTCCTGGCACATAATAAGTGCTCTATAAATATTTGTTCATAATATTTTGTCATTTGAGGGGCATAATAGATAAAGCATTTGTAAAAGATTGTTTAAAAATGTTTTTATTTTTCCTTTGATATTATGTATTTTAATACTTAGTAAATGTCTTTAACTGATGGGTTAAGTACATTTCATTTTAATGTCCATCAGTCAAATATCTTTCAATCAAAATTATCCTTAGGCCTTATTTTCTTATAGTCAAAAGAAATTTTTTCAATCAAAGGATTTTATGAATTGCCTTTTTCAGCCTTCTTGTTTTAAAGAAAATAAAGAGAGAGTTATAAGAGATTAAGGACCTATAGGTCTTTTTTTTTTTTTTTTTTTTTTTTTTGAGACAGAGCCTTGCTCTGTCACCCAGGCTGCAGTGCAGTGGTACAATCTCGGCTCGCTGCAACCTCTGCCTCTCGCTGCTCGCTGCAACCTTCAACCTTGAAGCTGAGGCAGGGTTCAAGCGATTCTCCTGCCTCAGCTTCCCAAGTAGTTGGAATTATAGGCGCCTGCCACCATGCCCAGCTAATTTTTGTATTTTTAGTAGAAACGGGCTTTCACCACGCTGGCCAGGCTGGTCTCAAACTCCTGACCTCAGGTGATTCGCCCACCTCAGCCTCCCAAAGTGCTGGGATTACAGGCGTGAACCACCACGCCCAGCCAGGACCTACAGGTCTTTCATTTCCTAATACCAAATTGATATTTTTAGAAAAACAAAGAATGCTTTTGGAAAAAAAAATTGCCAAGCTTCTAGGACATAATTCCCGTGAATGTCTCTGTGTGTTTTCCAGGTGAGCTCCTGGGTGACATGGCTGATCCTCACGGCAGGCTCCATGGAGGAGAAGCGAGAAGTCTTTTCATATTTGGTGCATGTGGCCAAATGCTGCTGGAACATGGGCAACTACAACGCTGTCATGGAGTTCTTGGCTGGCCTCAGGTATAGTCAGTGGGGAATATGGTTATCTTGGCACAATCGCTTCTCATCACCTGAATGGCACTGAATTAATTGTCCAGGGACTCACCTTTACCCAAGCCAGGTAACTGGAAATGATTAACTTGGGAAATGTATTATCTTCTTTCAGCACCAAAGGCCCTGTCCCTCAAAGATGCTGCAGAATTCAGCCCCTGTGGGCCAGTCACAATCCTACTTCACTGGGTCTGCTGTGATCCTGTGTTCTTTGCCAAGCCAAGTGAAATTACTTGGTTGCATAACCCGATCAACCCCACCACTGACTATTCCCCTTCCTGTCCTGTAAACCCCACTGTTATCTGTCTCTTTTCAGGCCTGCCTTATGTAGTGTTCCAGGGCTATATGCTATAGACCACCAACTGCCCTTAGTAATAACAGTGGCTAGCATTGACAATAGGCCTCCAATAATGTAAGCTCTCATTATTAACAAACACTATATGTCAAGTATGAGCTATGCACATTCCCTATATTGTATGTTTTAATTCTCAAAACAGGTTTATCAGGTAGATACTATTCTTATTCCCACATTATACAAAAGAGGAAGCTAAGGCTAAGAGAAATTAAGTCATTCACCCAAGGTCACCTGGCATTGCTGGGAATACAGGCAACCTTGGTTTCGGAGCCCATGAGCTTGACCACTATGATATCCTGTTCTTATGCTTTTTCCATCAAGCTAATAACAAAATCACCATTCTGTTCATCAGGTTGCCTGCTTTATCCCCTTTTAGCCTCAGCTACCTGGCATAAAGTAACTGTTCTTACTCCTGTGGGAGGCAGCATGGTATGTGAGGAAGAAGAGCATGAGTTCTTAAGTTAGAATCAAATTAGGAATCAAATCCTTATCCAGGAATCAAATCCTGATTCCCCCAAGGAATACCTGTGTGATCCAGGCAAGCTACTTGACTTCATTGAGCCTCAGTTACTTTGTCTGCAAAATGGGGATAATACTAAAAAGCACCTACATCTTTAGGTAGAATTCAGTGAAATAATATAGTATTTGACACATGTGCGTGGCGTATAGTAAGGCCTCATAAAGAGAAGCTATTGATATTGTTATTGCTTCCTGAGATTCACCATCCTCATGAGGGTTCTCACTATAAAGGAATGTTAGTTCATAACATTACTGAGATTTTTCTTTGATTCTCCAGGTCCCTAGGTAGGGATTCTGGGTTAGGGGAGGAGATGAAAACTCCCAGAGTTCTAATTTTTTTTTTGTCGTTTTCAACTTTCTTAACTTAGAATAAACCCAAATGATCATGTCCTTGACATTTAAAATAGTCATACAAATGCATCAGGCATGGCTCAAAAGAAGGAAAAAGTGGGGAGAAAAAAAAACAAAGCCTTGGAGAACAGGAGGTTATATCCAGATGATTTAGATTCTCTTTGTGATCAATTTTCTATAAAGAAAACGTGTAGGCCGGGCACGGTGGCTCATGCCTGTAATCCCAGCACTTTGGGAGGCCAAGGTGGGTAGATCACCTGAGGTCAGGAGTTTGAGACCAGCCTGGCCAACATGGTAAAACCCCATCTCTACTAAAAATACAAAAATTAGCTGGGCATGGTGGCAGGCGCCTGTAATCCCAGCTACTCAGGAGGCTGAGGCAGGAGAATCGCTTGAACCAGGAGGTGGAGGTTGCAGTGAGCCGAGATCATGCCATTGCGCTCCAGCCTGGGCAATAAGAGGGAAACTCTGTATCAAAAAACAAAACAAACAAACAAAAAAAAACAGAAAAAAGAAAATATGTATTACATTTCTTTTAAGAAAAGAATTATCATATTTTGATAAAGTCATTTTATTTTAATGATGCTTATCATTCTGTGTCTGGCAAGTTGGTGCTGGCTGTTGGCCAGGGACCTTGCTTCCTGACCCCACAACATGACTGCCATCACAGCACGGTGACTGGCTCCTTCTGAAGTGGGTGATCCAAGAGAGGGAGGCAGAGGCTGCAATGCCTTTTATATGATAGCCTTGGGAATCATACATAGTCACTCTTGCCATATTGTACTGATCACATAGGACAGCATGGATTCCTTGTGGGTGGGGACTGCACAAAGCCACAAAATCAGGAGATGTGGACCATGGGAGGCCGTCTTGGAGGCTGGCTGCCACATACCATGTTCTAGATTCTCTTATTACAGGAACGGCCTCAGAGTGACCTATGGAGGCCTAGAGTGAATGGGACTTTAAGATTCAACTGAGTTTAAATCCAAAATCCAAGAAGACCATAGAACCTGGTGATTTCCCTAAATGAGGAATAATCTCAAACCAGGACAGACCTCAACATTGATCCCAGTGCATTTTGTCTCACACCCCAGACCCACTGCTGCCTAGTTTCATGCTCCTATATTTGGCTTAAAACTAAACTGATCTTTACAGATAGATAGGCGAAAGTACCACGTATAATAGGTCTTTTGTTGACAGCTATTCTGTACACAGGAGATAAGTGGCCAGATACTCTTATGATGCAATGATTATGGAGGCAGAGCTTATATGTGCACTTTTAGGTTTGAAAGTGTTTAGGTTCCAAGCAATTAACTATTACCAACATAATAGAGATTTTTTTTATTTTTTAAGCAATTAAATGGGAAGAGAAAGCATACTTATTAAGTGACTTTGGTTTTTTTATGGACATTGTACATTTTGCTTCCTCTAACTAAATTCTTAGCTCTCTTAAGCCACTAGTAAGAAGTACAAATATTTACAATCAAGAGTATTTACTCAGTCATGGTGTCAGTTTAAAATAACCCAAATGAACAACAATAGGAAAATAGTTAAAGGAAATAATATGCTATATCCAGGTAATGGAATATTATATAGCCATCAAAAATGATGTTTATAAAAAACAAAATTTTTTTTTTAAACGGAGCCTCACCGTGTCGCCCAGGCTGGAGTGCAGTGGTGCAATCTTCGCTCACTGCAACCTCCACCTCCCAGATTTGAGCAATTCTCCGGCCTCACCCTCCCAAGTAGCTGGGATTACAGGCACGCCACCATGCCCTGCTAATTTTTTTGTATTTTTAGTAGAGATGGACTTTCAACATGTTGGCCAGGCTGATCTTTAACTCCTGACCTCAAGTGATCCACACGCCTCAGCCTCCCAAAGTGCTAGGATTACAGGCATGAGGTAAAAAACAATTTTTTAAGAGATAAGATCTCACTCTGTCACCCAGGCTGGAGTGCAGGAGCAAGATCATAGCTCACTGTAACCTCTTACCCTGGGCTCAAGTAATCCTCCCACTTTGGCTTCCAAGTAGCTAGGTCTACAAGGAGTGTACCAGCACAATGGCTATTTAAAAAAATTTTTTTAGAGATGGAGTCTTTCTATGTTTCCCAGGCTGGTCTGGAACTCCTGGCCTCAAGTGATCTCCCCTGCCTCAGCCTCCCAAAGTGCTGGGATTACAGGCATGAGCCACTGCACCTGGCCTGAAAAGTTTTTATATCATTGGAAAGCAGGAGACACATAATACATGAATCTATCTGGGAACAAAACTGTCTATCCCTAATAACCTCAGCAATATTTATATGCCCATATAGACAAGAATAGAAGAAATACTGAAAGAAAATATACCTAATGTCTGTGTGTGGTAGAATTGTAAGTGGGTTTTCTATATTTTTGATATTTTCTAGATTTTCTACAATGAGTAGTATCTTTATAATCATAAAGATGAATAAAAGTTTTAAAAATAGTTTCAATTCTCAATTCAACAATAAAGAATTGATCTTTGCTGAAGTTTGCCCTTTGCCCCCAAGTGAACCATAACTACTTCATTACTCACACAATAAGAAACCAGTGAGAACCATGTCTCATTCATTCATTCACTTCATTTGTTTGTAACCTCCACTTCATTCCCCAAAAAAGAATTCTCACTGTCTTATAAGAATCCAGTTATAGGACAAGCTGGATTTAGTGGGATGAAATCATAAAATGCTTTTACTTTTCTGATTTGATTGCCTTTCAAAGCTTCCAACTAGCTCTCCCTCCCTCAACCCTGGATTATGCTACATTGAGAGATCCTGTAGTTTTCCAGTCACTTTCCTAGTTAACACACAATCTCATTCTCCTATGCTCTTGAATATGAATGAGTCTTGCAAATTTAAGGCTGTATAAAAAAAAAAAAAGCAAGTTGTTTAAAACAGGGATCCCCAGCCTTTTTAGCATCAGAGACCAGTTTCATGGAAGACAATTTTTCCACAGACTCGGGGTGTGGGGGTGGGGGCAGATGGTTTTCAGATGAAACTGTTCCACATCAGATCATCAGGCATTAGATTCTCATAAGGAGCGTGCAACCTAGATCCCTTACATGCACAGTTCACAGTAGGGTTTGCGCTGCTATGAGAATCTAATGCCACTGCTGATCTGACAGCAGGCAGAGCTCAAGCTGTAATGCTTGCTTGCCCGCTGCTCATCTCCTGCTGTGCAGCCCAGTTCCTAACAGGCCATGAGCCAGTACTGGTCTGCGGCCCAGGGGTGGGGACCCCTGGTCTAAGACTATCTACCATGTGATACTATTTACATAAAGTTTAAAAATACACAATTCTGTAACTTGCTTAGTGATATATGCATATGTTGGAAAAGTATTAAGAATTTTAAGGAAAGGAGAACCCCAAAGTACCAGTGGTGGTCCTGTCTGGTGAGGGAAGAATAGAGTATGTGCTCTTGGAGGAATACACTAGGGCCTCAACCACATTGTTGATGTTTGATTTTTTAAACTGAGAGATTGGCACATGGGTGTTTGTCATGTTGTACTTCTTTATGTCTTTGGATGTCTTATATATTACACAGTGATTTTGTAACCCAGTTAATCTAAATCAAAATTTTAATATCTCATTCAATATATATCTTCTTCCCTTCCTTACGTTTCACAACCCAACCAGTCTCAGAGACTTGTAGTAGTGAGGAAGATAGAGTTTATCTTTTTTCTTCCTTTTCCCTGCAACTGGGTGTCTGCAGAAAAGAAGTGGACAGGAGAGGAGATGGGAAAGGATGGGGATAGAGGGAGCACAGAGTCTTACTTGATGGGGCAGTTGTAATCTGGCCTTGGTGCCCTCACAGAGACCAATGGAGGGTGCTTTTAGGTTTTCTTACTAGTTACTCTCTCTAATTTTTTCCATCTCCCCACTGCACAATTACCTAGCAAAATGCAGTGTACCCTCTGGTCAACCTCTTATTCCTCACCCCCTGGGGTCCTGTCCTCACAGGCCCTTTCTGCTAGGGTCGCCTCATTTGGCAGGCAGACCCTTCAAGACAGCTCAAGCCCCACCTCTTTGCACAGTATCCCCTCCTGACTCACAGGAAATAGTCAGCATGTTGCCCTCCCAACTCTGCAAGCACAGGACATATCTACTGGAATCCTCTCTCCCTTTGCCACCAGGGAGCTCCAGCTAGCCTCAAATCTTTAGGCAAGAGTCATGCACCAGTTCACGTGATCTACAGACTGCCCGGGACACAGGTCAATGTCCCCAGGGAATTCACTTACTGCCCCCTGCACTTGGGGTGACTTCATCCTCTCACAGAAAGGTGAGCTCTCCCACAATTCCCCCCAGAGAAATATTCCCAAGCTATCTGCTCAGATCCACTTTCTCTGCATGGGCTGAAAGAGAGTGGGAGACCACTGTGGGCAAAGCAGTTCAGGTAACACCTTGTGAGGGCCTCTCTTTAGAAGGTGTGGTGCATTGTCATCTGTGGGTCTCAGCAGGAGTTTCAGAATAGGGAAAGTCCCACTTAACATCCTGTAATGCAAATAATACTTTACAACAAGGTCCCCCAAAATGGGCTGGTGGCTTCATGTCAAAGCTTGATTCAGTAAAAATCAATTCTACAGAAGAGGTGAAAACAATGGGCTTCATGTTGATCACTAAGGGACTGGATTGATCCAAGAGTAATATTTAAAAGATCAAGAGGGCCAGATGGGCCAAGTTTCCCCAGGCAGTCCTCCTCCACCAATATCTGTACAAACCACATTACCCTCTACTTTCCCCTTTTGGCCATAGCTGCCAGAAAAACTCAAACCTACATTCAGTGCCCAGCTTCCATAACTAACGCGTCCCATATGCCTATTTGTGTTTGTATCTGTCCTATTTATTTTTCAGTTTCAATTTACAAAAGTATTATTCATATTATCTGGGGAAGTAGGTGGGGATAGGAACCCTACATAAATATTAACAAGTAAAGAATATTGGGGCTGGGCGCGGTGGCTCATGCCTGTAATCCCAGCACTTTGAGAGGCCGAGGCAGGTGGATCGCCTGAGGTCAGGAGTTCGAGACCAGCTTGGCCAACATGGCGAAACCCCGTCTCTACTAAAAATATAAAAATTAGCCAGGCATAGTGGCGCGCGCCTATAATCCCAGCTACTAGGGAGGCTGAGGCAGGAGAATCGCTTGAACCCAGGAGGCAGAGGTTGCAGTGAGCCAAGATCGCACCACTGCACTCCAGCCTGGGCAACAGAGTGAGACTCCACCTAAAAAAAAAAAATGGTAAAAAGAATGAATTTGTATGGAATTTAGGCTCCTTGCTGTAA